>NC_000011.10:119596667-119899697 GCF_000001405.40 Homo sapiens
ACCCAGCCCTCAGGCAGTTCTTAATAGAAGTATGAGAATAGACTAATACATAGAACAAAGAAGACAAAGAGATAGAAAATAGAAAAGATAAGAAAATTAGTGGAGTGGTCCAGGAAGTCCTCTATATGAAGGAAAGAAAACCTAAACAGAGGAGGGGAAGTTGTAAACTAACTCAAGAAAAGTACCAGGCCAGAAGAACATGAGTTTCCAGACTGAAAATGCCTACCAAGTGTCCAACATGGTGAAAAAATAGCTCACACCAAGGTGCAAAATCATGAAGAGAAGATTCTACAAGTTTCCTGAGAAAGACAAGGGAAAAGCAATCACTTACAAAGGATCTAGTATCAGAAAGCCATCTTTAGCGTCACAATCATGTAAATATTGATCTAACAAAAATTGCAATATACACAAATCGTCAGGATGGAGAGGAGGAGTGTGTGTGTGTGTGTGTGTGTGTGTGTGTGTGTGTGTGTGTGATGGCAGGAGGGGGAAGATGGCCAAATCTTCATACTATTTAATGGAAAGTCAATAGATAATGCCAAAAATGGAATAACAAAGACATAGCAACATAAGCACATTTTAAAGAGATTTGGAGGTAAATATCCAAAGAATCAGCTAAAAGCATTGAAATAGTTGCCTCTAAGGAGTGGTTGCCTCTGCCTGGGGTGGGTGAGGGGTTGGAAAGCAAGGGATTACTGTCGTGTTTTGTTTTTAATTTCAAACCCAGTAGAATTATGTAACTCTTTAAACCTTGTGGATGCATAAAATTAAAAAGTGGAACTAAAAAAATGTTGGGCACATGTTTTTTGCTATGATGTTGTATGTATTTGGATGTCATCTTTCATAATAAAAATGTTTTAAGGAGAAAAAAATCCCAGGCCTGATGATAACGTCAGAGGAGGGAGAGATTTCTGTGGGCTGGAGAAGCCTTCGTGAGTGGGGCTTTCTTGAGCTGAGTGGTGAGCTTGGATGAGAGTTAAATGGGCAGCGGGAGGGAGGGGGCTTTCTGTGATGAGGAGGTCGCAAAGAACAAGGGTTCAGGGATGCTCTGATGTAGGTGTGTTTAGTATGTCCGTTGCTCTGGTTGGGTAAAATGCTACCCCCTCCCCCTGTACTCTGCTCACACAGTGAAAGATGAGGTGGATTTTGGGGGAGACAGAAAGCCAGGCAGAGGGATCTGGACTTCCCCTGTGAGGCTGGCACCGTGGGATGAAAGGTGTGCCTGAAAAAGCAAGCTGCCCTGGCCACAAGCAGGATGGGCCCATGGGAGAAGCTGGGGCCGTGACTTTGCAGCAAACCAGTGATGGCCTTGGGTGGTGGCAGTGGAGAGTGGAGAGGGAAAGAAGGGAAGGGTGAAAGAAGGTTTTGAAGTTGAAGGAAAAGAACTTGTTGGTGGCTGGAGGAGAGAGATGGAGGGAAGAGTCCAAGGTGGTGGAGGCTTTGTGTGTGGGAGAAGGATGGAGATGTGGGGAGAAATAGGAACACAAGGAGTGGGATTGGGGGAACCAAGGATGGGGTTTGAAAGTGTGTAGGGGCAGAGGGAAGGATCCGCAAGTAGAAAGGACTTCCTGCGAATTGGGAGGGAAGAGAAACAGCTGATCTAGAGGAGAAGTTCGAGGTGACGGGCCAGAGTCCACTGTGACAACTGACATGTTTCTCAGGCTTTGCAGCCTTTCTCGGGCCCAGCCTCATTCAGCTTTGTGGGAGAGGCAGACTTATCTCCATTTTACCAAAGGGGAAACTGAGGCTCCCAAGAACTTACCCAGTGGTCACATATCAAAACTCTCATTTTTTGCCCAAACCACTGTGGTAGGTGATCGGAGTGGATGTTGCCCCTGAAAGAGGTGTGTAGAGTGAGGAGAGCAGAGGGTACAGGGGCTGAGCACCCCCAGGTGGAGGGCTGGGGAGGCAGGGGAAGAGTCAGACAGGGAGACAAGAGAAGGGAGAGTCTGGTACAGATGGGGAGAAAGCACAGGGTTGAAGGGGATGTCAGGACAAAAACAGCTGCAAATGAGATGTACTAGGCTCATGCCCCAGGCCGAGCAATGTGCTCAGCTTCTTATCTTATTTGGTCCTGAGGACAACCCTATGAAATAGGTGAGGAATTAGTGAGGAAACAGGAACTAAGCCCTTTCCAAGCCCACTCATCAGTGAGTGTTGCAGCCAGGATTTGAATCCCAGCATCTGACTCAGAGACCTGGAATCTCAACTCTGCCATATTGCAGGCCATAGGCCTGCCAGCTAGTGGGTAGGAGATAGGAGCAGTGCTTTTTTTAAGAATTTAAATATATATATATTTTTGAGACAAACTCTTGCCCTGTTGCCAGGCTGGAGTGCAGTGGCATGATCTCAGCTCACTGCAACCTCTGCCTCCTGGGATCAAGCGATCCTCCTGCCTCAGCCTCCCGAGTAGCTGGGACTACAGGCACGTGCCACCATGCCCAGCTAATTTTTTGTATTTTTAGTAGAGACAGGGTTTCACCATGTTAGCCAGGATGGTCTCGATCTCTTGACCCTGTGATCCGCCTGCCTCAGCCTCTCAAAGTGCTGGGATTACAGGCATGAGCCACTGCGCCTGGTCAAACATCTTTTTTATATTAAAAAAATAGAGTTTTAAACCATTTACCAAAAATAGTGATGCTCATCATAATAAATAAAAGTAAACCACTACTAAAAGCCAATGGGACTTCCTCCTTTACCCCCTCTACCCCCAGACATTGGTGCACTCACCCCGCTATGGGTAGGGATGGGACTGCCTGGGACCCCAGATCAAGGGACAAGCTTCGGACCTGGGTGGATTTCATAAAGGACGAAGCCCTTGGGATGGTGTATGAACGTTTGTGTTTCTGCAGACACAAACAGCATGGCTGTGGGGAGCAGCCATCAGCGTGAGGGCCCCTCAAAAGTTAAAAAGCTACTGATGCTGCCCTGTGGCCTGGCCTGCTCTGCGGTGAGCGTCCTGCCTGTGCAGAAAGAGGGGAGTGTGTATGAGAGAGTGTGTGTATCAATGTGTGTGTGTGCACATATTTGTGAGTTTCATTGTGTGACTATGTGTGTGGGTCTTGTTTGTAATGAATTGTGTCTGTGAGCAAAGAGTTGTGTATGTGCCTATAAACCAATGTCTGTATGTGTGTATGTGTGTGCAGGTATGTGAGTCTGTAAGTGAAAGTGTAAGGATGTCAATGGTGATAAATTGTGTATCTGGGGACGGGTACGTTTGTGCATGGGAGCGCCTGTGTATTAATGTGTGTGCATATGTGCATGTGAACAGAAGTGTGGGATGCATGTTCTGTGATTATGGGTCATGTGTAAGAGGGCAGATGTATATAAATATGTGTGTCAATTATGTGATGTTGTCTGTGGATGGAGTGTGAGGTGTATGTGGTTATGAATCATGTGCCTGGGGCACGTTGATTTGGGGTGTGTGTGTGTGTGTAGTGGTGCCTGGGCATGAGTGACAGTGCATGGCTGCAGGTCTGTTTATAGCCTGTGTGTGCTGGGAAAAGACATCAGAAGTCCTTGCCATTCCCCCATCCCACCCAAGCCCTCAGAGCCTGCTCCCATTTGGGTCTAGAGCAGCATGTTCGAGAGAGATGTGAACATCCTTTCAGCTGCCTGTAGCCGGTCTGGGGAACAGTGACAAGGAAATGTGCTTGTTTATACCCGAATACATTAATAAACCATAAAATTTACATGTGTGTTGCGGGGAGGATGGGAACAGGCAGCATTCAACCTGCAGGACATGCAGATATTAAACTCAATGTGAAAGTTAATTTGTAAGCCCAGAGAGTGAGTCGTGCTGGAGACAAGACTCCCAGGCCCCTGAGAGATCTGGGGCACCATTTCCTTTTTCGCTTCTCTCTTCCTTGCATGGCTTTTAGCAGAGCTTTGGAGTAACATTAATTTATCTAATGCGTGCACGCCATAAGTTACTTTTTTAATTATTATGATCAAAATATTGCTTAAAATTGATGCCAGCTGCATGTGTTTCTGTCAGAGTTCATAATTGCAATTGTAAATTGGGGAGCAGCTCGGTTCCAGGAGCCTCCCTGAGTAACGGCCCCAATACCATTACCGAGAGGTGGATAAAAATAAAACTGCAGATCGTGCGGCAAAAATACACCAGTGCGAGTTAAAAGGATAATTAGTGGAGCAGAAAGGGAAGCGGGACTCTGTCTGCTCTGTGGCCCACGGGGGTGAGGACTGTGCCGGAGGCTGGCCCCAGGCTGGGCTAGGGCTGGGCGGCAGAAAGGCTCTTAGGGAAGGACCCAAGCAGGTCTCTGCACCTCAGTTTCTCCTTCTGTAAAATGGAAATAGGAACACCCAGTGGCTCCAACCAGGTGATGCATGTGAAAGTTTTCCAGAAACCCACGAGTTCCCTATCTAAGTAAAGGGATTATTCATGGGCTAGGGAGACAGTGCTTTTTTCATCTTCCCCATCAGGAATGGTTTAGGCTGACTTTGACTTTCAAAGGAAACTGCAGGTCTAGGACCAGAAGGCTGCCTTAGAGTGCAATGGTAAGGAGCACAAGCCTTAGAATTCTTTTATTCATCCATGCATTCACTTGACAATATTTATTGTGCACCCTCTATGTTCCAGGACCTATCCAGGCATTAGGGATAGAGCAGTGAACAAAACAGAGATCCCTGCCCTGCAGAGCTCACATTCTAGCAACGGGGCCAATAAGCAATGAAGATAGTAAATAAACTGGGTAATACAGAAGTGAATTGTATGGCACACTACAAGATTACAAGTGGACACATTGTATGACTTTAGACAACTTACTTAACCCAGCACTGCTGAACCTTTTTCACATAGTGGCTCATGCCATCATCATCTTAGTGACAATGCAACCTACTAACAACCCATGTGATTATCATAGTGGTAATAGTAAGAACGATCGCTTATAAGGCATCAACTGGGTGCCAGACACTGTTCTAAGGACCTGCCATATAAGCGATTGATGATGATGGCATGGGCAAGGCTATCTTTCTTGAACCTTCACGCTATGCCATTAACCCTCACAAGGAATCGATGAGGCAAGGAAGTGATCATATACTGTAGGGCTGGTGGGGTAGACCCATGGAGCTGCCGTTCTGCAGCTGAGCAGAATGAATTTCCATATCAGAGAAATGGGAACAATAACAGTGCTGAGCTCCCAAGGGTTGAGAAAATGCCTGGGAAGTGCTCAGCACAGTGCATGGCACAGCATGAAAATTCAAGAAAGATAAGCTTGTTTTTGTTACTAACCAGTAAGCCCTGAGAAACGGGAGAGTCATGAAGCTGGTTAGGGGCATAGAGGGGAGCTCATTAACCTATCAGTGAACCTGGTTACCTGCAGAGCTGATACGTCACCTAAGGGACCAAGTGGAGGCCACTGAGGGTAGATGGCCTGTGAGAGGCGATTTCAGTGGGGAAGGGTTCTTGTTCCTGGCTGGTGTCAAACAAAGAGCAAATCAGGACTTAGGTGAAAGAGGTGAGAGAGACTATGTGAAGACAATTGCAATAAGAGGGGAGGGTTACTGCAATAGGGAAAACACAGATGTCTCAAGGTCAGACAGAACGGGCTTTTAAAAAAACAGGGAGGCTATTATTACTATTATTGTTGTTGTTGTTGCTTGTTTGTTTGTTTTTGAAACAGGGTCTTGCTCTGTCGCCCAGGCTGGAGTGCAGTGGCACAATCTCAGCTCACTGCAACCTCTGCCTCCCAGGTTCAAGTGATTCTTGTGCCTCAGCCTCTCCCTCCTGAGTAGCTGGGGCTACAGGTGCACACCACCACACCTGGCTCATTTTTGTATTTTTTGTAGAGATGGGGTTTCGCTATATTGCTCAGCCTGGTCTTAAACTCCTGGCCTCAAATGATCGCTTGCTTTGGCCTCCCAAAGTTTTGGGATTACAAGCATGAGCCACTGCACCCAGCCTATTATTATTATTATTATTACATTACTCTTTGGCGGAGCTAGCTGAGGTTATTTTGGACCAAAAAGAAAAAAAACAATTGAATTGCTTTGTAGCTGGAGGCATGGGCAACGGGGGTCCCCAGGCAGTAAACTCCCCAACGGGTGGGCTGAGGGCTAGGGCTGAGCCTCAGGTGGGTCTCCTGTTCCCTGTGCTCCCCAGCACAGCAGCCTCCCTCGTGGGCTCTGGGGCAGCCGCAGGAGGGGCAGGCTGGGAGGGGCTGCCGTGGCTGTTCACTTGGGCAGGACATCAGAGGACTCCAGCTTCCCATCGCGGGTCTTGATCTTCTTCACAACCACAGCCCTGGTGGAGCCGGTGCTGCTGAAGGAGCTGGAGCCCGCCCCAGAGCCAAAGCTGGAGCCCAGGCTGTAGCTGAGGCCGGGGCTTGTGAGGCCCCCAAAGGCTTAGCTCAGACCACCTGCATAGCTGCTGGTGGTCTTCGTATGGATGCTCATGTTCAGCATCCCAGACTCCAGCCGGCTCTCGTCGCCCTCCAGCAGCTTCCTGTAGGTGGCGATCTGGATGTCCAGGGCCAGCTTCACGTTCATCAGCTCCTGGTACTCACGCAGCGGCCGCGCCATGTCCTGCTTGGCCCGCTCCTGGGCGGCCTCCAGCTCCGACAGCTCGGCGTTGGCATCCTTAACGGCCAGCTCCCCACGCTGCTGGGCATCTGCTATGGCGGCCTCCAGGGAAGTCCTCTGGCCCTTGAGACCCTCAGCCTCAGCCTGGAGTCGGCTGATGTTCCGGTTCATCTCGGAGATCTCAGTCTTTGTGCGCCGCAGGTCATTCCCGTGCTTCCCAACCAGCGTCTGCAGTTCCTCATACTTGATCTGGTACATGCTCTCAGCCTCAGCCTGGCTGTGGTTGGTGATCTCCTCGTACTGCACCTTGACCTCAGCGATGATGCTGTCCATGTCCAGGGAGGGCTGTTGTCCATGGACAGCACCGCAGATGTGTCTGAGATCTGGCACTGCAGCTCCCGGATCTCCTCTTCATACAGCTGCCTGAGGAAGTTGATCTCATCAGTCAGTCCTTCCAGGCGAGACCCCAGCTCTACCTTGTTCATGTAAGCTTCGTCCACCTCCTTCTTGATGAGGACAAATTCATTCTCCATCTCTGTAAGCTTATGGATCTCATCCTCATACTTGTTCTTGAAGTCCTCCACCAGCCCCTGCATGTTGCCAAGCTCCACCTCCAGCTTCAGCTTCTCCTGGCCCAGAGTCTCCAGCTGCTGCGTAAGGTTGTTGATGTAGCTCCCGAACATGTTGTCCATGTTGCTCTGAGCCATCTTCTGCTGCTGCAGGAGGCTCCACTTGGTCTCCAGCATCTTGTTCTGCTGCTCTAGGAACCGTATCTTGTCTGTGAAGGAGGCAAACTTGTTGTTGAGGGTCTTGATCTGCTCCTTCTCCTGGGTGCGCACAGCCTGGATATTGGGGTCCACCTCCAGGTTAAGGGGGCTCAGCAGGCTCTGGTTGACCGTGACAGTGGTGATGCCTCCTATGCCGCTGGCCCCACCATAGCCTCTGCCCAGGCCACCCCGGAAGCTGCTGCTGCCCACTCAGGAGAAGCTCGAGGAGCTGATGCGGGCACTGGGCCCACTGGTGTAGAAGTGGCTGCTGAAGGCCCGGGGTTCAGAGGTGGACACCTTGTAGGACTTCTGAGTCACCCTGATGGACATGGTGGAGGCAGGAGTGGAGGCAGGTGGGCTGAACCAGGTGGAGATTCCAGAAGGAGCGGAGAAGCTGCTTCTTGGTCTATTATTTTTAATAAATAAGGCTAAAAGGAGCCAGGTGCGGGGAGTGGGGCCAGCAGGTGGCCTGGCTGGCAGTTGATGCAGGAATGTTTGCCCCTGCATCCTGAGAGGGGGCGTTGAGAAGGGTGTCCTGAGTTCCTATGCTGGCTCAGGCTGAGGGTGGGGCAAAGTTCAGGGCAGAGATGCCTGACTCAAGTGTGGTCGGGTCAAGCTGGCGGCATTTTGTCTAGATTGGCTGCTGGTTTGGCTCATCAGTTATGAGACAAAGGATGGGACTTAGGAGTGTCTGTGCCTGGCCTTCTCACACCTAAGGAAGGAATCTTGGGGAAGGGGGCTTCTTGGCAGTGAGCCTTTTCCTAGAACACAAAAGGGTGGGGAGTTTCTTGACCATCGGGCACAGGGCTCAGGATGCATTTAGCATTGTCACTGGCCACTGCAGCCTGGGGTGGAATGGAACAGCAATTTAGTCCCACCTTGGAAATGGGAAGGCAGGGATGGGGGAAGCTTTAGAAGCTGGTCCTGGCTAGAAAGAGGTGGCATGTGGTAAGAGGAGGCAATGGTGCTGGGCAGTTCACCGCTTGCTTGACCTCCCTGTGCTCCCCACCTGTGGCCCAGGGAGACACTGGGGGCTGGGCCACTCCCTGGTCTACGCCCTGGACCAGGAGAGGCAGAGCCCTATCCCTCTGGGTGGGAGCAGAGGCTGGAGGTGGGAGCCCAGGAGCCTGGGCCCTGCTCTCTCCCACCAAGTTTAGAGGCTGCTGCATGTCTGACCTCTGCCCGGTAGGGACAAGAATTTTCTTTAGCCTCTTCCCTCTCAAGCCTTCTTTCCAACCATCCTATGGGAAGATGTGCAGGAGCTGGCCGTGGTTACAGAGTGCCCTGAAGCTGGCGGGGGCCTGGAGGCCGGACTGAGAGGCATCCATTTTGTCTAGAGCCTCTCACTGTCACCCTCCCACTGTTCTTGCTGTGCCAGCCATGGGCTGTTTGACTGGAGCAAAGGATGCCTCCCCACAGGGAGAGGGCAGGAGAGGAGCTCAGCCTCTGCGCTTTCTCCAGGCTCTGCTCTCCAGCCTGAGCCAGTCCTGCGGCACCCCCCAGCCACCTCTGGCCTCCCGGGCTGCCGACGTACCACCCGCTTGTCTTCCCGTCGCTCAGGGTGATTCCCTAATGACTATAATCGGGGTGTGCGCGGAGAGGTGAGGGAGGGACAGCGAGTGCTTCCCTAGACAGCCCATCCATTAGTGGGGCAGTGGCCTGTCACAACTGTCCAGAGGTAGATGAGCCCGGACCAGGCCAGAGAGGCCTGGGGAGGCAGACCAAGAACCCCTGTCTCCATCCCTTCTTCCCCTTCCCTGTTCCTTGGCCTTCTGCTTAGGAACTCTGCTCTAATTTATAAATGGTTTGACAACTTTAGGCTAGGCTCTGTAATTAAAAATAAAGAAGAAGACAGGCAGCATTGTCTCCTAACGATGCCTTTAATTGGTGGAGTTAATTTTAACGGGGCCTAGTTCAGTGCCTTGGAGGAGGCAATTCCAGAATTGGGGCTCTTGCTGGCATCCCCTGAAAGGCTCGCCCAGCCCAGCCCATTTACCTCATCAGCCAGGGGCTCCTCAGGCGGCGGGGGCAGGATCTTTATTTATTTATTTTTATCTCCAGTGCTGGGCACACAGTAAGTAGAAGAAGAGGTCTGTGGTGAGGAAGACCCAGAGCATCTGGAGCTTCCAGCCAGTCAGGAGGATTGCCTGAGGCCAGAAGTTTGAGACCAGCCTGTGCAACATAGTGAGACCCCGCATCTCTACCACAAACAAAAAACAAAAAACAAAAAAACAAAACTTAGCGAGGGGTGGTGGTGTGCACTTGTAGTCTCAGCCACTCAGGAGGCTGAAGAGGGAGGATCGCTTGAGCTCAGGAGAACCAGGCTGCAGTGAGCTGTGATGGTACCACTGCACTCCAGCCTGGGCAAGAGAGCAAGACCGTGTCCCCCACTCCAAAATAAAGTAATTTAAAAAATAAAAATAAAAAAGAAACACACTGGGATGGTGACTTGCAAGAAATAGAAAGAAAGCTTCCCAGACTGGCTCAAGTGACAAGGGAGACATTGCAAGGGCAAGGTGTTGGGGCTCTTGGGGATAGATACCCCAAGGAAGGAAGGGAACAACAGCTGATCCACGCAGGAGCCCGTATCAGGGAGGGAAACCCCTCCCTCTCCCTCTGAGACTTCCATAATTGAGTCTATGAAATAAACTGACAGCAGGCAGATTAACAGGAGAAAAGATAGATGTGTTTTTTGTGTGTACAGGAGCGTCACATGGAGGAAAACTGCATACCCCAAACCCAGCGAGATCTAGAAGCTGAGATGCATTCTTCATAGAGGAGGGAGAAGGGGGATGCAGGCAAGTTAGGGGAGAGTATACAAGGTTTGGAAAAATGAATGGGCCCTTAAGAGAATAAGCGACAGTCTAAGTCTGCCTGGGTGGGTGCCCCCTAGACCCCCAGTTTCCTCTCTCTCCTGTGATAGGAGCCAGTCTTCTCTGGTTGATGGATTCCTGGGGAGGGACTCACGACAATTGGCTTCTTTTTGGAGGACCTGTCTTTAGGCAGTTACAGGGAGTTCAGAGAGAGAGAGAGAGCCCCTGACCTCATTTACTGTACCCCAAGTGCTCTCAGTTTGAGGTAATCAGCATACCAGAGCTGAAGAGCTGAATATTTTGGGGTGACATTTCCTGAACTTTTTTTTTTTTTCAGAAACCAGGGAAGCCAGAAACCCAACCTACTTTCTCCATCTCTCAAGGCCTCCCCAGTAGCCAAGACTTCTCTGTCTCAAGGGTCTCACATCCCTTGGGGACCAGCCTCCCCAGAGGTAAGGGACAGTTTTTCCCTTTTAACTTCAGCTCATGCTGAAATTAAATCCTTTCTTTAGTTCTTTTAGCGCTGCCAAAGACAGGCTGGTATTTTCAAATATAACTGTATCTGTTAAAAGCTAGAAAATAGAAATAGAAAATACAAATAGCAGAATCAGTTTTCCAAAGGGCAGATTCTGAGTGCTAGGAATCCTGGAAGAAGTAGAAACTCTGTTTTCTAAATTCCAAGCTACACAATAACTTTTCTCTAACCTTCCAAGAGCTGGGACAATTCTACCCCTGCCCCCATGAGATAGATGCCTCAGGTGGAATCTATAGAAGCAGAATTGCCCCAATCTTTTTGAGGAACCCCTTTGAGAATAGAGCCTGGCACATAGCAGGTGCTCAGTAAATATATGGCATCCTATTTTCCATCAAGTGGAACAGTTTAGCAGGATATTTATTCCCTCCTGGGAGGAATAAGAAAGACCCCCCAAAAACAAACCCTTCTGTAAATTAAACCTCTTGGATCTAAGCCTTCCCTCATCCCCATTACCTAAGCTTCATCCCTAAATCTTGCCAGTTTCATAAGAGGCTGGATAATGTTTTTGAAATAGTAAACCTCCGTGTTCCTATTGCCTGGTAGCCCTGCACCCACTGAGTCAATGACATCGATGCCTCTGGGGAGGGCGGCTACAGCCTAGAACAAAGAAGTCAATTGAGTTGCTGAATGGATTTTTTTTTTAACTCGAGGCAGATGCAGATACAATAGTCTATGGGCAAAGCGATTTTGATTTGCAAGAGCTAGAGCTTAAGAGAGAAACAGTTTAGCTTTAAATTCCAAGAAGGCTTAGTTTAAACTCAGGACTGATCATTGAATTTCTGAAAGTTAACCATAGAGTGTCTGCAGATGTAGTAGGTGTTTAAGTGTTGATTAAATCAACCTTTCTCCACGTGCAAAAATCCATCTATGTGACTAAACTTTTATTCTCATGCAATGCTTTAATGAGTAGTAGTGGTTAACATTGTGATTACCTTGTGCTACGTACTGTGCTAAGGGTTAGATAACTCATTTAATATTCTCAACAACCTCATAGAAATGGTAGCACGATTATTCCTACGCTCAGATGAGCTCATGTCGATTGCCTGCTACCCAGCTATAACAATGCCTCTCTTTCAATCAGTTCTCTCACTTCTGTTTCCATTGCTCCTTCTCCATCCAGGTTCTTGTGCGTGCGCTTCTCTCTGCTGGGAAGATCCATTGACACCTTGTCTCTTTGGAGAAATCAGACCCCCTTGTTCTGAGGCTTCCAGAGACAAGTAATCATATCCTTTTCCATGCCCCAGCTAAACCTGTGCACACACAGGTTTTCTTTTTGCACTTTATATACAGAACATTACTGTAATTATTTGTGTACATTGGTCTTATTGTTTGCTCTGACAGTAGTGGGGTTTTCTCCGTATCTTTAGAATCTAGCAAATGCTCGGCACGTAGTAGGGACCAATGATTATTAAATAAGTGACTAAATGATGGATGAATGGAGGAAAATAGTTAACCACAGAGCAGAGACCTGAGGGTAGTTGCCCCCCCACGCAGGAAAGGCTTCCTGGGAAATTGGGGAGCCCAAGGAGACAGGCAGAACCATTGTTTGGAAGGAGCTGTTGGGTCTGGTCTCCACCTCTGCCTCCTTTTCTTTTCACTTAGAGGTCAGAACTCCAGGGGGTGATAGAGACCACAGGTGCGTCTGCTCAGCCCCAGGCAGTTTATGCCCTGCTTCCTTCTGGAACTCTCATAATATCCTGCACCAGCAGGGAACAGACAAGCGGAGCAGAAGGTGCCTTTAGGCAGTGCGATGCCCTGAGATCCTTGCAGCTGATCCTTCCCCATAACTCCCTTCAGGTTCCTGGCCTGTGGCTGGTACCAAGGAAATCTGGAGTGGCCTCCAATCTGAGAGATGAGGACTAGGGGGACAAGTCAGGGCTAGCAGGAAGGGAGCAGCCCAGCAATCAAGATAAATAATATTTAAATGCAATACTTAAAATTGGCAAAGTATGGCTCATGGGATTTCTGCCTAGTTTTATTTTTAATTCTTTTATTTATTTATTTATTTACTTATTTATTTTTTGAGACAAGGTCTCAGTGTTGCCTAGGCTGGTCTCGAATTCCAGGGCTCAAACAATCCTCCTGCCTCAGCCTCCTGAGTAGCTGAGACTACAGGCGTGTGCCACAGTGCCCAGCTGTTGCCTGTTTTTTTTTTTTCTGGTTTTGTTTTGTTTTGTTTTTGTTTTTGTTTTTGAGATGGAGTCTTGCACTGTCGCCCAAGCTGGAGTGCAGTGGTGCGATCTCAGCTCGCCGCAACCTCTGCATCCTGGGTTCAAATGATTCTCCTGCCTCAGCCTCCCCCGTAGCTGGGACTACAGGTGCCTGCCACCTTTTTGTATTTTTTAGTGGAGACAGGGTTTCACCATATTGGCCAGGCTGGTCTTGTGTTGTGATCAACTTGTGTTGTGAACAACTCCTGACCTTGTGTTGTGATCCACCCAACTCAGCCTCCCAAAATGCTGGGATTACAGGCATGAGCCAATGTGCCCGGCCTGCCTGGTTTTATGAATAAAATTTTATTGGAACTAGGGCCAAGATTAGAGTGAGGTGAATGAGACGGGATCATCCATGTGCAGGGTTGGATCCGCCCTCTAAAATTTGATATATTGTTCTCATTTAAAAAAAATTTTTTTAATTTATTTATTTAGAGACAGGGGTTTGCTCTGTTGCTGGGGCTGGAGTGCAGTGGTGTGATTATGGCTCACTGCAGCCTTGAAATCTTGGGCTCAAACGATCCTCTTGCCTCAGCCTCCCAAGTAGCTGGGAGTATAGGCACGTGCCACCATGTGTGGCTAATTTTTTAAAATTTTTGTAGAGATGGAGTCTTGCTATGTTGCCCAGGCTGGTCTTGAACGTCTGGGCTCAAGCAGTCTCACTGGCTCAACCTCCCAAAGTGCTGTGATTACAGGTGTGAGCCACCACACCCAGCCCAATTGCTGAGTTCTGGGGCTATACCTTACATTCTGTGCCTGCGGTGAGTGCCTTGGTTTCCTTGCCCCAGTCTTGGCCTAGGAGGTGGGACCTGTGTCAGAGGAGCTGGGGGAGTGGTAAGGGCTGCTGCCTCTATAAGATGCCTTTGCTTTTTGACAAGAGCACAGGCTGGATTTCAGTTTCTTTCACCATCTCAGCAGCCCCCTCTGTACAGAGTACAGTCTGCACAACTTTACGGGGTGGCCATGTCTGGAGAACAGACTACAGATTAGTCCACCCACAGGTAGTCCACTGCAGAGGCAGATGCACCACGAACAGAAACCAATGCCCAAGACCATTGAGGACAAGCTACCCTTCAGCTTCCCTTCTGGGGAGGCAGGGGGAGCCCCTTGGCTGGGTATGGTGCAATCTCAGCTCACTGCAACCTCCACCTCCCAGGTTCAAGTGATTCTCCTGCCTCAGCCTCCCAAGTAGCTGGGATTACAGGTGTGCATCATGCCTGGCTGATTTTTGTATTTTTAGTAGAGACAGGGTTACATCATGTTGGTCAGGCTGGTTTCGAACTCCTGGCCTCAAGCAATCCACCTGCATGGGCCTCCTAAAGCGCTGGGATTACAGGTGTGAGCCACTGCCCCTGGCCAGTGATTTGTCTTTTAACTGCTGAGTTATTAGACTTCTTTATATATTTTGTATACAAGAATGTTATCAATGGCTTCCTTTTGTATAGAGGATGCATTTCAGTCCCTTCAGCTGGCCTGCAAGTTTCTTCCAGATCTAACCTGATTTCCTTTACTGCTGGCTTTATCTCCTGCTACTCCCTTCCTTTTACTGATAACGCTTTTTCACTTTTCTGTCCAGAAAATGCTTTCTCTCACAACTGGCCTTTTGTAGATGCCATTCCAAGAACATTATTGTCCCTTCTTGCCTGGCTAAAATCCACTCACTCTCCACTTAAGGTTCTTCTCTGTGGGCTAAAAGGATGGTGCAGGCCGGCCATGGTGGCGCAGGCCTGGAATCCCAGCACTTTGGGAGGCCGAGGTGGGAGGATGGCTTGATCCCAGGAGTTTGAGACCAGCCTGGGCAACATAGTGAGACACTCTCCCAAAAAGGTTAAAAAAAATTAAATAAATATTAAATTAAAAAATAAAAAGATGATGCAGCAGGCAAGCTCCATGCCTGAGAGCTGGTCTACGTTCAGGGCCAGCTGCTGAGGGCACGTGTGGATTCTGGCCCTGTGATGCTGACAGTGAGGTGGTGGAAAGCGATTGTAACACTGTCCCTGTGATCCAAGGTGAGCAGTGAATCCCTCGAACTTAGAGGAGATTTTAAAGGTTATTTAGCCCACCGTCCTGCCCCGGAAGTTGGAGCATTTCTGCATCACCCCCATCTAGCCTGTCCTGTCTCTGGATTCCACCACGGACAGCTGGGGATACTCAACATGGCCTTTGGGGAATGGGGGTGGTGTGTTTACCTGCAGGCAGGCGGCCCTGGGCTTCAATCCTGGCTCCACCCTCAGCCATAGAATCTAGGGCAGGTCTCTTTAGTTTTTCAATCTGCAGAATGGGCCTAGGTAGTAACACCTGCCTCGTGGGGCTGTTATTTGGCATTGGGCAGGCACTCAGCAGTGTTGGTTTCCTTTCCCTCCTATTAGAAAACTCGTCCTCAGATTGAGCCTAAATCTGTTTTCCTGTGAATTCTAAACATTGGTCTTGGAGCCACAGGGGGCACATCTCTCTCAGTCCCCTGTCTGTTCCATGTTTGGAGTTTGTCCCCTTAAAAGCCTCTCTTCTGCAAACTCAACATCTTCACCTCCCTCAGCAGCTCTGCCCAGTCACCCATGCTGAGGTGAGCCTCACCCAGACGCCCCTGAGAGGCAAATCCATTCCACAGACAATGGCTGCTCTATTGATATGGTTAGGCTTTGTATCCCCACCCAGATATCATCTTGAATTATAATCCCTATAATCCCCATAATCTCTTATATGTCAAGGGAGAGACAAGGTGGAGGTAATTGGATCATGAGGGCGGCTCCCCCTATGCCGTTTTCACAATGAGTTCTCACGAGATCTGATGGTTTTATAAGTGTTTGGTAGTTGCATCTGTGTTCATTCTCCTTCCTGCTGCCTTGTGAAGAAGGTGCTTGCTTCCCCTTCTCCTTCCACCATGATTGTAAGTTTCCTGAGGCCTCCCCAGCCACACTGAACTGTGAGTCAATTAAGCCTCTTTTCTTTATAAATTACCCAGTCTCAGGCAGTTCTTTATAGCGTGTGAAAACGGACTAATACTGTTATCCATGGCGTTAGGTCATTTCTGTCAGGATGGGAGCCATTTCTGATTCACTACATGGGGTAGAGCTGTTTGCACTTGCTAAGTGTGTAATAAATATGTGTTGACTGAGCCCGTCTCCCTTGGTCAGAGGGAGTACTCTTGCCCCAAGTCTTCTTTCCCTTCCTCAGCTACAATTTGAGGCCAGGGAGTGAGGCAGGCAGTGTATTGTAAGACCTTCCATTAATTCACTCAAAGCATTTACCAAGCACCAGGCTAGGGGCTCCGATGAGAACCCTGTGAATTTCCTAGGGCTGCAGTAACAAATTACCACAAACGGCATGGCTTAAAGCAACAGACATTTCTTCTCTCGCAGCTCTGAAGGCTGGAAGCCCAGAATCAAGGTGACGGCAGAGTCATGCTCCCTCTGAGGTTCGAGAAAAGAATCTGTCCCATACCTCTCTCCCAGCTTCTGATGGCTTCTGGCAGTCCCTGGCATGCCTAGGCTTGTAGAGCCTCACTCCAATCTGTCTCTGTCTTCACATGACATTCTCCCGTGTGCTGCTAAGTCCACATTTCCCTCTTAAAAGGATGCCAGTTGCGTTGGAGTGAGGGTCCACTCTAATCCAGTGTGAACTCATCTTAACCCTGATCATATCTGCAAAGACACTATTTCCAAATTAAAGTCACATTCCCAGGTTCTAGATGGACATGCATTTTGCAGGGATAGCAGTCAACAGCATGGGAAACAATGCTTGCTCTCAAGGAGCCCATTGTCTCATGGAAGGAGGAGCAGACCTGTTAACATAGAGGAGCGATGTGGTGATTCCCGGAGGCACGCTGGAGCAGAGAGAGAGCATGTGTGCTGGGAAGACCCCTGAACCAATCTCTGAGGGGACAGGAGCTGGTCAGAAGAAGGGTGTGAGTAAAGGTGGGAGAAATGGCCTGGGGCATGCAGAGAACTCCCAGCAGCTGGTGAGGCTAGAGCCCAAAGAAGGGATCAGGGAGTGATGAAGACAAGGCTGGGAGGTGAGCAGGGGGCAGTTGTGGAACACCTTGGACACCACGGGCCTTTATCTTACAGGCAGCCAATCAGAAGCCAATGAAATACTTTACGTAGGAAAATGATAAGGCTAAATGTATCTTGAAAGCTGACTCTGGCATCCATGTGGGATGGGTTAAGGGGTGAAACTGGAGGCCAGCGAACTAGTTGGATGCTGTTGCTAGTGCAGGCTAGAGATGTGAGGCTGTCAGCGGCTGATGGGGGTCTTGGCCAGTTCGTGCCCACTGTTATTCCAGAGATAAACACTGTGGACTTGCATCACAAACACCATTCTGCAGGTAGAACTTGACCTTCATAAAAGGAAGACAGAAAAAGACATCAGAAATTGTTTTTTAAGAACAAATGTTGGATTTTCAAGGGATCTGAAGTCAAGGTTGAATTTTCCAATGAGCTAGCTGGACTCTTCTTGGCATTTAGACATCCCAGGGTTTGCTTTCCATTGATTTTCCAGTGGGAACCTCCTTCTCATGCGTGATCTTCCTCCTACACTCTCGGCCCCTTGTCAGGTGCAGTTTCTGGTGAGGTCTTAAATTTTTCAATGGTGCCCAGCTAGCTGGTGTAGAAGCCCTTAGGTCTGGGCAGCCTGGGGATGCCCTTTCCTGTAAGACTGTGTCAGGCACGCTCTTTCCTGGGCTAAGATCTTCATGGGCCAATGCCAATGTGAGTGGCAAGGGAGTCCACGCACTGTAGGGCTCTCCCTCCCAGCCCATCTGTGCCCTTGCATGGCTGTTCCGAGTCACAGGCCCCCTCCATTTAGGACATTGTAATGCGGCCTTCTTTCTTTACTCTAGACAAAGGAGATACTGCATAGGCAGTTGTAAGTGTGAGTCTGGGGTGTCAGTATCACTGTGGGTGGAGTTGGTTGGCAGTTGAAAGGCCTCAGGCCCAAGCTGTGGGACCACCCACTGTCTGATGGAAGTGAGTGATGAAAGAAGCATGACAAAATGCAACCCCAGAGAGGTGGGATTGGGGGTGGATGGGGGAGTGGACACTCCCAGCGGCATCCCAGACAGCTGTTTTCATTGATGCGTTCTATAGGGAAAAATTGTGAAAGACTTTGAAATGGACCAAAAAGATGATTGGGTGTCTTGTCTAGCATACTCTTCTGGGTTTTTTTCAGGCTTCATGGTCTTTGAGCTATTTTACAGCCCTGGAAGTTACAGAAAACTGGTAATAACACAACGAGGAAAAGGCATGTGAGGCCATAGCAAGAGGACACACAAGCCAGGAAGTGAGCCCCCATCAGACACCTGAACCTTGATCTTGGACTTCCAGTGTCCAGAACTGTGAGAAATAGATTTCCCTTGTTGAAGCCACCAGCCTATGGTGTTTTCTTATGGCAGTTGGAGCAGACCATGAGAGCTATATTTCAGGTTCTTTGAGATTTTCTTTTAACCAATTGTAATATCTTACTGGTTCCCCCATGAATTAATGGACTAAATACAATTTTTGACATAGGTTATTGGTATCAGAGTCACGATTTTGTCCTTAAGAAAAAGTTATTCTTTGACCATTCAATCATTCAGCAGAATGTTTGTTGATGCCGTCCCTGGCCCTGGCACTGTGCTGATGGCTGGAAATACAAAGATGAGTTCAACATAGTCCTTGTCCTCAAAGAGCTCCTTGTGTGGTGCAGAGGCGGGCAGGAGGCACACCAGTGAGCATCAGAGTGTCGGTGCTGAGGCTGCAGTTGGAGGAGGTCGCTTTTGGCAGGGATTCGGGGCAGGGCTGGGAAAAGCATGAGTTTTGGAGTCAGACAGGCCTAGCTCTAAGTCCTCAATTCACCACTTCAAAGCTTTGTGGCTTCAGATACATTCATTTTCTTATCTGTGAAGTAAGGATAGTATTTTCATCTTAAGGGTTTATGAGAAGTAAATGAGGTATTGTGTGCAAAGAGCTTAGCCCAGTGCCTGGCATATACTAAATGCTCAACAAATGCTAGTCTCAGCCTTCTGGGCTATGATTTCAGAGGTGCAAGGAAGGCCCCTGATTCCTTCCTCTGCCTGCTAGGAGACACCTGAAATTCCTTTAGGAGAGGAAAAACCTTTCATTACACAGCTAGCAAAGCACTCCCAGTATAAACAGCTTGGGACAGGAAGTGTGGTGACTCAACACACGTTAATATGTAATTTGCTGATGCCAGGGCTTCCGCTTAGAGAAAGTTTTCATAAGCATAACCCCTTGCCTGTGAGTGCCTCTGAAAGCACTTTCACATCTCTGACCTCATGTAATCCCCCCAGCGCCTATCTGGGGAGGGCAGGTCCTGGAGGATCATCCTTACTCATTTTACCAAGGAGGGGACTTGGGCTTTGAGCCATGAAATAAATAGTCCATTCCAGGTTACTCAGCCATGATCCAGGAGCCAGGCCTCAGACCTCAGTCTCCAGACTCAAACAATGCACCCTTACCTCCAGTGGAGTGAAGAGGGGAGAGGAGTCACTCTAGAAGAGAACTTGGGGAACCTGAGCTTAAAGAAGCTGAGTCAACCCTGGGTGGAGGAAGCAGAGCCTCCCAGGATGGTGGGTTAAGGATCTGCTCTCTATAAGCTGTGGAATTCTTACCATGTTGGGCCTTGATTTCTTCTTTTCTAAAATGGTGGTAGTAATGCTTGTCTCACAGGGCTGCTGTACGGATAAAGAGGATAACACAAGCAGTGTCTAGCACAATGCTAGATGGAAGGCTTCAAGCCACACAAGAGCAGGGACAAATCTGACTTGCTCCCCATTGCATCCCAGCAATCGGTAAAGCACCAGGCACGTGGTAGGTGCTCCAGGAGTATTCAACAAAGGAATGGATCAGTGAGTGGCATGGGCTCAGTGCACGGCCACTGTTGTAGTCATTGTGTAGGAACAGGATCGCTGGTGGAACTCACCGAGCCTGGGGACGTGGAAGAGAGGCTGGGGGAGCCGGGTCTGCAGACACATTTCAGTGGCTGTGGGGAGGGCAGGCTCAAGGAAGAATTCAGTTTCTTTGGATATGAGGGCTTTGGGACACCTTCTGCTCTGAATGGAGGAGCCAGGAGCTGGGATACTCCATGTCCAGGCCAGGGGACAGGGTGACTTCAGGTAGAAGTTGTAGGCATGCAGGTAAGCCCCAGAGAGCATAAGGAGAGAGAAACCCAGGCCCATGCTAAACCAGCAGGGGCAGCCCATGTGGGTGGTGCAAGGACCAGACAAGCAGCCTCCAGGGGGTGGGCAGAGAGCTTCTCTGTGGCCCCTGTGCTGGGGTAGGGGGCATGGGTGGCCCAGAAGGACAGGATGCCACTGTATTTCCTGAGAACTGCTGCCCCAGCCCTTAGCTGTTCCTTCCACTAGAAGCCATTTTCACTCCTACTCTGACCCTCCTGAGACCATGGCTCACGGTCAGGCCCTGATCTTCTCGTGGATTTCTATCGATTTGGATGTTTTTGACAGAGCGTGTCTTTAGGAGAGGCTGGTGGGACCTTCTGCTCCTGAGCCGCGATCTCTGCCTCCACCTGAATCTTCACCTCTGCTCTGTACCTCCCCTCTTCACTCACAGCCACTGGCTCAACTCTCCCACTTAAAACAAAACAAACAAAACCCTCTCTCCCTTGGCCCCAGCTGTCTCTTCAGATCACGTCTTATCTTTTCTCCCCCAACTCGTATCTTGGGAGGATTAGCGTTCCTTGCTGTCTGATGTTCTCTCTCATTCACTTTTTTTTTTTTTTTTAAGCAAGTGGTCTTCCAGGTGTTTTTCCTCTGAGTGGCATCACCAGTGGTCTACAAAGTCACCAAGTCCCCTCTCCAATCCACCCCCTTACCACTTCTAAATCCAACTGCTGTTCTCAGGACGTTTCTGCCTCCCATGGCATTTGGCCATGTGGGCCGCTGCCTGCTTGGAAGTCCAGCCTCAGGTCCCAGGCGGAACCCCGCCGGTGCCTGTGGCTTTGGCCTTGGCTGGCTTCTTGCTTTCCTTCGCTGGTCGCCCGCCCCCTTTGCTGTGGGTGCTTCTCGAGTGGATCCCAGTCCTCACCTCCTCCCTCCACGCGTTCTCCCTGCGTGAGCTCATCCTCCCTGTGGCTTTAATTACCATCTGTAGGCTGCTGGCCGCTCCAGTGTGGGCTTGTCTCAGGAGAAACAGCCCAGCAGCTTAAGAGCATCTCCATCCCCACATGTGTGAACTTGAGCACGTTCTGAACACCCCTCCCGCCTTCCCGCATGGCCACTGTCTCAGTAAGCATCTCTCCAGTTGCTGGTCAGAAACCTGGACAGGACTCCTGATTCCTCCTTCTCTGTCAGCCCCCACACTCAGTCCTTCTGTTTGATTTGACCCAATCGCCCCTTAGGTTTTCCTCCTAATTTGCTTTCCAGTCCACCCGCTGATCTCCTGCCCGCCTCAGTGATGGCTTCCTCCCAGGCTCCCTGCCTCAGTTGCCCCGGCTCACTCCCATGGGCTCAGCAGGTCTTGGGCTCTGCCTCATGCCTTGGGCTTCTCTGTCTGTCTGTTCCCTCCCTCCAAGCTTTCCTCAAGCCTCACCTCTTTGAAAGCTCGTGTCACAGTTAAGAGGGATAGTCTGGAGCCCACAGACCTATTTCAAATCTAGATGTCAGCACTTAGCAGCTTTGTGATCTCAGCCTCAGCAAACTTCTTACCTGCTCTATGCCTCAGTCTCCTCTTATGTAAATGGCGATCCCTGCTTCTCATCGATTGCTGTGAGTCAAGTGTGTGTCTCTAGCTGCTTTTGTATTCTAGAGAAAGGCGTTCATTGCTGCCAGGGAGACAGGGATCTTTGTTCCGGAAAATGACCCATTGATTGTGTCAGATAAAGCTCTCTACCCACCAGAGTGAAACTGGGAAGGCCAAAGAATGGGGCTGAACTTCTCCAAAGACAAAAGCCATTTCAGCAGGAAGCAATGAGAACCCGGAAATGGCAGAGGGGGGTCAGCCACGGGATTGGAGTGCAGAGGCTGAAGACAGAACCCAGAAGATGTGACTGGTTCAGGAGGAACTGGCAAGAGCAAGAGGTCTGATTTTTAAATTTCGAGTCACTTGTTAGGCTTCAAGAAGGTCCCTCCTATTCCCCAACTTCTAGGAAAATTATCTTACAAGTTCTGCCATAGGTTAGTAACATTTTGGGAGAAAATTCAGGACGAGACAGATCCCATCTGCCACTTCTTCCAGGAAGCCTTCCTGGACTCCCCCTGTCTCCCAAGTCTGGTTTTGGTATCTCCTCTTCTGTAGGTCAACAAGAAGAAAAAAACAAACAAAAACAAAAAACAACCCAAAAAATTGCATAAACTCAAGAGTCAGAACAGGATTGAGAGAGAAGAGGAAATCAGAATGAGAGGAAATCATGAAAATGCCAGGTCCTGGCAATTCTTAGGCATCTTGGAGACTGTACGGCATGGAACTGTTTTTATCTGAATACTGAAAGTGACCCCAAAGCTTTAAAGGGACATCAAGAGATCATCTGTGTTACTGAGAATTAAATTAGATGATGTACATAGAGTTCTTAGCCCCAGCCCCAACACACAGGAAACTCAGAAATTTGGGAGTTACTTTTTTTTTTTTTTTTAACAAACATTATAATGTCCTATTTTATAGATAGCAAGGATATAACAATCTCATCAGAGGTGAGGTGGGCAGAGATCTACAGGAACAGAGGGAGCTTATCTCCTCTTAACTTCCCTGGGCACCCAGGCCCCCTAATGGGGACACAGCTGCTGGTGACACTGGCCAAACAAGGACAATCTGACCATATCTGGAAATGTCCACTTTTGTTTTTATTGTCAGCTACTATTATCATTTTTAATAGGACAGGGTCTCACTATGTTGCCCAGGCTGGTCTCGAACTCCTGGACTTAAGCAATCCTCCCGCCTCGGCCTCCCAAAGTGCTGGGACTGAGCCGCAGTCTGAGCCGCAGCGCCAAGCTCTATTATTTTTAACATCACTGTCCTTCCTCAGTGTCCCCAGAGTGCCTCTGCCTGTCCCCACTCATCTGTTGTTGAGTGTGGATCTTGGATTACTACTTTTCTACTTAGATGTAAGAAATCTGGCTGATTTTCACATGTGGTTTATAGAAATAGAATGATTTTTTTGGTTCCATCATGTATCCTGTCTTCCTCCCTCCAATTTCACTGCAAGCTCTGAGTTGGAACTCAAATGGCCAGTTCTCCTTAGGTCCCTTGTGCCTCATGCACAGCAACGGCTGCACCGATGTCTGTTGCTGTGGGTGTTAATTTCATCCCTGGATGGGTCCAGAGAGTCCACACCTGGGCAGGAGGCTCAGCCCGGAAGCCCCTGCTCTGTCTTTGCCTGTGTCTTCACTCAAGTCTCTTGGGACAGCCTGAGCTGCTGAGATGTGGTGGTGGAGAGGAAACAGAGATGGGGTCTTTGAGAAGAGAAGGACTAGCAGTGTGAAACTAAGTGGGTGGTCACAGGGTGTGGGGGTTGTATTTAATTAGTCACTAAGCCCTTTCATGAGATCTTGAGCCATGGTCCCTTGTTGAGGAAATGTGTGTACATGTGAACTACATGGAAAAGGACCTCAGGGTTGTCACATCCAACTCTGATCCATTGTAAGAATCTCCTTTTATACCTCTGACAGGTTTTATTCAGTCTTTACTTGAATGCTTCAAATGATGGAGAGTTCATTACCTTTAGGGAAGGAATTTTTGATTACCTAATTATTTTTATTTTTATTTATTTTTCCTTTTTAGAGACGGGTCTCACTCTCACCCAGGCATGAATGCAGTGGTGTGGTGATAGCTCACTGCAGCCTCGAACTCCCAGGCTCATGCGATCCTCCTGCCTCAGCCTTCTGTGTAGTTGGGATTACAGACAGGTGCCACCACACCTGGCTAATTACTTTTTTTTGGTAGAGACAGGGTCTCACTCTGTTGCCCAGGCTAGAGAACTTGATTTTAATTAAGTACTCACCCTCCTTCATAACTGATCCAAAGAGTTATAGTGAGCCCATTTCTCTTCCCCGTGGATAATTTAGGCGAGTGTATGAGCATGCGACACAATTCTAGCTAACGAGGTAGAGAGGAAGCCCAGTAGGGGCTTCTGGGAAAGGTTTCCTCTCTTTTAAAAAGAGATACAAAAAGGGCTGGCCTGTTCTTCTATTAGAAATTTGAGCAGATATGTGATGTCTGGAACTGTGGCAGCTATCTTATGACCATGAGGGGAACTAACCTGAAAGCCAAGAGGACAAATTAAGGCTAACAGAACAGAAATGTGTTAAAAAACAAAACAAAATAAACATGCAAGCAAGCAGGAAAACAAACTGGGGTCATTGATGTAATCACTGAACAGCTAATTCAGTGATTAGCTGGGGGTGCACCTACTATTTAAAGCAAACCTGAAAAGCTGTTCACTCATTTTTAACATGAGGTCAATGAAATAGTTTATATGAACTGGAACCAAACAGGAAATCTCTAATTCTAAATGTCAGTGGCCGAGTTTTGAGCCTAAATAATGAACTTTATATCCATCTGTGTTACACTTTATTTTTTGGTTTTGATCTAATCTTCCACCTTTTACAGACTTTTTGGATTTCTGTTTTAACTCTACAGAACATTCCTAGTCCCTCTCAACTCTCTCTCTTTTTTTTTTTTTTTTGAGACAGGGTCTCACTCTGTTGCCCAGGCTGGAGTGCACTGGTGTGATCTCGTCTCTCAGCTCACTGCAACCTCCGCCTCCCGGGTTCAAGCGATTCTCCTGCCTGAGCCTCCCTAGTAGCTGGGATTACAGGCACATGCCACCATGCCCGGCTAATTTTTGTATTTTTAGTAGAGATGGGGATTTCACCATGTTGGCCAGGCTGGTCTCAAACTCTTGACCTCAGGTGATCCTCCCGCTTCAGCCTTCCAAAGCGCTGAGATTACAGGCGTGAGCCACCGTGCCCAGCCTCAACTATCTCTCTTTCAGTTTTAGAGCTTCCGTGAGCATAATTTCTTCATTCAAGGAAATGATGAGTTGAAAAGAGCCAGGCCAAAGAGAGAGCCTGGCAACACCGCACACAGCACTGGGGGCCAGATACTTTGGGGTCACCTAGATGTATCACACAGCCCACATTTCTCTATCTTGTCTGCATTTGAACAAATGCCTTGCTGAAAGCAGGATTTAGTGACTATGATACACTGACCCATTCTTCCTTATAAAAAATGGAACCACCGTCAGCAGAACTATGCTGGGTCTGCCTTGCCAGGGCTGTGACCTTCTCTGTACAAGTCTGTTTGCATGTGGGCAGGGACGGTGAGTTTGTGGCCTTTTCTACGCGTTTCATATCTGGACCCATAGTTCAGTTTTGGGGGTTAGGACTGAGCTCTGGTTGGCACTGGCTAGGGCTAGACGCTGGGAAGATGGCTGGAAATATTGATGACAGATAAGCCTTTTTTGTCCAAGGCCAGACAGGTTATATCAGCCCAGACTGAGAGCCTTCTGAGTCCCCTCCCCTCCCCTCCACTTACTTCTATTACCCCGGCCTTGCCCTGGGCCTTCCTCCTTCAGAGCTTTCTGGCTCTCTGTTAGGGTAGGGCTCCATCTCCCATTGATCCTGAAAATAGATCTTGAGGGGACTCTTGAGAAGAGAAGTGTGTATGGGAGGAGTGGAGGCCCCCAAATCCTCCTCAGCCTCTGGGGGCCCAGATGAAACTCAGAATGGGGGACAAGATACTTTTTTTTTCTTTTTTGAGACGGAGTCTCGCCCTGTTGCCCAGGCTGGAGTGCAATGGTGCAATCTTGGCTCACTGCAACCTCCACCTCCCGGGTTTGAGCAATTCTTATGGCTCGGCCTCCTGAGTAGCTGGGACTACAGGTGCGTGCCACCACGCCCAGCTAATTTTTGTATTTTTAGTGGAGATTGGGTTTCGCCGCATTGCCCAGGTTGGTCTCGAACTCCTGACCTCAGGTGATCCATCTGCCTCAGCCTCCCAAAGTGCTGGGATTATAGGCGGGAGCCACCGTGTCTGGCCTGACAGGAGATTTATTCTACCTGGGACTGAAATTTTCCTGAGCTGTCCTGAGGGTGCCGGCTCCTGTCCCCACCATTGGAGATCCGGTCTCTTCCCTGCATCTTTTGTTGGCACAAGAGAGAGGGGATGGCTGGACTCCCAGTGCTCTGGCCACTCCCTCCCAGCTCACACGGGGGCTGCTAGCCTGCGAGCAGGGGTGAGGTAGTGAGGGCAATGGTGGCCTTATAGGACTGTAGGATGCACTGGGCTCACTCTGGAGATGCACCTGTGCCAGGCCTGAGGGTTTGGAAGATGGGAATCTCTCTCTATGGCTTCCTGGGTTTGCTCTCCCCCAGCTGGAGGAGAGTCAGGCTAGAACAGCACTGGCCTGGAAGCTTCGTAACCCCCAGCAGGAGGAGCCCCCTCACAATCCAGGAGCCTCCAAGCCTCCTGGACTTCCTCGGCCCTGATGGTCGGCGAAGGGACTCGGCCCAGCGGAGACGTCCGAAGCTCTGAGTGCCCAGAAGAGGTTACGTTCTGGTCTGAGTTCCTTGGCCCCTTTAGATAATCTGCCTCTAAAGGCATGATCCTGAGATAATAGGGCGTAGGAAGACGGATGTTGGTTTAGAGTTTGGAGGTGATTTGGGGGTGGCTGGAAGGGGGGGGGAGCTGCCTCTTGGGTTCTACTGCCTCTTGCTAATGGCTCAGCTTCCCAGCAGGAGAGGAAGGGCAGGAGGCTCAGGCCTGGCAGCCTAGGCTGGTGCTGAGCCTGGGAGATGGAGGAGGAGTCTGGTAGCCTCTGTGAGAGGATGAGAGTGTGTGGCAGTGGCGGGGTGCCCACCTATGCACCCTCAGGCACACCTGTCCTTTCCCATTCAGAATTCATGTTCACCCGCGGGAGTCACGCTCAGGTGTTCACCCCACAGGTTTATCCCCGTGATCGGGGTGGAGGGAGGTGGAGCCTGGGGGCTCTGGAGGTCTGGGAGGAGGGAACCGAGATATAGGATGGGGCTTCTGTCCCAGGCTGGCCTGGAGGCAGCAGGTAAGGGCAGGGTGTGTGTGTGAGAGGGACAGTCTTGTCCACAAGTGCCCTTACAGGAAGGAGCAGAGCCCAGGGAGGCCAGTGAAAAGAGGCTGGAGGAAATGGTCCTGGGGTGGCAGGTGGGCAGCTGGCCCCAGGTCGTGGTCTTCCCAGATGTCAGGGTAGCTCTGGAGGTCCTGGGGGTGGCTGTTCTCACCCTGGAGTTCTAGGGAAAGAGAGAGGAAGAGGGGAGAGTGGGGAAGACAGCTGGGGATTATGGTTGCCCACCACCCGCCAGGCCTGCAAGCAGCGCATCCTGAAATCCCCTCACCCTGTCCATCCCCCCCTCCCAGTGGGCCCAGGAAGCTCCACCCCTTTGCCCAAGGTCATACACAAGTAAGTGGCATAGCAGGGTTTGAAATCAGGTCTGCCTAACTCTAAAGCCCGTGACTGATCCCTCCCCTGCACCAGGAGCCGGGGACAGAGGAAGGCAGGGAGGGAAAAGAAGGGCACTCTGTCTGGGCAGGGTGTGGGTGGCATGGGGTGGTGTGTTCACTTGGGGTCCTGTACTGACCTCCACTTGGCTTCCCACCACCCTAGGCCCTGGAGGGGATGTCTTGGGTCCTGGTCACTCCATCCTGTCACCCACGCTGGACCTGAAGTCCCAGGCAGCTTCCCTGGGGGAGCTTAGCTTGGAGAGGGGCTCCCAGCCCTGCGTATGGCATGGGGGCACGTTTCCCAGGCTGTCCAGCAGGGGGAGCCCCACCCCCCCACCCCCCGCCTCGGTTATCCCGGGTCCGACAGGACAGGAGGGCCCAGGCAGCCGGCCTCTGCTCTGCCCTCTAAACACAGCTGGGGCCAGGGCTCCAAGGCCTAAGGACTGGACAAGAGTGGCTGGCTCTGGGGAAGGCCTCTGGCCCTGTCTGACCCTGGCCTGCCTGGCCTCCCATGAGGTTGACAGAAGACTGTGGCCACCAGGCTCCCAAGCCCCCTCCATGGGTGAGCCTGGGCCCTCCTGCCTCCTCATCAAAGGCCTGGGAGGGTGCTCAGGCTTCCAGGGCTCCCCGGCTGCACACCCAGACTCAGGAGCCTACTGGGCGCTGCGGCACCTCTCTTCTCAGGGTGTGCTCCCACTCCACTCGCTCAGCTGAGGACACTGTCCTGGGCTGGGGAATTCAGGAGCAAGGAATTGCTCTTGCCCACCCAATATGTTCCACTGCTGCAGGTGTCTGCAGAGGAGAAGGGCAGAGACCAGACATTCGGGTGATGCCTCTATCTGCGCTGTGCAGTATGGCAGCCTGTAGCCATGTTTAAATGAAATGAAAATTAAAGAACATTAGCATTAACATAACGACAACACCGGTTACTCGGTGGCACTGGCTGCATTTCCAGTGTTCCATAGGCTCCTGTGGCTAGTGGCTATGTATGGGGAGCACAGAGGTGGAACATTCCATCAGGCTGTTCTCCTGGATGACACTGGTTCAGCCCCTAAGCTGGGGGAGGGGGAGGCCCTGGTGTGGGGGGTTGGGGTCAAGGAGCTGGAAGCTGGGTGGGAGCCAGTGTATGTGTGGGGTGCTACCATGGGGTGCCCTGGGACGGGAGGAGGGAGGGGCATCAGAGGAAGAGGGCAGACATCCAAGGAGCCCAGGAAGGGCCTGGGGACATGAGCGGGGGTGCAGGTTGGAGCCTTGTCTGCGTATCTTAGCTCTGAGCTTCCATGTGCCCATTTACAACCTCGGAGGACTGTCACAGTCAGGTGGCGGGGCAGAGAGAGCCCGAGAGAGGCTTAGGTCCGCTTTGTCACGCTGCCTCTGCTTGCTGTGACTTGGGCAGGCTCCTTCCCCTCCCGAGTCTCAGTCCCTTGCTCGGTGACACAGGACCCACAAGGTCTGTGTCCCAGGGCTGCGTGGGGCCCAGGGAGACACAGGGTGTGTTCCGCCTGTGGGAAGCGGGGCAGACTGGAGATCGGCACCTCCTCGTCTCCTGCTGTCCTGAGGGAGCTCAGAGATCTTTGAGTTCTAGCTCCTTGGTTTTTTAAAATTACCATGTAGACAGTCTGCTTCCTAAGGAGGATTTGAGGCAGCTAACCCCTTATTTTACAAATGAGAAAACAAGCTTTGGGAGGTTTAGGGACTTACTCAAGTCACGTCGTCTCTGAAGTTCCCTGATGTTCAGAGCCAAGAAAAGTTTCATAAATGCAGCCTCGGCCTCTCAGCCCCACCTCCCACCCCATCCAGACGCCTTTATTCCCTTAAGGGATGTGGGGCTGGGCTGAGCTCGAGGAGGAGGACTGGGGCCAGAGATTGAGGGTGAGGCGGTGGCCTGGGCAGAGGAATCCAGTATGGGGAGAGAGCCCAGTGCCTGGCAGGGGAGGGTAATGGGGATAATGGGGACTTTGAAGTGGCCACTACATCCTGCAAAGCCCAGGCCTAGAGAATGGGGTTTATGTGGAGCCTCTGTGTGGAGAGGGGCCCCGACTGGGGATGTCAGGGTCCCCCTGCCCTTCAGGGCAGCAGCAAGCCTTCCTCCCAGCACCTCTGCTCTCATCTCCACATGCGCTCATGCAGAGGGCTTTGTAACGGCAGTAGTGTTAACAGCAGCAATTCATTGAGCACCTGCTATAAAACAGGCGGATCACTAGATATTTTACCTGCTTTCTCTCCTTTAATTCACTCAGCAACACAATCAACTCCATAATAGCCCTATTTAAAACCTAATGTAACTGTGAGTCAGAGAGGGTCAATGACTTGCCCAAGGTCACACAGCCTAAAAGGGGCTGGCTGTGTCAGCTTTCCAGCTGGTTCCCTGAATCACACATGCCAGGAGCTTTCCCCCGGGCACAGTGGTCTGTCCAGCACCGGGTGCTGGCTGATGATGTGCTTCCCAGGGGGCTGGAATGCAGGACTCTGGCCTGTCAGGGAGAGTTACAGTCTGATGGGAGGGGGCTGCTCCTGGCAGAGCCCGGTCTTTGATGGGGGAGCCCAGCTTTGATCTCCTTTTGAAGTCCCGGCCTCTGGAACCAGCAGCTTCAGTGGGGAGAGTGCAGGGGAAGGGGGAGATGAAAGGGCAGGGGAAGCCAGATTTGGAGAGAGAGGGGGGCAGCCACAAGGAGGGAAACAGATGTGTGCATGAGGACCCGGGAGACAGGGATCTGGGAGAGGGAGTGGGAGCGGCTGGTGGGAAGAACTGAGGGAAAGGAAATGCTGTGGGCAGACAGGGAAGGCCAGGAGGGGGAAGGGCTGAGTGTGCCACTGCGGGGCAGGGGAGACATGAGAGACAGGCTGGGCCCAGCAGCTCCTCACCCACCATCCCCAGCTTCAAATCCCCTTTCTGTTCCCAGGGAGGCCCTTCTGGCTCTGCCATGGGCTGACTCTCAGTGTCCAATGGTCCAGAAGTTCCAGTGAGGTCCTGGCTGAGGCCTTATCCAATGGCCTGGGGATGGGGCCAGGGGGAGGTGAGGAGCTCACATCCAGGACTTTTCTGGGATCTATCACCCAGGCTTGCACCCCAGGCGAGGGGGCTGGTATGACGGATGGGGGAGGGTGTCTGCCGCATGGCGGTGCACCTGTTCCTATCTGACATCCTGGTTCCTCCTGTGGGGCTGCCAAGCAGGGAAGTGAGAGTGCGTGGTGGGGCGGGCTGCCTGGCAGGAAGGGCTAATTCCCAGCTAATCCCCCAAGCCTACCCCACCCAGTGCCTTGCACTGCTCTCCCATCCCCCACACTCTCAGGTCCCCTTCAGCTCCCCGCAACGCCTCCCCTGTCCTGGCACCCTGTTCCAGTGCCCTTCAGACCCTGCACCCAAACAGAGGGCCTCTCTGGGGTTCAGGGCAGCAAGTGAAAGCCAATGAGGGGGCAGCAGTAGACCCCTCCTTTTTTGAGTTTCCTTCAGGGGCACCTGGGATTACACCCACTCCAACTCCACGTACTTCAGAGAGGCTGGGAGGAGGTCCAAATTAGGGTTTATGGGATTAATGACTTTTCTTCTGGCCCCCCAGACTCTCTCCCCAACTCCAAGCCTCACGCTTTCCTCCCGTTGGCCTCTCCCGGGACCCAGACCTTACAAGGAGCTGCAGTAGCCAAGCATGCCTCCTTTCACAGGGGCTGGGGAGGGGAGGAACCGCATCTGGCACCCGGCCCCTTCCTCATGCCCACAGCACCCCTTCTTTGGCGAGGGAGAGGACAGGCTGGAGCAGGGACACATCCTGGTTCTCACACCAGGTTCTCCAAGGATGCTGCACAGACAGCCTCGGGCCCCTTGCTCTTCACTCCTCCATACCTAAGCGGGGAACTGAGGCTAAGCACATTTCTGTTGAGGTGGCAGAGGATGGCGTGTCACAGGAGGACAGGAGGTGGTTGAGATGTAGTAGGGGTGGGGAACACTGGAAAGTGGGGAGCAGATTTCTGTTGTTTGTGGGTCCTGGGACCCAGCGGGCTCTCCTGGTGGGTGGGAAAGGTTCTGTAGGGGCCACCAGAGAAGCCCCTCCTGGGCCCATCCCCCTGTGCCAGCCGTCTCGGGACCTGCTGGCTCCTGGACCCATGGGACCCCTCTTATACTCAGCGCCATCATGTCCCTCCCAGCAGTCCTGTCTCCTCCACCTGTCCTTGTCTCTGTCCCCGTCTCTCTCCCCTCCCACCCTGCTCATCCCAAACCACTCAGCACAAGGGCCGAGGCCAGGCTTCCTCACCGTATGTGGCCCCTTGGCCTGAGTCCCCAGCGCTCAAATTCCAGTTTCTCAGTCTGAGACACCTTCACCTTCCTTTGGCTCTCAGGGAGGTCACCTGTTTGCTGAAACTCCTCTGATCTTACCACGTCCCGCAGACACTGCCTGGGGTCTTTGCACTGTGGCCTCTGTGTACCTCGCAGTATCTTCCAGGGCCCACGGTAGAGACAGCCCTGCTCACCACCCATCCCTGCAGAGCCTGTGGGCTCCCCTTCAGCCCAGGACTTAGAAGTCCCGAGCTGGCCACTCTACTGAGAGTGCCTCAAGGCTAGGAACTCCCCTGGACCCTGGGCCCTCTGGGCAGGGCCTGGAATGAGCAGGCACTCAATAAAGGTTGGTTGAATTCAACTGTCCAGCTGGCCCGGGGGGTCAAGAGGAAATGTGGGTGTGCAGCCTTGACCCTGGGGGCTCCTTGGTAAGAAAATGAAGTGGAGGCCAGCGTGGTGGCTCACACCTATAATCCCAACACATTGGGAGGCCAAAGCGGGTGGATCACCTGAGTTCAGGAGTTTGACACCAGCCTAAGGGGCCGGCTGGGATGCAGGGAGTGAGGCCACTTCTGGGGCCCACAGAGGGATAAGGAGGACTGTTGGAACAGGAAGGGGCCCTAGACTTGATTTAGGTTTCACCGGTGGGAAAACTGAGGCTCAGAGAGGGGAAACAGTGTATGGCAGAAATGGAACAACATTCCTGCCCTCTGGCTCCTGGTCCACATTTCTTCTCCTGTTCTCACCAGGCCCCTGCCCACCTCCCCCACCCTTTCATTGCCAAGCCCAGCAGGTAGGGTGCAGGCCCTTCCAGGAAGGGCAAGAAGGGGCTCTCAGAGCAGGAGGGAGGTGGGTGGGTTTACCTGTGGTCCAGAAGCAGGGGTGGGTGGCTAGGGGTTATGAGCTAGGGTGGGCTCAACTGGATGGTGGCATATTCCACAGCCTCTGCAGGCCCTGGCACGGGGGTCCGCAGCCCTGGCACGAGTTCCAGGGCAGAGGTGTCCAGCTCTGCATAGTGGCTGTGAGTGTCCTTTAGGCCAGAGCCCTAGGAATGAGGCAGAAGGGACAGGTGGCAGGAGGGGTCGGTGGGGGTGTGGTCAGGACCAGACGAGGCACCCCAGGGCCAGGCGTCGGGGGAGATGGGAGGTGTGGGTGTGCAGGGAAGCATATGAGAGAGAAGGGAACCATGGAGTGGTCAGGCGGATGGGGGGAGAGAGAGACGCAGAACACCAATTACTCAGTGACAACAGAGGAAACAGGTTTAGAAAAGGTGTTTACAAAAATTAGTCACAAAACATTTACCTGCTGTGCTAAGCTGTGTCCTCTTAGGCCATGGGCATGGGTGGACAGAGGCAGGGTGGGTCCTACTCCTGAACCCCCTGTATTTGCCTCCGAGACGTTATTTGTGCTAACCCTTTCATTTTGCAGAGGGAAGAGAGATGCCTGGAGAGGGGACATGCTGTGCAGGGGGGCATGGGGAGGCTCCTGGGGCATAAAACAGAACTTGGAGTCAAAGGGCCTGGCTTTAAAGTTTTGCCGGACCCCCCTGCTGTGGCTTGACAGGCAGATGGCTCAACCCATCTGAGCTGAGTTTTTCTTTTGTGAAATGGGAAAATAGAACTTATAAGCATATCACTATGGTTAGAACCCAGGGCTCCAACTCCCACCTCTAGCTATTCAGCGGCACTGCAGTTCTTTGACTCTTAGTGTGATTTGCAAATTATTAGAATAAGAGTGCTCCAAGGACAGGGGCTGACATGAAGTTGAGTAGCAGAGGCTCTCCCTCCCTCTGCTGGGAGTTGCAGATGTGCGAATGGGGACCCAGGAGACAGGGAGCTGGGAGAGGGAATGGGAGTGGCTGGTGGGAAGAACTGGGGTAGAGAAAATGCTGTGGTCCAGAAGCAAGGGTGGGTAGCTACTGACAACTCACCCTGTGGCTGTGCCAAGCTCCTTTCCCTCCCAGGGCCTCAGTTTCCCCTTCAGCAAAATAGGAGGGTGGCTTGATGATCCCTGAGGTCCTTCCAGCTCTTCTCTCTAGATCTATCCTCACAAGCTCCTCCTCCTCAGCTCAATGCTCAGTGCCAGTGTGCAGGCAGATAGATCATCTGTCCACAGAGCAGGGGCTGAGGGAGAGGAGGGCTCCCGCACGCCGGGAGGGCAGGGGCTGGTACAGGAAGAAGGCTGTGTGCTATTGCAGGGAGCTCTGTGACCTGGGCTGCTGCTCACTCTTTTCCTTGGCTGGGCCGCCTGGGCAGCAGGGAAAGCTAGGTGTGCTGATTTCAGTTGCCCTCCATCAACGCCCATCTCGTGTCCATCAATGACACATGGCATGGGCAGGGACACATGGCAGAGCTAAGATGAATGCAATGAGCTCCTGATTCCTCACAAGGGAAAGTCACACTCTGACACCTGCTCCTCCCTTTGGCCCTGTGCTTCCACAGCCTGCCTGGAGTTGGAGGTGGGGTCAGGGGCTGGGAGGAGACACCTCTTTTCCAGAAGGAAGCAGCCTGGGTTGGAGGTTGGGGGTACAGGAGACCAGGGGCAGAAGGAAGGGGAAGGAGGCTAGACAGACAGGAAGTCTGGGTCCCAACCCACAAGTTGGGGGGACCTATAAGTGTGGCTGAGGGGCGGGGAGGTGGGGTCTGGGCAAGCAGCACAGTGTGAGTAGGAGATGCTGGGAGCAAAAGTGTTTTTTTCTTTTCTTTTTTTTTTTTTTGACGGAGTTTTGCTCTTGTTGCCCAGGCTGGAGTACAATGGCATGATCTTGGCTCACCACAGTCTCTGCCTCCTGGGTTCAAGCGATTCTCGTGCCTTAGCCTCCTGAGTAACTGGGATTACAGGCGTGTGCCACCACATCTGGCTAATTTTGTATTTTTAGTAGAGACGGGGTTTCTCCGTGTTGGTCAGGCTGGTCTCGAACTTCTGACCTCAAGTGATCCGCCCGCCTCAGCCTCCCAAAGTGCTGGGATTACAGGCATGAGCCACTGCACCTGGCCACAAAAGTTCTTATCCCCAGGAGCTGCCGAGACTTTGGCTTCGCTGGAGGAAGTCCCATAAAGATGGGAAGAGTGGCTGCTGCTCTGGGATGGTGTGAAGGCCATCCTGCAGAGGCAGAGGGGTACATTGGTGGTGTCCCCATGACTAAATGGATCCTACCTCTTGTCCCTCCCATCATCCTGAGGATGCCTGGGGACTGGTTCTTCAGGTAAATGCGAGGCCAGGTGTGTCCTGGGGTTGTGCAGACTCTATAGATTTCCACTGGGGAGGTCTTCCAGACAGCTTCTTTATGCAGACCTTCCCTAGCTGTGTGCCACTGGACAGGAGCAACCTGACTCTGAGCCCCAGGGAAGCCTGGGAGTTTAGAGGGTGATGGCCAAAGGTCGTTTGGGAATATCTCACCCAGGTAAGTGGAGAGGAGCTCAACTACATGGTTTGGGACCACCTTATCCAGGATGTGGGGCTGCCCAGGGAGCACTGGGCACTTTGCCTTTAGCCTTCGTAGAATCTGTCTCAAAGATGACAGAAAGCAATGACATGTGACTCCTGCTGGGTGATACCAGGAGGGTCCCAAGAAAACAGGTGGCGAAAGGTAAAATAGAGAATTGGGCCAGCACCTGCTGGCAAGGAAGACCTCACCCAAAGTGGAAGGCAGGCCCTGGAGAGTTCCTGGCACAAAGTGGTAGCCCAGTTGCCAAATCTTTCATCAGCAGGGACCTGGGAGAACATCGTGGTGGAGGGGAGTTTCAGGTCCAGTGCTTCACGCATTTGAAAGATGTGCAGGGAACAGGGCTGCAAGGGCAGCAGAGCTGGCTGGTTATTGTTAAGTCATGTTGGAGAAGGAGAAACTGAGGGCCATCAGCAGTTAGAGGCTCAACCTCAGAGCTGGAGACCCTCTTTGGTTGCTTCCAAAGAGACCCATATCCTACCGTGGAGGAGTGGACACAGCTGAGGAACAGACCCAGGATGTGAGAGTAGGAATCAGAGGGCTCCAGGGCAGCTCAGCCAAGGCAGGCCTGTTGTGCTTGGTAAGGGCCCTGCTGGGGAAAACCTGGGTCTCTGAAACCGATGGGAGGATGAGTGAGTGGAGAACCTTGAGTGGGTGGCCCACTCTTCTCTAGTTAAAGAGCTAACAGCACCGCATGCTGGAAGATGCTGTGGAGGCCTTTCCCCTGCGAGGCAACGGATGCCCCCTCCTCTGTTCCTGGCTGTAGGCTGATGCTGGGGTTAAAGCCCAGCACAACCCAGCTGGGTCCATGCTGGACCTGATCAAGAAGGAAGATGACAGGCCTGCAGAGCCAGGAGAGCAACAGCAAGCTAGCGTTGACCAGCAGAAGTCTGGGGAGCACCCCTGGGTTGGATTTTGAGGGTTCTTGACCAAGTGAGCCAGAATATAGACTGAATAAACAAGAATTCATTGATTTGGGAGCGCACTTTCTCAGGACATGGGATTCAACACCCTTCAAGGACCCCAAAGGATTGGGCAAATTTACTGCTGAGGCATGGTGTTTGCACAGTGCACAAGTGCAGAATTGGGATTGACATACTAAACCCACATGAGGTCTGTGGGGGTGAAGGCCAACTGGAAACTCTGAAACTACCTCATCACCCAAGAGAGTAAATCAAAAAGGATATTGTACTCAGGACGGGGAAGATGGCAGAGATCATTGTCATCACTAAAGACCTAAAGGATGCAAGGGTGCAGGGCCCTCTCTAATCTTCATTTAACTAATCAGTCTGACCCCTACAGAAACCAGACAGATCCTGGAGAATTACGGCCAATGCTATGGTCTTAATGTTGGTATTCCCCCAAATTCATATTCTGAAATCCTAACCTCCGAGGGGATGACATTAGGAAGTGAGGCCTTTGGGAGGTGAATGGGATTAGTGCCCTTATAAAAGAGGCCCAGAGGGCTTCTATCCTCTTCCACCGTTTGAGAACGCAAAGTGAAGTCACCATCTGTGAACCAGAAAGTATTGCCCTCACTAGACACTGAATAGCTTGATGCTTTGGACTTCCCAGCCTCCAGAACTGTGAGAAACACGTTTCCATTGTTTATAAGCCACCCGGTTCATGGTATGTTTTTATAGCAGCCTGAATGGGAAAAGACAGCTAGCATAGCCTCAATCAAGTGGTCACCCCGATGGCAGCTGCTGGAATGGTCTTCTAAATGACAGCTGCAGTGCCAGTTTGGCGGCAATACTCCGAAAGGCCTCTATAGGATGCTATGTCCCCACTAGGAAGAGTACATGGGCCTGGGAACCAAGGGATGAAAGCAGGAGTGGATTTTTAAAAAAAGTAAAAAGAAAAGGATAGGCCAGGCATGGTGGCTCACGCCTGTAATCCCAGCACTTTGGGAGGCCAAGGTGGGTGGGTCACTTGAGGTCAGGAGTTTGAGACCAGCCTGGCCAACACGGTGAAACCCCCTCTCTACTAAAAATACAAAAAAATTAGCCAGGTGTGGTGGCACGTGCCTATAGTTCCAGCTACTCAGGAGGCTGAGGCACGAGAGTCATTTGGACCTGGGAGGCAGAGGCTGTGGTGGGCCATGATTGCACCACTGCACTCCAGCCTGGGCAACAGAGTGAGACTCCATCTCAAAATAAAAACAAAAACAGAAAAATAAAAACAAAACCAACAACAAAATGAAAAAGAGAAAAACAAAGAAGAAAGCAGGAGTGGCTCACGGTTACCATCACACCCAGTGACCCAATGGGGGAATTTTGTGCTTTTATTCCCACAACTCTGAGCTCTGCGGGAGGGAGGGGCCCACAGACTATAAGCTAGGACTGCTGCCTGGGCCCTTGGACTGCATGTGTTTGGGGCCAGCAGGGAAGAAAAGGAGTTGGGTGGTGGCAGGGGTAACTGACCCATCAGCAGGAGGAGGCCAGGCTGCTTCTGTGCAATGGGGCTAGGGAGGAATGTGTGGAACCCACGCTTGGCCTACTTAGGGGCCTCTTCTCTTTTGAAGGAATGGACACTTCCAACAACCCTGGCCTGAGGAAGGTGTGCTCATCAAGGCCTCAGCGTCCTCAGGAATAAAACTTTTGTTCACACCAGGACCTGCTGTGGAGACAGCCGAGCGAGGGGAATTGAGAAGGGATATGGACAGGAGAGGATGGGTACCAGTGTGGCCCTAAGATCTGCTGCAGCAACAGGGGCCACATCCCCAGGAAGGAAGGCACACTGAATCGAAGAGGAGCTGCTCCCTGCCCCTGGATGGAAGAGCAGATCTCAGCACGCGGCAGACCGTGGCAGTGTGGACCCGGACAGCTGCGGAGCGTGGCTGGCTGCAGCCCCAGCTGCCACCCCGCTGGATCCACCCAGCATTTGTGCTGAGACCGCAATTCCCCTAGACCGCTCTCAGCCAACAACTAGACAGGCTGGGAATCCAGCGCAGGCCCTTTCCTGTGGGACGCAGGAGTCCTCTAATAGCAGCGATGGCCCAAGGATGGCACAGTGCTTGGCTACACTGCGCTGCCATCCTGAGACTTTCTTTTCAGCCCTCCTTCTTTCCCCATCCCCTTTCATGGGAGGTGGATCAGCATCCTGCTCTGAGGCTCTCCCTGCCACCTGCTGCTCCCTCGTGTGTCCTTCACAGGTGTCCCCCAGTGACTCTTGCATGTCTAATCTCAGCTTGGCATCTGCTCCTTGGAGTACCTGAACTTCAGACTCCATCCATCCAAAGGTCATTGGGTCCAGTTTTCTGCTTCTAGCCTGGGCTGTCCGTGCTCACAACACCGGGGAGATGGAAGCCCCTCTCCTTAGGACAGGGGATGTCTCCTCCTCCCTCCTTGTTGAGACATTGGCTTTGAGTCCTCTGGAAGTCCTTCCTCAGACCCAGTTTAGAGCCTCCCAGCTCTCTAAATGGTTCCTGCCACTTGAGCGGTCCCTAGTCCAGAAATCATGGCGGGTGTTGAGTGGAGTACCACGGCCTTAGTGAGCACCCTTGGGTGTGTGTGCATCATGGACCTGGCCCACACAGAGGGGCCTTGGCCCACCCGGTCTGGGGCCGCTGAGCTTGGCCCCCAGGCTCCCTGCAGCCTTCCCACCTCCCTTGAAGCCCCATGGTGAACAGCGCCTGCTCTCTGCCTGGCTCCTTCTCGTGACTTTTTGGGAAGGAGAATTGATAATATCAATGATGTGACTTGTAGACAAGCTGCATCGCCAACGAATCCGAGTTCTGGGGATAAATCCTTTTCTCGCCCGGTAATTGCTCTGTAAGCCAAAAGGAATTACACTTTTTGGCAACCACAACAGAGCCTCCCCAGGACGCCAGAGCTTCCCTTCCGCTGGTGACTTCCACACACCACCCCGCAGGCCGTTCACAAGCCTCTGTCCATCCAGACGCCCTAACCACGGCCCCTGGGCTCAGGACATAGGGTGTAGGTGCTCTCTTCGCCCCCTCAACCTGCCGCTCCTGCCCGTGGCTGGTGGGTGGAGGTGGGCTCACTGTGCTCTTTGTCCCAAGTGGCTCTTGAATGGATACAGTCATCAGGGGATTCCACCAACCCAACATAAGCAGAGCCCGGGGAGGGAAGGCGGTGAGGGACGAGGAAGAGTCAGGGCCATGAGCTAGGGTCTGGGCTTGGATGAGAGAGGAGGGGAGCGAAAGGATGAGTGTGCAGAGGGACGGGTGAAGGCAGTGGGCACTGTCCTGAAGCTGCTCCTTGTGCCCCCAGGGAGGGCTGGGCATGCCAGGTGTGGGGGCAGCAGTCAGAGAGCAAGACCGAGAAGCGTCAGTGGGGATTAGGGCCAGCTGCAGCTGTTCCATTCCGTCACAGAGATTTTTATGCCGAGCCTGGGCCCACTCTATGGGGGATCCCACTGGAGTTTCCATGATTTTCCAAATTGCTCCCTTCCATCATCTTCCTTCTCCCTCCAGCCCCAGGCCCCCATCGCTCCCTCTTTCTCCTCCCCTTCTTTCACCATGGCTCTGACAAGTGAGGTTAGTGACTCTTGACTGGAGGCTAAGGGAAAAGGCCCATTTGGAGAACGCCGAATGAGGCATGGCTTTCTCTTTCTGGAAATAGTGGTCTCCCCGCTCCCCTACCTCCCTTGCTTTCGGGCCTGGGATGATGTGCTCTCTCTCTCCTGAGGCAGGCGTGAGCTGGTGTCTGCAGGTGGGAGATTCTCGCCCTGCTTGGTGCTTAGAATGCCCTGGCCCCCGACGCAGGACTCTGAACCCAAGTTCTCTGGCCTGTGTGTTCACTGTCTGGGTCCCTGGAGCTGAGGGGCCACCAGGCAGCAGAGCTGGGCCCTCCTGCTGACAGTAATCCCGGGGCTGCAGCAGCCTTGGCATTAGCGGTACCAGGTGACCCTGAGGCTCTCAAGCCCTGCCCAGGCTTCCCTGTGTTCAGGTGAACTGCCCAGCATCTGCTCATCATGCTGGCTGCTGCCTGCTTAGGGCCTGGACTTGAGAGCCAGGGTCCCAGGGTGTGAAGCCTTCCCCAATGTCTCTGGGTGATCTTGGGCAAGACTTTTGTTATGGTTTGAATGTGTCCCCCCAAATTCGTGTGTTGGAAAGTTTATCTTCAGTGTAAGGGTGTGGGAGGTGGGGCCTAATGAGAGGTGATTAGGTCATAGATTAGGCCTTCACGGATGCATTGTCTCTATCAAGGGAGCAGGTTAGTTATGGAGGCAGTGGGCATGTTATGAAACTGAGTCTGGCCCCTTCCTGCTCTCTGACTCTCAGGGCATGCTTTCTCGCCTGCCGGCCTTCCACCATGGGATGAAGCAGCAAGAAGGCTCTTGCCAGAGGCAGACCCCTCGACCTTGGACTTCCCAGCCCCCAGAACTGTAAGAAATAAATCTCTCTTCTTTATATATTGCCCAGTCTCAGGTATTTTTTTATAGCATCACAAAACAGACTAAGACACTTCAAGTTCACTGAGCCTCCGTTTCCTTATCTATAAAATGGGGCAACGGAAGGACTTATCATATAGATTGTTGAACAATCCATGTGATAAGAACAATGTTTGAAAAGTGACTAGCCAGCAAGTGTTCCACACTGTCATTATGATCCCTTCTGTTGGAACCGGCAGGCCCATGCTGTGCAGACTGGGATGTGGGGGTGCACCTCAGATGAGAAGGAGAGTGGTACAGGAGCTACCCAGCTGCTGTTTGAGGAATGGATGTTGTGTCCACAGTGAGTTCTAGCTCATTTCCATGTCTCTAGGTTGGTTGAGGAATAGCACATAGCTGGTGGTCCTTTGTACCCTGGGTAGTATCAGAAGGTGGACGCTGGGCTGGCTCTCTGGGCTCAGTACCCTGGGAAGGGAATGCTACCTCCCTGGGGGCAGGATTTGGCACCTCCAGATGGGTTCATGTTGGTACTTCCTGCCAAGAGTGAGGATGGCTGTACCACGGAGACAAAGGCCTGGCTCTCCTGCCAGTGCCAGGAGAGTGTGTGTTATCTTTGGGTCCAGGCGGTCTGGCCTGGGTCTCTGGGCTGCACTGTATGGGTAACACCCCTTGCCCCCAAGTCTGCTGAAAGGAGCCAGATATGGGCAAAGGTGGCAGCCATTCAAGTGGATGCTGGCCCTCTGAGTGGCTGGGAGTGAGGCCAGGAAGAGGCAGCACCTCCCGCTGGCAGCCCCGTTGGCAGCACTGGGAACTAAGGTGCAGGGTACAGAGCTGGAGGTGGGGCTTGGGGGAGGGAGAGGTGGGCACCAAGCTGGGGGGCCAGACTCATTGGAAATGCCAGTCTTCCAGAATGGTCTGTCCAGCATCCAGTCACCCTTTGCCCAGGGTGCCTGCAGTGCTTGGGTGGGCCTCCCTGTGCCCCCCTGCCCTCACCTCCTCCACCTCATCTGTCTGGTTTCCCTCTAAGGCAGCTGGGCTCATGGCCAGGCTGGGTGGTCCTGGGCTAGGGGCACTCTCCTCGAGGTTCGGTTGTCCTTACCGAGGGGTGGTAGGAGGGGGAGACCCCCAGATCATAGTAGGGGGGCTGCAGGGACAGCTTCTGCAAGTCCTCCTCTTCTTGCTGCTGCTGCCTCCCTGGGTCCAGGTGGACAACCTGGAAGAGAAGGCGGTGAGTGCTGCACAGACCTTTCCATGCCCCTGCTCCAGGTGGCCCTCATGGACTCCCAGTTGGATTGGGACTCCTCAGTTCCCATGCACCCCCATTCTGGCATCCCCCACACTGGTGACTGTCTTGGAGGGCACAAGTGCACCCTGAGCCTTTAGCTTTGCTGGCTCTAGCAGGGACCCAGCTTGGGGCCAGGCACCTGAGAGGTGCTCAATGCATTTTTTAAATGAATGAAAGGACTGTGAGGTAGAGGAAGAGGTCCCCTGGGGGCCCTGGGTAGGGAGAGTCCTAGGTTGTCATCTCTTAGGGTGAGGCAGATGGATCCCTCTAGCATGGACCTGGCCTTGTGGGAACTGGACCATGAAGGCGTGGCGGCTCTGTCTTCAGCTTGGGCTCTCTCCTTGGGGCCATCTCCCATTTTTCTCCCTCCCCGCAGTCCAGGGACCTTGTCCTCTGCTGCCTCAGGCCCACCTGGATATCCTCAGGCACAAGGGAGCTTTGCCTGCTGGGAGAAGGCTCCGGCTTCTGGGAGAGGGGCTGGTCGGTCCTGGAGACAGAATGAGGGTAAGCTCAGCACAGGAGCACACATGGGGGCTCTCCCCATCAGGCCACCAGACAGCTACCGGTCCCTGAGCCCCACTCACAAGAGCAGGCCCGGGAGCTCTGCTTCCCAGGCAGCCTCCTGAGAGGCCAGAGCTTGGGCTGGGGCTCCTCAGGGGTCATGGGTTACAGGCTGAGAGTGCCCGGCCACCTTTCCCAGGTGTGTCTGCCCCGGACCCCAGCCCAGCTTGGGATGGGAACCATGTGAGTCTCAGGTTTCCTAGCTCAAAGGACAGGGAGGAACCAGCAGCAGCACTGTGGGCCCTCACCCAGGGCGGGCATGAGGCCTCAGGTGCACGGTATGCGGCACCGACAGCCTTAGCCAGCACGGGAAATAACACATGATGCAAGATTTTAAAGATGAAAATCAACGTAAAAATCCGTGATGAACAAAACGTCCACATTGTAAGTAAAGACAGGATCCATCACAGTGGTGTGCTGGGTGTCTGATGCGAAAGGAAAAGTCAGTTATTCTAATCCTGTCTTTATTTACAATGTGGACGTTTTGTTCATCATGGGTTTTTGCTTTCATTTTGATTTTTTTAAAATATCACATTAAAATATGATTTATCCTGATGGTTGAGGGTTTTGGCTCCCCCCATATACTTTGTGCCTCTCTCTCCTCTCTGGTCCTAGGTCTGCCCTCACCCCTTGTCAACGGCTGGGAGCACGTAAACTCTTGCAAATTATTTAACCTCTCTGTGCCTCAGTTTCCTCACTATAAATCGTGGATGGTAATCATGCACCTGCTCCTCTGAGCTGCTGTGAGGATAAAATGCATCTTTATGAAGCCCTTTTGAACTGGGGCGGTGCCTGGCACGTAGCAATCACCACTCAGGAGGGTCAGCTCTTCCTGCCAAAGGGTTAGTTCCTGGTCCCCCAGGGTGGGGAGGCCCTAGAAAGGCCCTGAGCTTTCACAAGTTTAGGTGCTTTAAGTCTGGGGCTCCCAGGGTGCTGGGGAGCAGACCAGTGGGAGTTTAGTGGGCAGAGTCCTGCCTGGCTCACCCGGCCCCATCCGTCTCCGGTGGGCTCTTCTGCTGCCGGTTGTACAGGAAGAAGACAGTGAGCACAGCAACTAGGATGAGGAACACGGCCACGGTGCCCGCCAGGAGCCTGGCTGCACTTCCCAGACCCCTCTGGGGGCGGGGCTTTTCTGGAAACAAAAGACAGGGAAGAGGATTAGAGAGAGAAACTCAAGTGACCCAAAGAGAGTCAGAGATGTGAGAGAGTCAGACCCTGAGGCAGTACTCTGCCTTTGACATTGCACCCCCAGCTCCCCTCCCCATGGTGCTCCAGTTCTAGGAGGGGCTCCCAGCCGGTGTGGGATGGAGGCTCCTCCTCTAGTTCCCTATGACCCTGTAACCCCACACCCTGCTCTGATCCTGGGATCTGGGGCATGGAGGTAGAACAAGGGTGAGGGTATCTCCTGGACAGGCAGCAGGTGCTGAGATGGGGTCCCCACCCCGTCATTCCATTTCTGGCCCTGCAGGGAAGATTCCTGTTGAGGAGTTTAACTTCTTTCCCCTCCCTGTGCAATTAAACAAGCAAATGAACTAATGGGTGCTTCACCCTCCCAGCTTGGGACAGAGGGTGAGGATCAGGAGGGAAAGGCAGGAGCTGGGAGGGTCGATGAAGAAGGGGCACCTGGGGGTGCCTCCCGGGAAACCAAGCCTCTTCAGTACAGATAGGTGAAAAGCCCAGAGGGCTGTGGTCTAAGGTGAGGGGGCTGAGCCCACCTTCTGGACCCACCTGGTCATGGACCCAGAAGATTGCTGGGCTTGTCGAGGTATTTCACAGTCTGAGCTGGAGACACTGGTCTGTCCCTGAAGCCCAGGAGGCTGCAGAGACTGACCCTGTGGCCAGGGGCACATGCTGCTTCTCAGCGATCCAGGCTTGGCTGTGAAGCCACAGCTGGCCCTTCCAGTTCCTCCTTCTGCTGGGCTCGATTTCTCACCTCTGACCTTTACGACCCCAGCGTGGAGTGGGGGGTAGGGACTAAGGAGAAAATCACACACTTATGTACTCCTTCCTCTCCACTACCATATTACATATAATTAAACACGGAGAGCACCTGAATAGAGATGCCAAATTGCAGTTTGCAGTAAACATCATGGAGCCAATTTTCCTAAAGTGGAATTGACAAGTCCCTTCCACTCACTCACTCACTTACTCACTCACTCCCTCCTCATTCACTCACTCACTTTCTGTCTCTCTCCCCTTCTCTCTGCTCCATTCCAGTGCCCGGAAGGAGGGGGTATCTTGCTCCCAGTAAATTTGCAACCCCTCTCTGGCCTGTCTGCAAAGGCTCTGGCCCCAGCATCCATCCATCCACAGCTGGTGGCTGTGGCCGCCTTTGGAAGGCAGTTTCCCGTGTTGTCCAGGCTGGTCTCAAACTCCTGAGCTCAAGTGATCCTCCCGCCTCAGCTTCCCAAAGTGCTAGGATTACAAGCATGAGCCACCGTGCCTAGCTCCAGAGTGATCGTTCTAAACTACAAATCAGATCAGGCCACCTCCCTACTTAAGTTCCTCCAAGAGTTCCTCCAACAGTTTGTGGCCTTTATCAAAGCGTTAAGGGCTGAGGCCTTTCACGACCTGGTTCCTGGAGGAAACGCCATGCCGCCCCCAGCCTGGACCACTTGCAGCTCCCAGACAGGGAGCCCCTGCTTCCTCTCATCCTCAGGTAGCTAGTAGGAGCCACTCTGTCTGCCAGGGTCTCTCTTTCTTCCCCTTCTTTGCCAGGCCAATCCAGCCTGCAGGTTTAAGCTGGACGTGCTTCCTCCAGAGAGCCCTCCCTGCCTCCTCCACTGGAATGGGGTTCCTCCTCTGGACTTCCCCTGCACTCTCTTTCAGTCTCTTTTCTTTTCTTTTTCTTTTTTTTTTTTAGACGGAGTCTCACTCTGTCGCCCAGGCTGGAGTGCAGTGGCGCGATCTCGGCTCACTGCAAGCTCTGCCTCCCGGGTTCATGCCATTCTCCTGCCTCAGCCTCCCGAGTAGCTGGGACTACAGGGACCCGCCACCAGGCCCGGCTAATTTTTTTTTTTTTGTATTTTTAGTAGAGATGGGGTTTCACCATGTTAGCCAGGATGATCTCGATCTCCTGACCTCGTGATCCGCCTGCCTTGGCCTCCCAAAGTGCTGGGATTACAGGCGTGAGTCACCGTGCCTGGCTTCTTTCAGTCTCTTTTCTACAGACTGTGATTGCACGTCTGACTTGTCTCCCCAGCCCTGCACAGTGCCTGGCATGCAGAAGTGCTCAGTAAGTGTGGTGAATGAATGAAGGCTTGCCTGAATGTGTAGTGGGCAGTTCTGGGAGAGGGTCCACCGGGCGGGCCTCTGGAATCTCACCTTCCACTAGGGGGAGCTCTCACCTTGAGTCCAGCCACCACCACGCTGGATGCTACGAATTCAGTTTCCCTGGACACAACTCAAACCTATATCCCCTTTTCTTCTCAGCACAGCTGAGGCAGGCTGGCATTTCCAGAGGGCTAGGGTGGGAGGGGGAGCAGTAGGGAAATGAACACATACCCTGTCCGGCTCACAGAGTTCAGGTTTCTCTTCTACCACGGTTGGCCCCACATGGAATCCGAACAGGAGGAAGAGACAGGTTCAGGACAAAAGGCTGGGATTTCAGCCCTTACTCCCTGCCTCCAGGAAACTTCTCTCAGAGGCTTTCACCCATCATCCCCTCATGGACTCTGCAGCCACTTTGCCAAGAGAGGGTGGCAGCTGTCTCTATAAGGGCCCTTTCATCATCCTTACAGTGCAAACAAAAACACAGCCATCCCTCGGCATCTCTGGGGGATTGGATCCAGGACCCCTAGCGAATAGCAAAATCCAAGCATGCTCAAAAGTCCCTTATATAAAATGGTGTAGTATTTGCCTATAACCTATACACATCCTCCCATATACTTTAAATCAGCTCTAGATTACTCATAATACCTGGTACAATGTAAATGCTGTGTAAATGGTTGTAATACTGCATTATTTAGGAATAACAAGAAAAAGGTGTACATGTTCAGTGCTGACACTACTCTCCATTTTCTTTTTTTCTGAGTATTTTTGATCTGCAGTTGGTTGACTCCACGGATGCAGAACCCATGGATGGATACAGAGGGTTGACTGTATAAGAAGTGAGTCTGTGAATGCACTCGTGTGGGCATTAGGAAAACCAAAGGCTAAACAGGGTGGGATGTGGTGGGCAAGGCCTCACACGTGCCAGGGCCACAGTGGATAACTCTGATTTTGTTCCCTCCAAATTGCCCTCACTCCCTGTCCCACCCTCTCAATATCTGAGTGCAACTTCCATTGTCACCATGGGCCTTGCCTGATGCACCTGGAGGGTCGCACCCTGGTGGAAGAAATACTAGTGGAGAGAAAATGAGATGTGGGGACAAGAAAAGGGAAATCCAAGGAGGAGAAATTGGCCTCAAGTCTCTGGCATGCAAGGCACTGTGCCAGGTGCCTTTGCTGATTTGGGGCATATTTGATCCTCGTATTGAGCCTGCAAAATGAGATAATGTTATCCCTGATGAGCAAGATAAAGCTCAGAGAGGTTAAGTAATTCGTTCAGGATCGTCCAGATAGTCAGTGGCTGAGGGCACTGGGATCTGCGCCTGTGTGCTGTTCTCCCTGCCTCAGGCTGTGGGGTCTTAGTATTTCTCATCCCTCACTTGGCATGGGCCTGCCATCCCCCTTTTCATCCCTTATCAGACATAGCCCTGCCTACCCCCTCCCTGAATAGGGGGGCCCTGGTTGCTTTGTCTCTGAGCCTCCCCTTGACAGCTGTGAGGAAGGGGCCTGGTGCTGGCCCCAGCCAGAACCCTGGCATTGAGCCCCCAGACACTCTCTGGTTACACCGTGACAAATTGGTTCCCCCGCTCCCAGCTCCGCAGGCTTGAGGGCAGGCCCAGTCACCTGCAGGCAGCTGGGTCTGGCTGTGAGCCGGGAGAGCTGGAATCAGTGTCGGGGGGTGGGGGTGGGGCCTCCAGGGAGCACTTATTGCCCACCAGGCTCCGGGCTGGACCCTGTCCTTGCAATGATCCTGGGAGGTTGGCTATGTGCCTCTTGCTGTACTGCAAAAGGGCAGAGCAGTCAAGTCAGCAGTCCAGGTCCCACAGCTAGGGCCGCCACAGCTGGACTTGGGTCCAGTTGACCACTGAAGTCTCTGTCCTGTTAGTCATCAGGGCCTGGGCTCCTCTCAATGGCTTCCCTGGGAGAGCCCGCACTCGGTCCTGGCTCACGCCGCAAGGATGGCCTCTGGGGGTCACACCAGTGACACTCCCTGGGCCTCAGTTCTCTCACCTGTCACATGGTGACAGTGCATCTGGTTTTCCTGTCCCTCAGACTGAGATAGTGAAATCCATGGTTAGGGGGTAAACACAGATGGGTTCATTCTGGGGGCTGCAGGCCGCGTGCTACTGGGGCTTCTCTGCTCTTCCAGGAACAGCTCTACTGGATTCACTGAGGCCTCGTGGTTTGGGAGCCCGAGGAGCTTTGGGTCACACCCAAGTAGCCAGCAATCTTCACCTGCTTCTCCCGACCACCCCCCTCTCAGCCAGATGTCAGTGTTCCTGCACCCCAGGCTTCCCTCAGGGTGGGAAGCGAGCCCAGACATCCAGCTTCACGGCGTGCTCCCTTGCCCTACCTGTTGTTCCTCCTTCAGTTAGACAAACGTGTGCCTCACACTTCTATGTGCCAGGCATTGTGCCCGGTGTGAGGGGCTTGCCCCCTGGCTAATGGAGGAGTCATACACGTATGCAAATAAGTATGCTATTTTGTGATTCATGCTGCAAGAGAGGTCTCTTCCCACAGAGCAGGGGGCCTTCTGAACAGGGTTTTGATAGCATAGTAGGAGTTCACCGCGAGAAGAACATTGTAGGCAGAGTGAGGAGGGCTACCGGGGCACGTGTGTGAAATGTGGGGTATATGAGGGAAATTCCAAGTATTGGATATGGCTGGGAAATGGGCTGCAAAGGGAGAAAGACAAGGAATCAGGGGGCTGGGAGGAGGGGGCAGAGCATGCTCAGAGGTTTAGATTTCTAATAGGTGATATTAGGTAATAGTAATGCCCTCTCTCCTGCCGCCTCTCCCTGGGGACACAGACACTACCTTTCTCATGAGCTGGATTGATAAGGGCTGTCCTGGAGTCACCTCCTCCAGAGCTCCCCAGGGCAGCCACTTGGCACTTCTGCCCCTGAAGCTGTCCTGGGTTGGTCTGCCCTCTGCTTGTCTCCTCTGATGCAGGCCACAGGTGTTTGCGGGGAGCCAGGAGCTCAGAGCAGGCTGGGTGTTTGGACTTGGTGCCTGGAGGTCAAATTGGCTGGAGGAAGGGCTGATTTTACCACCCAGGGCCCATCCAGTGGCTGAGTCTGCCTGGCCATGTCTCCAGCCCACGTGTGCTGGACTGACCTTTCCCCCAATGACCAGAGAGGCAAGGGCTGGAGGCAAGTCTTCCTGGCCAACCCTCCTGTGTTCGGAAGGTCTGGGGCAGACTCCAGCGGTCTCACTGCTGGGAGGGCTCCCAAGTCTTATCTGAATGTCATTGTTACGTTGAAACCCAACTGTGAGAACCCAGGACCCCATCCACAGGGACAGGAAGCTTCTGACTTCATAGGCTGGAGCCAGGGGACCTTGCAGGCTGGCAGGACTTCTGGCACACCCTTCATGCTCAGGGACCAACAGTGGCCATCCCTGCACTCCTGTAGCGTCAGCATCCAGGCTAAGCTCCTCAGCCTGTCCCCCAAGGTCCAGTCAGGCCCATGTTTTGTCCCACACATGCCTTGCTGGGTGTTTCCAGCTTTCTCTGTCTCCGTCTCAACATCTCATTTCCATTCCATCGTCCCAGAACTGCAAGCTGGGCTGGCTGCCGCACCGTCACACGTGGGGGTTGTGGGACTCTCCCCTTCCCTTGCTCAGGAGGGGACATACCCCTCTCCTCCTCAGTTTAGCTCATACAGGAGGGAACTCTTTCAACTGCTTTCCTCTGAGCCAGGGTGGTGAGGGAACCCACCTAGAGACTCAAAACCGAAGAAGTCACAGAGTTCTTTCCTTGGCTCAGACTCAGCCAGGCCTCTGTCCTCCCCTTCTCTTAGGCTATAGGGCTAGGAGGCTCAACCCTCTTGTCTACAGCCTGAGGTGGCCTTCGGTGGGCTCTGCGCTGGAGCTGCTGGGAGTCCCCTGCCTCCTGGCCTTTTCCTTGAGTTGGGCTCCCGGTCTCTTCCTCTAGCCTGGACTGGCTTGCATTTCAGCCTTGTGTCTGTTCTGGTGGGCCCCTCAGTGCAAAAAGCCTTTTCTCCTTGGCCACACAGAATTTGCTCTGGTTCTGAACTCAGGTGGAGGTCATCTTGAAGTCCCATTCTTCAGACCTCCTGGATGGAGGCTGGAGGCCCTGAGCTCTGCAGTCCTGCCCTCTTTCCTCCCTTGCCCGACTTCCAGTCCATCTCCCTGGAGCTGATGTAAAGTGCTTAGTACAGTGCGTGGCACATAGTCAATATGTAATACGTGGTTGCTATTTTTGTTATTAGCTGTTCAATAAACAGAAATGGATGAAGTTGCTGCTGACGGTAACGGGGATGATGTTGGCCCATCCCCCCTCCGTAGAATCTCGGCTGCTTCACCTGTGCTGGCTCTCTGGGCCAAGTTAAACCCGTGGTCACATTATCATAATATCAATTATAGGTTTCATGTGCTTTTACTTAAATTATTTTATTTGATGCCCCCACCCCTTTGAGTCTGTTGACAGATGGTAACTGGAGCTCAGAGAAGGTTGGTGAAATGCTCAGGGTCACACAGCTCACTGATGAGGGAGGTGAGGGAGGAACCCAGGCAACCTGGTTCTCAGTGCAGTGCCTGGGGCCATTTTCATGCCCCCCACTGCCTCCATCTCTCAGTTTATCTGCAGAGGAAGATAGCTCAAGGTTGAGCTGGCCACCTTCTTAGCTGTCTAATCTTGGGCAAGTCACTCAAACCCTTTGAGCCTCAACGTTTTCGTCTGTGAAATGAAATAAGAGCAGGACTGTTGTCGGCCATGAGTGAGGTAATACTGCATGTTAAAGCATAGTGGCTGTGGACAGTCGGTGCCTAGTGAGGGTTGGTTCCTGAGGGCAGGGACATGCCTGCTCCTGTGGCAGACCTGCCAAGCAGCTGAGGCTCGCATCCCTGATCTCATCCTGCCTGTTGGCCTTTCTCGTGCTGGCTCTCAGCTTTCCTTAGTCCCTTCACCATCACCATCCATGGGCCACACACCCCCAACTGGTCTAGGCCTGTGCAGGCCTCAAGATGAGGGGCCAGAGCTTGCGGCGCATGTGTGTGTGTGTGTGTGTGTGTGTGTGTGTGTGTGTGTGTGTGTGTGTGTGTGTGTGTGTGACTGTGACCCCCTTTGGAAAGGGTTGAGGATTGTCACTTCCCACTTCACCTAGGATGTTCCCTCTATCTGGAATGCTGTCTCCAATGTCACCAGCACCCCTGCCCCACCACTCCCTGCCCTCCACACCTTGAGTTGTCATTAGGAGTAAGAAGGAACCTGAGCAAGGCCGACTCTGAACCCCCTCCAAGCTCAGGCCCAGCTGGAGAGAGTTACTGGGATTTCACGCACATTCCTGAGGGGAGAGGGACTATCTCCCTGTTAGGGACCCTGCTGCGCAGGGACCTGACCCCCAGTCCTCTTGGAGGGGGTGGCTGATCTGTCACACACCCAGCCTGCCCACCTCCTCTGGGTGCCCTCTTCCCTCTCCTAGCTCCTAACTCTTTCCTCCCTATCTGCTTCTCACAAAGATCTTCCTTAATGGAGGGGGTGGCGGGGGGAAGCACCAAATCTGCAAAAGCACAAAGTGTAGTGGGAAAGTCATGACTGGATTCTCCCCTCACTAGCAGTGTGACCTTAACTGTGCTGAACCTTAGTTTTCTGTAAAAGGGAGAAAAGGGACTGGGCGCGGTGGCTCACGCCTGTAATCCCAGCACTTTGAGAGGCCGAGGTGGGTGGATCACCTGAGATCAGGAGTCTGAGACCAGCCTGGCCAACATGGAGAAACCCCAACTCTACTAAAAATACAAAAAATTAGCCAGGCATGGTGGTGGGTGCCTGTAATCCCAGCTACTCAGGAGGCCGAGACAAGAGAATCACTTGAACCTGGGAGGCGGAGGCTGCAGTGAGCTGAGATCGTGCCACTGCCTTCTAGCCTGGGTGACAGAGTGAGACACCGTCTCAAAAAAAAAAAAAAAAAAAAAAAAAAAGGGAGGACGGGTAGAAATAAATGAGGTAAGCACGTGAGAGCCTGGCACTGAGCGGCGCCCAGAAATAATAGGAATAGGGTCAGGGTGGGGTGATGGTGGTGGTGTGATGGTACTGGTGCAGTGGTGGTGGCAGTGATGATGGTGGTGATAGTGGTGGTGATAGAGGTGGTAATAGTGGTGGTGGTGATGGTGGTGGTGATGGTGGTGGTGGTGGTGATGGTGGTGATGGTGATGGTGGTGATGGTGGTGGTGATGCTGGTGGTGGTGATGCTGGTGATGGTGGTGATGGTGGTGGTGGTGGTGATGGTGGTGATGGTGATGGTGGTGGTGATGGTGGTGATGGTGGTGGTGCTGGGCCAGCTGCATGAAGATGAGCACCAGACTCTTCCAGCACCAGCAGGATACTTCATCACCCACCATGGCTGAGACCTCCTGGAGCCACTGTCCAGCACCCAGCAGGACAGCTGGGCAGAGCAACGGGCCTGAGACTGTTTCTGTAGAAACGAAACATCACTGGTTTGGGGTTATTGTGCCCTGAAGAGCTCTAAAAACAGCTATGTTCCAGGGTCCCAGCCAATGAAACCCCTGGGGCAGAGCCCAGGAAGCTGCCTGTTTAGGGAGGGCTGTGGGAGTGTCTGGGGTCTTTGTCAGGTCTCTCCAGCCCCCTTCCCTCCCTCAGTTGCTGGCCACTGCACAGGGACTCCCCACACCCAGGAGGCTTCCATTTTCCCTGAGGGTGGGAATTCCAGTGGGTCTAGGTGGCCCTGAGGGAGCCTCCTCTCATCTAGGCTGGCAGGGCTCCGACACTCCTGGCCTCCCTTCCTGGGGCTTGGGTCTGAGGCTGGGGCAGGAGGGCATGGGTGGCAACAGCACTAGAGTAGACGAGTGGGACTCCTGCCTCACTGGCACTGTGTGCAGAGTCAGAAAGATGTGAGTTCAAGGCCAATGGAGACAATCCCTGGGCATCTGGGAGCTGGGCCACAGTGCTGGATTCAAAAGCAGGCTCCAGGCCGGGCACGGTGGCTCATGCCTGTAATCCCAACACTTTGGGAGGCAGAGGCGGACAGATCACGAGGTCAAGAGATCGAGACTATCCTGGCCAACATGGTGAAACCCCGTCTCAACTAAACACACAAAAAAATTAGCTGGGCATGGTGGCGTGCGCCTGTCGTCCCAGCTACTTGGGATGCTGAGGCGGGAAAATCACTTGAACCCAGGAGGCAGAGGTTGCAGTGAGCCAAGATTGTGCCACTGCACTCCAGCCTGACAACAGAGTGAGACTCCATCTCAAAAAAAAAAAAGAAAAAGAAAAAAAGGCTGGGTGCAGTGGCTCACGCCTGTAATCCTAGCACTTTGGGAGGTCAAGGCGGGTGGATTGCATGAGCTCAGGAGTTCAAAACAAGCCTGGGCAACATGGTGAAACCCCGTCTCTACTAAAAATACAAAAAAATTAGCCAGGCATGGCAGTGTGGGCCTGTAGTCCCAGCTACTTGGGAGGCCGAGACAGGAGAATTGCTTGAACCCTGGAGGCGGAGGTTGCAGTGAGCCAAGATCGCACCACCGCACTCCAGCCTGGGTGACAGGGTGAGACTCCGTCTCCAAAAAAAAGAGGAATGTTACCAGGAAAATAAGAAAAACAGGAAATATAAAAACACGGGAATGGCAGAGTTTCTGGAGCACCTATTTCTTCTCCTGATATAATTGATCATCCAGCTGCAGACTCACTAGAAATCTGTCAAGGTCAGCCCCACCAGCAGAGTTGGGCTACTCAGGAGGAAATGAAGTTCTGGCCACTGAGGGTTTCATGTGTGTCCGTGTGAAGAGACCACCAAACAGGCTTTGTGTGAGCAACAAGGCTTTTTATTTCACCTGGGTGCAGGAGGGCTGAGTCCAAAAAGAGAGTCAGCGAAGGGAGATAGGGGTGGGGCCATTTTATAAGATTTGGGTAGATAAAGGAAAATTACAGTCAAAGGGGGGTTGTTATCTGGCGGGCAAGAGTGGGGGTCACAAGGTACTCAGTGGGGGAGCTTTTGAGCCAGGATGAGCCAGGAGAAGGAATTTCACAAGACAATGTCATCAGTTAAGGCAGGAACGGGCCATTTTCACTTCTTTTGTGGTGGAATGTCATCAGTTAAGGCAGGAACCGGCCATCTGGATGTGTACGTGCAGGTCACAGGGGATATGATGGCTTAGCCTGGGCTCAGAGGCTTGACAGAGGTCTGTGCTCCTTCCCAGTGCTGTGTATTCTACAACTTCTCCAGATCACTTCTGTTCTACAAAATCATCTTCCATAGCATCTTTTCCAGGAAGTCTTTCCTCATGAGCCCGGCCTGCCTCTGATGACGCCATTTGATACCAAACACCGTTCCCACGAGCTCAGGTTTCACCCTACCTGGGGCATTTGCTGATACATGGGTGTACAAAAACTTGTATGGGGCCTGGGATCCCCTGTGGAGTTAGGCTGGTGCAGTCTCCTTCCTCCTTCCCTGATGCCAGGGCATATATGGCTCTGCCCTTCACAGTTTCTACGGCAGCAGGCAGAGGGTAGGGTTGCAGAGTGGTTAGAGACACGGATTCTGGGGCCAGACTGCCTAGGTTTAAAGCCCAGCTCCTCAGTGGCTAACTGCGGGACTTTGGGAAACTCTCTTCATGTCTTCATGTCCCTGTGTTGGGAATGATAGTAAGAGTAATAATACCTACCTCCAGGGCTGGAGGTGAGGATTCAATGTTATAAAGTATGTTGAACACTGCCTGGCACTTAGGGAGTGATATTGTTAGTCTTAGCTGTTTTTAAAATCTCCTGAGTCACTTTGTAATTTCCAAACATCATATAAATGTAAAGAATTCTTACTGTTGTTAGGCTCCTGGGACTCAATTTCCCCATTTGAGAGTTGGGGAGAATGATCTTTGAGGTTCCATCAGGTTCCAAAGGTCTGTAATTCTTGGATAGGTAGTTAGACCTCTTGCTTGGGGTTTGCATGAGTTGAACTACAGGGACAAAAGAATAGGGCGTGGAATAGGACACCCATGAGCCCAGGCTTTGGAAGGGAGAATTTGACCTCTGGGAGGTAACAGCAGAAAACAAGAGGAGGCAGAGTGTTTCAGAGGGAGAGCCTTCCCAGTCAGGGAACTTTGGGTACTGTCCTTATCCCAGAGCCTGCAGGAAGGCCAACACCAGCCAGCTGGGGGCTCCAATTCCCATTGGGGCTTGGGTGTGTCTTCAGAAAGAGTATCATGTGAGAGACCTATGGTTTTCATTGATCAAGCCCCCAGATCTTCCTAGGGTGAACAGATACTTCTGTGGAGGAAATCCTGGAGACGGACAGCCCCAGTCTTTCTTGGGGGGGGTCTGTCCTCGCCACCCCATACTCCTTAAGTGGGCTGTCGGAGGAGACATGGGGAGCCTGCTCCTACCGTGGTTTTCCCTGGAGCCCCTTCTCTGCTCCCCTCTCGTGGGGGCTTGGATTGTTTATTTCATTAGCAGGGGAGCTCCTTCGCTTCTCTGCAGGGAGGGCAGAGTGGGTCACTCTCACAGTGAGGGATGAGACCATGCCCACCCCAATCCCCCCACTCCCACTGCAGCTGCCACACACCACGCTTCTCTGGAAGCTGCCCTTGGCCACTATCACCCCAGGCACCTGGGCTCAGGATCAATTGCAGTAGATCATGGAGATGGAGTGGGGTGCGGTGATTCATCACTGTCAGGGCTGTCTAAGAGCTCTGGGGCGGACCTGCTACCTGGCCCTGCTGCTTTGTCTTCAGGAGCAACTTGGGAGAGGCCACTAGGCGCCCATCTTCCATTTGCCAGGCCCTTTGTTCCACATGCAGAGAGGGGTCATGGAATCAGAGAGGCAAAGGGCCTTGCTCAAGGTCACCTGGTGAGAAGTGGCAGAGCTGGTTGCAGAGCCCAGCCCCCTGCCTCCTAGTCCAGGCCTCTCGCCAGCATATTACCTCCCTCCCGCCGGCTGCCATCCAGCCCTGACTGCCTGCCCTTCTCTTCCAACCCATTATAGTCAACAGGGAAAATCCCATTTGGTGTGCCTTGCTGTCCCCTGTCCTTCTTGTCATTAACGCCCCAGGAAATTTCCATTGCTTCGGGTCAATTGTGGGGACCAGAGGAAGGTTTTCCAGCGAACCCCACCCGGTGTGGTCACCATGACACCTCGAGGCCTCATGCCAATCACTCTGTTGTGCCCCACGACTCCTGTTTCCTGATGGCTGGCTTGTCCTTCCTATTCTTCTGGGAATCCCCCAGAGCACATCTCCTCCCCCTCCTCCTCTGACTCCACCCATCCTGTCCCAGCCTCTCCAGTGCCTCCCAGGCCACCGGAACAGGGATTTCTTCTAGGAGGGCCCCCACCTGGCAGACCAGATACACACTAACCCTTCCTCTTGAGCTCCAGGGAATGTATGACAATAGGCCTTCAAACATTCTTTTTTAAAAGCCTTGGAAACTTTCAAAATCCTACATCTCTGATAGTCATATGAAAAAGTGCTCAACATCCTTAGTCATGGGGAAATGCAAACTGAATCATAATAACATACCACTATGCCCTTGCCAGAAAGACTAAAAGATAAAAGGACGGATGGCACCAAGAGTGGGCGAGAAGCAGAGCCATGGGAACTCTCATACGCTGTTGGTGGGAGCGACATTGGCACAACCACTCTGGAACACTGATTGTATCTACTAACCCTAGTTCCACTCCCAGCAGAAATGAGGGTGATGGACCCCAAAGTTACATACAAGAATGTTTGTAGCAACTTTAATTGTCCCAGCCTGGAGACTGCTCACATCCCCACTGATGGTACAAGAGAGAGGCACACTGTGGCCTTTTCACACTTTGGGATAATAATACACAGCAATGGACAACAGACCTCATGGGTGAGGCTCACAGACATCATGTTGACTGAAAGAGCTGCAAAAATAGTATACTCGATTGTATTCTATGAATAGAATAGACTAGGTATGACTCCATTTCTGTGAAGTTCCAGAATGGGGGTCATGCCTGGGAGGGCACATGAATGACTCACAGTCTTGATCCGGGGGTGGTGACATGGGTGTGTACAAATGGAACTGAAGCCCTAAGATCTACGCACTTCACAGTTGTTACCGTATTCCTCAATAAAAAAGCTTGAAAATGAAAAATAACAAAGTACCAAAACCTTACACAGGATCCCGGCAAGTAAAAATGATCACGGTTGAGACCTATCCTCTCGCTTCCTATGTCAGGTGGCTCCCGGGGCATTTCTGTGGATTAAACTGTAGAAGGCACTGGAAGCCTTTGCTCCGGGGTGAATGTGGCCTCACATTCCTGCAGCTGGCCTCAGTGTCCCCTGCAGGAGGGTGGCCCGGCGCGGGGATCCCAACCCAGCCCTGCCCTGAGGGACACATCCCCGTTCCTCCAGACCCGCGCCCCTCCAACAGGCTGGTGGGTCGTGGTGCGAGACGACGTCAATCAGAGAGAAAATAAAGGAGTGGTGCGCACCACGTAGCCAGGAAGGCACAGAGCTGGGATCCTACCTGGAACTTGGCAAGTGTCTTACTTCTTGATGTTGTTTCCATGACGAGTTCTGTTTCCCTGCTTAGGGCAGATACCCAGTGGTGAAAATAACAATAAGTAAGAATACTATCCTAGTTCAACGCAGCTGAGCGCTCAGTCTGTTCTAGGTGTTCTGTTGAGTGCTTTACAAGGAGTCAATTCTCCTTTAATCCTTACAGCCGTCGGTGGCAAGTATCCCTATTACCTGTTTTACAAATACTCCATATATGAACTATCTTTATTCATCCCAGCAGTCTACTCACGTAGATTGAGAAATAAAATTCAGGGAAGGCAGGCACCTTGCTGAAGGTCTGCAGAGCTGATAGGTGGTGGAACAAGGGATTGATCAAGGTCAGTTTGACTCTAAAGCCCTGTCTCTTTCCTTTCACCAGGTTTTCTATAAATGTCTGCTGTGGACTGAACTGATGGAATAAGCATCCAAAAGGAATGCCACCGGCTGAAATGCTGACCCTCATCACCAAGATAAAACATTGCAGGGATGCATGAAAATTACATTTGGGGAGTAAATAGGCAGCCCAAGTACAGAGTGAAGAAGACCTGCTTAGAGGTGGCACACATGAAAACAACTCAAAGGTTTACTTGCCCATCTGAATATTCATCCATCCATCCATCCATCCATCCATCCATCCATCCATCCATCCATCCAACCATCCAACCCCCTCTTGCCCTCAGAAGTTTAACCACCAGGATTGAGCCCCTCTGTGTCCCATGCCAACCTCCTAAGGTCAGATGGGTTGGCTGTGCCCACTGTGTAAGAGGGGGTAGGCCAGGTTCAGGGAGGACACACAGACAATTCCTCACCCCTCCACCCCCATTCCCTGCTGGTCAGACCAGTTCCAGGGATCAGTATTTAATACCTGGCCCTCAGAATGGGAGGGAGATGGCAATGTGTGTGTGCGTGTGTGTGTGTTTCTTCAGGAACACCTTTTTTTTTTTTTGAGATGGAATCTCGCTCAGTCGCCCATGCTGGAGTGCAGTGGCACAATCTCAGATCGCTGCAACCTCCGCCTCCCCAGTTCAAGCAATTCTCCTGCCTCAGCCTCCTGAGTAGCTGGGACTACAGGTGCCCACCACCATGCCCAGCTAATTTGTGTATTTTTAGTAGAGATGGGGTTTCCCATATTGGCCAGGCTGGTCTCAAACTCCTGACCTTGTGATCTGCCCACCTTGGCCTCCGAAAGTGCTGGGATTACAGGTGTGAGCCACTGTGCCCGGCCCAGGGACTTTTCTTTAAAAATAGACTTACATTTATTTTTTATTTTTTATTTTATTTTTGAGATGAAGTTTTACTCTTGTTGCCAAGGCTGGAGTGCAATGGTGCGACCTCGGTCCACTGCAACCTCTGCCTCCTGGGATCTAGCGATTCTCCGGCCTCAGCCTCCTGAGTAGCTGGGATTACAGGCACCCACCACCACGCCTGGCTAATTTTTTGTATTTTTAGTGGAGATGGGGTTTCACCATGTTGGCCAGGCTGGTCTTGAACTCCTGACCTCAGGTGATCCACCCACCTCGGCCTCCCAAAGTGCTGGGATTACAGGCGTGAGCCACCCTGACTGGGTAACAGACTTTTTTTTTTTTTAAAAGAGCAATTTTAGGCTCACAATCAGATTGAGTGGAAGGTACAGACAGTCTATGGGAAATAGACTCCCTACCTCCACATAGGTATGGCCTCTCCCACTATTAAAAATCCCGTACTAAAAATAAAAAACATTCTACACCAGAGGCGTCCATTTGTGGTAGTTGGTGAACACACACTGACACACTGCGACTGGTCTGTAGGTAAGTGGGGTTGTTTGATGTTGGTGTGAGGGCTTGCTCTGAGCTGGCCATTGTGACAATGCTTTCCCACAGCTACTGATCAATGGAGTCAAGACTTGAAACCAGGTTTGCCCGACTCTGAAGCCCAGGCTCCTAACAGCTGTGTTGCTAAGTGGCCTGATGACGATAGCATAGGTTTAAATATCTGAAAAAGTGGTTTGGTGAGGAGTAGCCATCTTCCAATATTTGAAGGACTATCCCAAGAAGGCTAGATGGAGTTATTCTGTGTAGCTTCCCAGGGAAATACCTAGACCAGTGGGTGAAGCGTAGGGGAGGGAAATTTTGTCCGCATAGAAGGGTAGCCCTGTGGCATCAGGGCTTACTTTGAGAGGTAATGAATTGCCCAGCACCAGAGGCTGGGCACATTTGAAGGAAAACCCCTGTCTTGGGGAAGGTTGGGCTTCACCACCTGAAAGGTCTCTTTTATTTTGATTTATTTATTTTAAGACACAAGATCTCACTCTGTCGCTTATCCTGGGGTGCAATGGTACAATTAGAACTCACTGCAGCCTCCAACTCCTGGGCTCAAGCGATCCTCCCACCTCAGCCTCCCAAGTAGCTGGGACCACAGGTGTTCACCACACCTGGATAATTTTTTCATTCTTTGTAGAGATGCAAGTCTCGCTATGTCACTCAGGCTAGTTTCAAACTCCCGGTCTCAAGCGATCCTCCCACCTCAGGTCCCCAAAGTGTTGGGATTACAGGCAGGAGCCACCACGCCCAGCTAAAAGGCCTCTTTTGACTCTCATTTTGATCAGTTCAATTTGGTTCAGCCTCTGTTGAGCACCCACTCTGTGCTAGCTCTGGGCTGGGTACTGGGGATGAGTAACACACGATCCCAGTGCTTGCTTCGGCAGCACATGTACTAAAATTGCAACGATACAGAGACGATTAGCATGGCCCTGTGCAAAGATGACATGCAAATTTGTGAAGCATCACATTAAAAAAGAAAAAGACAAGATCCCAGTCCTCAAGGGGCTGCCAGCCTAGGTTGGAAGGCAGCTTGTGCCGTTCTGTTACTTGCTGTCCCTTTTTGCCCTGGATGCCGTGGGGGCTTTCAGGGATGAGGGTCCCAGGAGTGTTGCAAAATGAAAAGAAGCTGGCTACTGAGGGGATGGTGGGTGTGAGCAGGAGGTCAGGCTGGGGGACCCTGGCCAGCTAGTCTCTGGGTCAGTCATCCCCAAGGAGGTCTTTACTCACTGTGGAATGGAAGAGGCCTTCGTTAGGGATCTTCAGGCCCGTACTCAGGCAGAGAGCGGAGGACTCAAAGAGCACAGGCCCTGCCACCCTCCCCTTCCGCCTCTCCCCGAGGGTCCTCCCTCATCTGCCTAACGGGGATATAGGGGAACTGCCACCTTCCTTCATGAAGCACATTCACTTCTCCTAGGTTGACAGCAACATGGAGCCAGGAGCTCCACTCAGAGAGGGCTATGGGACCTCCAGCCTGGGCTCTTTCATAATCCCTCTTCCCCTTCTGACAGGTGCCCAGGGAACAAGCGCCTATAGGTGGTCTAAACCCCAAAAACCTGCTTCACGAGGATTACGGGTGTGGCTCCATCCTGCCCCCTACTTGCCTCAGGTGGTGACCTCCATTGCAGTCACTGTCATCCGGGATCCCAAGTCTCACAGGTGACGATGATGATGAATATGAAAGTGATGGATGACAACAATAAATAGCATTGTTCGGCACTCAAACCCTATGTGTGTTAACTCATGGAATAACCCAACTTCCCACCCCTTCAGTCCTATTTTCCTGTCTCAAGACCCACCTCTTCCTCATGACTGACACCTGGGGCGGCCTCTTCCTCCACGCTGGCTGTCTATTGGAATCTCCTGGGTAGCTTATTAAAAATACGCCTGTTAGGGCCAGGTGCGGTGACTTATGCCTATAATCCCAGCACTTTGGAAGGCCGAGGTGGGTGGATCACAAGTTCAGGAGGTCGAGATCATCCTGGCCAACATGGTGAAACCCTGTCTTTACTAAAAATACAAAAAATTAGCTGGGCGTGGTGGCACGTGCCTGTAGTCCCAGCTATTGGGGAGCCTGAGGTAGGAGAATCACTTGAACCAGAGAGTCAGAGGTTGCAGTGAGCCGAAATTGCACCACTGCACTCTAGCCTGGTGATAGAGTGAGACTTTGTCTTTAAAAAAAAAAAAAAAAAAGCCTGTTACGGGGCTCACACCTATAATCCTAGCACTTTGGGAGGATTGCTTGAGGCCAGAAGTTTGAGACTAGCCTGGGTAACATAGGGAGACCCCTGTCTCTATAAAATAATAATAATAATAATAATAATAATAATAATAATACTAGCTGGGCATGGTGGCAGGTACCCATAGCCTACTTGGGAGGCTGAGGCAAGAAGATTGCTTGAGCCCAGGAGGTCGAGGCTGCAGTGAGCTGTGATTGTGCCACTGCACTCCAGCCTGGGTGACAAACCAAGACCCCGTCTCAAAAAAAAAAAAAAAAAAAAAGTCTGTCTAGGCCCCAATCCCAATCCCAGTGGCTCTGAACCTATTGGCGTGGGGCAGGGCCTGATTTTTAAAAATCCCCAGATGATTCTGGAGTGTAGCCTGGGTTAAGTTCTCTGCGCTCAATGGGGCCTGTGATGTATGTTGATGATGCCCTGCGGCTGGTTCTCAAGCCGAGCGGCCAGCCATGTGCTTTTCTCCATGGAGCTCAAGATGAGCTTGGATGCAGAGTTGCCAGAGGGGCCAGCATAGATGAGGCCCCAGCTCCTGGAGTGTGTATGTGCTGTGTGTGTGCTGTGGGAGGTATGCTTGGCAGAAGGGAGGCTGGGGTGAGGACATTGACTGCAGCGCCTCATCTGGGAGTAGTTCTGGGGATGGGGAGTGGAACCGCAGTCCCCCATAGAGCAGGACTTGGCCTGGCTCTGCCATCAAGCCGGTAAACCCGGGGAGAGAATAGAGTCTGGGGTCCAAGAAGCCAACAACTAGGTAGAACCCAAGGACTGCTCTGCATCGTGCTGCTCGGCATAGTGTCTAGAGGATGTGGGGGCAGAGCCTCCAGCTGTGGGCACCGGTACAGAGGTGGTTTCAGAAGCAGGTCTAGCTGGCACTCCCCTCAAGCATTCAGAGGGCTTTCCTCCTCCAACTTTCCCACCCAATCCATGTCCTTCTCATTCTTCAAACCACGTCAGATAGCACCTTTTCCAGGAAGTCTTCCCCGATGAGCCCCATCTGACTCCGACAACTCCACTTAACACCAAATATGGATCCTGCAAACTCAGTTTATATCCCACTGGGGGTTCTTGCTACTTTGTAAGGGAACAGAAGTTTGTACCAGATCTAGCATCCCCCCAGGAGTCAGGCCGGTGCCACCCCTTTCCCTGGGTTCCTCCCCTCCTGCTGCTCTCAGGATGTGGCTGTGCTCTTGAGCGTGATTGGCGCATTCGTGGGCCAAATCATAGTTTCCTCTCTAGATTTTCGTTCTCCATGTGCAGAATGAGTGTGTTGGGGTAGGATGATCTCTTTTAGAACAACGACTGTAAGATGGTAAATTCTCAAGGCTGCCCGAAATACTCTTAACAGATCTCTGTCTGGAGAACTCCTGCACATCCTTCAAGGCCCAGGTGAAATGTCGCTTCAGATCCTCCCAAACACAATGACCCACTCCCGTCCTGTGCTACCCCAGCGCTTTACACACAGCTCTGCGACAGCCTGTGGCCATTTTGGAATTGGGGATACCCAGCGTTCGGAATTCCTTAGAGCTGGGATGCTGGGTGTGGCTGTCACAGCATTGCAGTGCCAGAGTGGCCAAAAATGTGTTGTAAGTGAATAAATGAATTCCTCAATTCATCAAGTTTATCTCCTTAACCATCTGCAACCAGGAGTGGGTAGGATTGGGAACGGAGAGAAAGGCCTCCACGGTCTCCAGAGAGGAGCTTAGTCCTGGGCCCACCAGCCAAGATAGGGATATGGTGGGCACATCCCAGGGGGGAACTTAGACACTCAGACAGGTGCTGCTTCCAGGCCTTTGGTCCTCTGCTCTGCTGAGGGTGGTGCTGGAGGGATGGAGGCAAGGGTTGTGGTTTGGGCAGAAGGAGCCACAGCCTGGCAGATAGTTCTTCCAAGGCCCAACTGGACTAGAAGACTAAGAGTATGCCCTTGGACTCCCAGTATCCTTTGGGCCGGGATGTCTGTAAGGGGACATCCTGGCACCAAGGCCTGGGGAAAGGACTGAGTCTGGCTTCTCCAGCCCAAAGCTCTGTCCAGAGGGGTTGTGCCTGAGACTAATTGGCTTGCCCTCCTTCCGCTGCTGGAGAAAGTCTTGGCTAATTTGCCGGAACGCTCTAGTTAAATGCCAATTAGGACGTTCTGTCCACTGCTCTCTTCCAATGTATTAATAATGTAATTACGCATTTATTGCCTGCACAAATTAAAAATTAACTTAAACGGACAGCCTGGAAAACTGAGGAAGTGACCGCTTAAACAACCAATTTGCATCTCATTCGAATATCAACATCTAAACACAGCCCCTTCTAGGATGCTGGGTTTGGCCTTCCAGCGGGGGCTCAGCCAGCTGCCAACAGCTGCTGGCTTCTCCTTCTGCACGCCTACTTCTGCCCGTCCAGCCCCAATCCTGGGTGTGGAGGATGTGGCCTTGCCCACAATGGGCAGGAGGGTTTTCTGCTAAGCAGCCATCTTGGCTCTATCATTTTACCCCCTCCCTTTCCCAGGGGTCGTTGGTGTGGATTTCAGTGAAAGGAGATGCTACTGGGTGCGGGGGGTGACGGAGGGATGGCTGGGATGGGGCAGTCTCTGAAGCCCCTGCCACTCCCACCCCCAGGATCGATTTGTCCTGCATTCCAGCCCAGGAGATGGGAAGCAGATGGTGCTGGTGGGGAGAGCGGGGAGGTAACCGAGGAACAAGAAGACCTTCTCTCCAAACAACCAGCCCCCTGGAGAAAAATGGGGGGGTACAGGAGGGGTGGGTCACAGGGAGAGCTTGCAGGGGATGGGGCGGGGCAGTAGCTTCGAAATAGAAGATGAAAGGATAAAGCTCTCAGCTCTTCTCCGTCCCCAGGGACCTAACACGGCAGGCGTGACACTGCTGGTTTTCTTCTCCAAACAGCCACAGGAGGGGACGTGGCAGGAACAGGACAGCAGGAGTGGGTGATAGGGGAACTGGAATCTGGGGCAGGAGGCACCCGTACCCCTAGGAGGGCACCAGCCGGCACAGGGCTTTCCCTCTCTGCTGTGTGCACCCCCAGCCCTCTCAGGCCTTACTTTCTTAAAGGCCTCCCTCCTGTGTCTGTGGACGCCCACCCCTCCCTCTGCGATGCTGTCGTCAAAGTCCATGGTCTTCTCACTTGCATGGAAGATGGTTCCGGGGCAGCCTGTGAGCAGTCTCCCTCAGGGCTCCTGCTCCTCTGGAACCCTGGAACCTGGACATGGGGTGGGGGGTCCCTTCCCCTCACTATCCCTCTGTGCCATCCCCTCCAGCTCCACGCCTTCCCCGCCCCCACTGCCATGGAGCAGGGCAGTGATGGGATGCAAACCAGTTTGTTTTAAACACTTTATTTATAAAAAAGTACATTTTTAATCCTCAGTACATTTTCAACCCATCATTTTTTTTTAATACAAGTAAAAGGGGGTGATGCAAACACCCCCCAGGTCAGAACCAGGAGGATCTGCTGGGCTGTCCCTGGACCAAAGGCGGAAAGGGCGACAAGACGCCGAAGCAAGGTAGCGCATCACGCTGGGAGGGGAGGGTGGCAGCTTCTCCTGGATTCTTTTCATTTATACAAAAAAGGAAAACCAATTTTTTCGACCAAGAATCCCATTCCTCACAGCAGGGGTCAGAAGAGCAGCAGCACCGAGTGGGACAGGGGCTCCTCCTGGCCTCACAAGCTGGGCAGTGTTGGCAGCAGTGGCAGCAGCAGAGGGGCCTGCCTCCTGGCATCCCCGGTACTGGGCAGTGTGTGAAGCCTCCCTGTGGGTGTGGGGACCTGGGGCACACCCACCTGCCCCTCACTAGGAGAGGGTTTCTGTTGGCAGTCAGGCTTTGGGGGTCTCTGTCTGGACTCCTGAGGCCTGGGAGCACTACCCTCCTCCCAGAAGAGGGGACATCCGTGTCTGCTTGGCTCAGCAGAGCTGCCCACACCCACCTAACACAATTCCCAATTTCTCTGCTCTGAGGAAGGCAGAAAAGTTATTGCACCAGTGACTTGGGCAAGTGGGGGTTGGCTGGCAGAGGAAGCGCATGCCCAGGAAACAGGGCCCCTATAAGGCTCTCTTGCAGCCCGGGCACTGGGAAATTCGTTTCTCCTTAATGGCTTTCAGCAGGATCAGACCATTCCCTCTGCCACATCTGTGCTGAGTGGCCATCTGGCTGTGCATGCATGCGTGTGTACATGCGTGTACACATGCCTGCGCGTGGGTGTGTTGGAGGTGTGAGTGTGTCCACTGTGGGCACACGTACTGGGTCTGAGGTGGTCGCACTTGCAGGCCTGTGTTCACCTACTCTGTGCTGCTGCTTTTCAGACCCTTCTGATAAAAGGGGACTCGGCTGGTTCTATTACACATTAGAACAATATCAAAATCTGTAAGGAAACAGGGGCATGGGTGTGGGGTGGGGGGCAAGGACAGGGAGGGCAACAAGAGGCAGGATGACAACTGGGGAGGCCTTGGCACAATTCATACCAAGTTTATTTCATTTCCAGCAAAGCAGAAGCTCAGCTCATGCTGTGGGCATGAAGGAGAAGCAAAATGTCCTCATCTCTCTGCTGGGCTAGACCTCCCTTTTGCCAGCTGGCTGTGTCTGTGGGCCCAGCAGTAGTGCCCACCTTCCCACAAACTTGGGGCACAGAAAACCTCACATCCCTAGGTCCAAGTGCTGACTCCTGCCTCATGCCCACCCTCAGCCCAGGCTGGCAGCTGCTCGGTGGGTATGCTGAGGCTGGGCCCCTGGCAAGTCAGGAGCCTCCTACGTGGCCCATGCTACATGGACCCCAAAATTTGTGCTTTGCTTGTGGGGAGGGTGTGGAGGTGTCTTAAGGGGGAACTCAGTGCTTTGGCTGGGCTTGGGGCCTTCAAAGTCCAACACAGAATGGGGAATAGAGGGTGGCAGTGCAGGATAAAGGAGATGCAGGAGGAGACAGGGACAGGAAATGCCTCTATCAGGCAGGCCCCTGGGATTGCCTCCTGCCTGGGGGAAAAGGGGACCAAGCAGAGGGGCCAGAGTGTTGTAAGGTGGGATGGGGCAGTGATGTAATGTGGAAAAGGTCCCCTGTCCTGGGGGACACTAATACTGCTGGGAAAAGCAGCCCAGCTCCTCCACCTCCCTCTGCCCTGTGGCTGGAAAGACTCCACAATTTTCTCCCCTAACTTCACCCTATCCAGTACCCCAAATGTGTAGAGGGGAGAGCCGCACCAGGGCTGGCATGGCTTCAGACTTCTGCTACGTGGCTACTGGGCAGCCTGGGCTGGGGCCAGGGCAGTGAGGGCCAGACAACGACGACCCACCTGCTGGGCCCAGGGTTGCCAGGGCAGAAATGGAGCTGGCAGGGGGTTCAATAGCAGCACCAGGGAGGGGAGGGGAGGGGTTGGGGGGCTCCCTTAGGAAGCCTATGGCAGGGTGGGTCAGTGCCCGTGGGGCACAGAGTGGTCTGCCTCCCTCCTCCCCAACACTTGCCATCCTGCAGAGCCCCTGACACCCTGGGGTGAGTTAACTGGAATCCCAGTGGGCAGGCATGAAGGGCCGCGAAGCCTGCCTCTCCATCCCAGGGTCCTTCCCATGGGCATGCCTGTCTAGAGTGCCAGGGGATCTGGGAGCAGATGGAGGAACTGAGGCACTTTGAGCTGGGGGACTGAGAGGGCTGGGAGGGGTCTTCCTCCATTATATACATGGGAAGACCCAGTCTGGGGTGGCTGATAGGAACTCAATGTCCCATTCAAGAAGGGAATCTGCACTGAAAGGGAGGGCTTCTCCTAGGCCCTCCCCTCATCCCAGAATGAGGACCAGGGGTGGCTGAGCAGGAGGTGGCCTAGCGGCCCCACCCCCCTCACTTTCTGCCAGGCCCGAGGCTTTGACAATGGCCTTTGTGTGTGAGGCATTGTATGGACTCCTCAGTCCCTCGGACTGTGTTTGCAGAGCTTCTGCCATGTGGGCTTCCTTCCCCACTACCCTCCGTGTGGATGCTTCTTTACCTCTGACTCCTGCAGGTGGATCCCCCTGGGATCCCAGCCCTGACTAGCCAAAAGAACCAAGTGTTGCTAGATAAGGGAGAAATCAGAGAAACCTCCACGCTGTAAGAAGCAGTTTGGGGCAGGCCTGAGATCCTAGGGTGGAGGCACCGGGGACCCAGTCTCAGCTGTCTCTGGAAGCTTCTATAGGCAGACCCCATTCTCAGCTTAAAGGGGGAATGAGGTGGAAATAGACGGGTGGGCCTTGGGCAGTGTCTGGATGGGGCAGGGCATGGGACTCCAGGGGAAAGCAGGCAGAGAGGAGCAGTGTGTGCATGTGTGTGTGTGTGCACGTGTCAGCAGAGGCAGAGAGCAAGTGTGGGCTGGAGCCCACCTGGAGCCCCTAATGGAGGGGGCACATTGGGGATAAAGAGGGGACGCGTCAGAGCTAGGCCAACTCCACTCTCTGTGGGCCAATGAGGAAAAAAAATGTAAAACCACCCTCAGCAGGAAAACACTGCCCAAGGCCCCGCTTAACAAACAAGACTCCCTGGGAACTGGGGAGAAGCCGCACCCCTCCCCCTACCTCTTGGGCGCACCAGCTGTCTAGACCCAAGGTCCAAACTCCCAGCTGCATCAGATTTCACTGGTGGGTGTTGGGTTCCCTCTAGCCGGGAGGAGGAGCAGCATCTGGGGGTGTGGGGAGCTTTTCCCTCTTAGAGCCCCTTGAGCCCTCCACCCCCAGTGAAGAAACACAAACAAATTCCAGTGTAGGGGGGCGGGGGAGGCTGGCTCCCCAAACCCTGGAGGGATGCCCAGGTACACAAGACGAGAACAGGGCTCCCTACACAGAGGGCAGGCAGGTGGGGCCCGTAAAGGGAAGATACAGTAACACTAAAGCCACAGTCGAACACAACACCATGGGGAAGGGCGGAGGAGAGGGAGGAAATAAAACACAAAGCCAAGTCGTGGCTGCCCTGGGCTCCCCTGGCCCCCCAGGAGTTCGGGGCTGGCTTTGGGCAGCTGGGCAAGTCTCTGTTCAGCTCCTGGAGTGGGAGGTGGGGGGTGGGCAGGGGGCGTGCGGGGAGGGGCTGGGGAGGAGCGGTCACAGACAGAGGCTCTGGAAGGGGGGCTACACGTACCACTCCTTCTTGGAAATGAAAGACCCGTCGTTCTGAGAAACCATGTTCTCAGCCAAGTCCAGCTGCTCAGGGTCGTACTGGTAGCCCAGAGTCCGGTCCCCGTAGCCGTCCTGACGGGCCTCGGCCTCATCCACGGTGAAGTAGGGCCGCTTGGCGTCCTCGTCATATTTGGGGTGGGGGCCGCCCACCTTGCGCTCGCCCCCTCCACCGCCCTCCTCCTCCTCCTCCTCCTCCTCATAGCTGCTTCCACCCAGTGGGCCGGCCTTCTTCTCGTCGTCTGAGTCGTCGGGGTACTGCAGGTTCTGTGCCATTGGTGGGTGGTGCTGGGGGATGCCTGCCTTGCTGTAGCCGTTGCCATACACGTGCTTCTTGGTGCTGTAGTCACCCTTGAAGGTGTGCCGGCGCCGACGCAGGGCGACCACGATCCCGCCGACCACAATCAACACCAGCAGGATGCTCCCCGCCACGCCCCCAATGATGGCCGTGGGCACCGGCCCGGCGCGCCGCCCATGTTCGGGAGGAGACGGGGTGTAGGGGAATTCTGGGTGAGGAAAAGAGATGGAGGGGACAGCATCAGCGTGTGCTCCTGGGGTGTAGAGGGGGTGGGAGGGAGGCAGGGAAAGGAGAGGCCAGGAAGGACAGGCTGTCTGCACCCCAGGTTTGAGCAGCTCCAGTTCGAGGCCCCGCAGCACTCCACCCATCCTGGAGCCCTAACATGCCGCAGCGTTGGTAGCTGGAGTGAGAGACAGGCAAGAGGAGAGGCAGAGGGCAGTACCCACAGCACCAGGGTCTTCCATCCCCACTGTCCTTGGTGTGGTGCTGGCCCAGCTCAATCCCTATTCATGGTGCAGTGAGACACGTGTGCCAGTTCCAGCTGCAGCACACTGCCCACTCCATGCCATTCACAGCCACAACCCTGAGGAGGTATGCCATTCATTCTCATTGGATATCTGAGGAGCTGAGGCTTGCAGAGGTTAAAGAACTTGCCTGAGGCCACCCAGCAATGATGCATCGTTGCTTCTCCTGCACATAGAACGTGTGCAAATGTCACTGATACCCCTCTGCCAGACACCTGGCAGTCACTCTGCCCCAACACTATCAACTTGGCTTCCAAGACCCAGAACCAGGAGCCACCTAGGTGTTCTGCACCTGATTTTGTCTGCCTGCAGGGCACAGGGAAAACAGGTTCCCAGGCACTGGCTCAGGAGATGCCCCGTGAGTGCCAATCAGCTGCCAAGGTGCCAGAAACTAGGGCTGTGGTTCTTGGCTGTGGTCTGGGCCTGCAGGGCAAGGTGGGGGCCTGGCAGTGCTGCCAGCCTGGGTTATAAGTGTAAGACACCAGCATGGCAGGGCACAAGCACAGGGCAAGGACGGCAGAAATGGGGGTGAAAGCATGTGCGTGTGTGCGTGCGTGGCAATGTCGAGTACACACAAGTGGGCACATGCACAGGCATACACGCTTGCCGTCATAGCAAGCCTGCCACCCAGAGAGCACATGCTGGGAGGGCCTGCATGCCTGTGCCGACATGATGAACATGAGTGTGCAAATCTGTATGCCCCGTGGACACAGCCAAAATGAGGAGGCAGGAAAGGTGAAAAGAAGAGAAAGGAAGCAGGTGGGACAGGAGAGAAGGCTGGGTGGGTGGCTTTCTGTGCCAGTGGGGCCGGGCCACAGTACTGTTCTTTGGCCAACACTGCCCCTTCCCTTGCCTTACAGGGCCTGGGAAGGTGGCTGAAACCAGGGCCATGCCACGGGCCAAAGAGGCCCTAAGGTGAGGCTAAGGGAAATGGTTCCTGGCACCACCACAGGGTGGCACCAGAGACCACAGCTGGCCTCGGTCAGAGCCACTAGGCTGCGGGTCTAGGGCAAGCCCAGAAGGCTGACCTCAGCCGCTCAGGCCCTCCTTGCTCCAGGCCCACGTAAAGGGCCAGTTTGCCCGTATACTGTTTGCCTGTATACTGCTGCCAGCTCACTCTCTGATTCAGTATCTCTCACTCCATGGGAATCATGCTCCTCCCTGAGCCCACTCCCTCCTCCTGGGGCGTGTGTGGGGTGCTATCCCACTCGGCAGGCTGCAGCAGGGTGGAGATTCTAGGAAAGAGGAAAGGCCTTCCAGGAATTTGGGCGGGAAGGGCTGACGAAAACACAGGGCCCAAGGAAGGGGAGGCCACTCACTCATCCAAGGTCACGCGGCTGAGCCAGGACCCCCCAGGGGCTCCTATACACGTGGGCACTGGCAGAGGAGCACTGCCATGGAGGACCCCGCTCCCCACCTGCCACCACCATCCTCGGTGCAGGTCAGCCAGCAGCTGCCCAGTACATATCCATGGGATCTTTGTCCTGACCGCCTGTCTCCGCAGCAGCCTCCCTGGAACCTCAAGCATCTCCCGGCTCACCAGGTCCCATCTGTTTACCGCCCTCAAAAGGGCCCCGCAACTGCTCCCCACGAGATGGGAGCAGCCTCCACCAGGGGTTCCCCAGAGGCAGCTGGGAAGAACCTAGCCTCCTCTGTACTCAGCCTGCCTGCCCCCCTCCTCGGTTCTCACCCAGATCTGAATGATCTCTCCTGTCTACACCTGCCTTCCTCTCTTCATCCATCCCTCCCATCAGCAAACATACTGAGCATCTATCCTGCTAGTCACGGGATATGAGAAACTCACAGCCTCCCCAGGGAAGCAAAGGACACTCAGAGACAGCACATGCAGATGTTAAGGGAACAGGCAGGGAAGTGCAGGGTGCAGGGGAACGGGGTGGTGTGTCTTGGCATTAGAGAAGGCTTCTTGGAGGAGGCCGGACTTGGAGAGGCCAGGAGGATAAGGAAGCATCCAGATGGAGGGAGCTGCCATTTTTCTGAAACATGTCCCTTGCCTTCCCATACAAGATTCCGTGGTTCTCGGCTTTCCTCTCTGAGTGCTATCTCCAGCTGTGTTGCTCCTTTTCTCTGTTCCAGCTGTCTCGCTGGACGCTTTGTCCTGGGACCCTCAGCCTTGACCCTCTGCTTTCTTTCCTAGTGACAGACTAGTATCAACTTCTGGAGTCACCCTTATCCTGCTGGCTGTCCAAATTATTTAGGGTACATAGTTCTCGCCCAACTCTGGGACTGTATCTCCACAGCATCTCCCAAACTGTGGCCCATGGAATCTCAAACCATTGGCTCAAAGGGTCAGCAAAAATAGGGGGGTCGAGATGTTGGCTTAGACAAAAGCATCAGAGCCTGTTACCTTCTCGTGCACACTGTGAACTACTAGAGGGACACGTCAAATGCCATGTTTCCCAACATACTGGAACATGAACCCCATACCTCCTGCCTCCAAGACAGTCTCACATAACTGATATCTAGGTGGACACATTAGAAAAACTGACCTCTAGCACACCCTCATTTGGAATTCTCACCACCACTTCAAAACCCATCTGTACCAACCTGGTTTGCCATCTTCCTTCTAAACCCTCTCCATTCGATACAACTTCCTGTCGCCACTGTCACCACCATGGAACTTATGCCAGGTTTTACTGCTGTGGTCGATTCCTAAATCTCCCACTTTCCTTTTGCCTCTGCCTGCCTTGAATCACCCCACCCGCAGTCACCAGGTTAATCTTCACTCTGTAGACACAACCACTCGCTTTCTCAAAGACCAGCAATGGCTCCCCAACTGCCTGTTGGGCTGTGCAGTCTGGCCTTCAAAGCTTCCATCATGCAACCGTATCTTGGGTTTGGTCAACTCACCTTCCTTGCTGTCCTTGTTATCCAAGTTGATTCCTTACTGCAAGCCTTTACACATGCAGTTTGCCCCGCCAGGAGTGCCTTTCCTCATCCTCCCTCCCCACCGATTGCACTTCTCCAGCCCCTTCTTCAGGAGCCTTCTCTTCTCCAGTTTACCGTGATCTTTTTCTCTTTCGAATTTTTATGTACTAATGGTCTGCACCTCTCATTCTGGTTGTGACAATTGCTAAGGTCATTCCATTAATCACATACTGACATAGCATGGTAAAGCCTGTATAAATTGCAAATAAATGCAAATTAGAAGTTACCATGGCTGGCTCTGGTCCTTCTGCCAGTTTTCAAATGGCTAAAGTTCTTCTCTTCTGCAGGAATGAGGACAGGGTTTGAGGAAGTGGCAGCCTCATGATCATTTGGGATTGACTCATTTCAGTGTGTTGCAGTAGTCTATAAGCTCACTATTGTTACATTTGTGCTTTCTTCAACAGCAGAGACCCAATAAAAAATAAAGCTCTCCTACATCTTCCTCAACTAGGTTGAATTTTCTGGACCTCTCAAGCCACATCATTGCAGTATGGTAGAGTGTACGGTCTTATCTGTTTCACAGGAATGACTGGTGTCCCAACTAGTTTGTAAGTTATAATTGAAAATGCAGGCTGGGCACAGTGGCTCATGCCTGTAATCCCAGCACTTTGGGAGGCCGAGGCGGACGGATCACCTAAGGTCAGGAGTTCAAGACCAGCCTGACCAACATGGTGAAACCTCGTCTCTACTAAAAATACAAAAATTAGCCAGGTGTAGTGATGGGTGCCTGTAATCCCAGCTACTTGGGAGGCTGAGGCAGGAGAATTGCTTGAGCTGGGAGGTGGAGGTTGCAGTGAGCCAAGTTTGTGCCATTGCACTCCAGCCTGGGCAACAGTGCAAGACTCCGTCTCAAAAAAAAAAAAAAAATGCACCTTGAACCTGATCTCTTCTCACCGTCTCCATCACTACCACCCTGATCCAAGATACTCTCATCTTTCATCTGGATTATTGATTGCAATAGCTGCCTAACTGCTCCCCTGATTCCATCCTTTCCCTCTGTGGACTGTTTTCCACACAGCAGCCAGACAAATCCTGTTGAAGTGTAACATATCTGCTCAGAGCCCTCCAATGACTCTCCCTAGAGCCTTAACGTGCTCTGCTTGCCCTACGCCCCGCCCCACCTCTGAAGTCATCTGTTCCCGCTTTCCTGCAGGCTTGCCCCACTCCTGGCACACACTGCACGGGCTGCCCTGCCCCCTGAAAGCCACTTCCCCAGGGCCCCCAGGTTCACTCCTTTACTCTCTTTGGGACACAGCTCAAATAGCCCCTTCTCATCAAGACCTTCCCCAACTACCCTATTTAAAACTGCAGCTCATAAGCCCACTCCACCTGTGTGGTCCCTAGCACTTGGGATCCCCTTACTCTCTTTTTTTCCTCCTCAATATCACCTTCAAAATTACTACTTTTTTTTTTTTTTTGAGACGGAGTCTTGCTCTGTCGCCCAGGCTGGAGTGCAGTGGCTCAATCTTGGCTCATGCAACCTCCGCCTCCCGGGTTCAAGCGATTCTCCTGCCTCAGCCTCTTGAGTAGCTGGGATTACAGGCATGTGCCACCACACCCGGCTAATTTTTGTAATTTCAGTAGAGATGGGGATTTCACCATGTTGGCCAGGCTGATCTCACACTCCTGACCTCAGATGATCCACCCACCTCAGCCTCCCAAAGTGCTGGGATTACAGGTGTGAGCCACCACGCCCAGCCTACATATTTTTTAAAAATGTATTTTATCTATTGTCTTTCCTCCTATGCGAAAACGTAAGCTCCACAAGGATAGGGACTTTTTGTCTGTTTTGCTCATGGATTTATACCAAGCACCTAGACCGCTTGTCATGTGGTCAATGTTCAAGAAGTATCTGTTGGACGACAGAATGAATTCTACAATGGCAAGATTATGTCTTAGAGATAAGCCTTGTTCTAGGCAGAGCAAGTATTGTAAGGAGAGACTCGAATAAACCTGCATGGGGCCCACTGGGACCTTGTTTCTCTGGAGTGGGTGACAGGAGGAGTGGTGTGGTGGCTTGGGACCAGATGACACTAGGCTTTTTTTCTCCTCCAGGCCTTCTATTTAATTCTTTTTCCTAAGTCCTTTTTTTTTTTTTTTTTTTTGAGACAGAGTCTCGCTCCATCGCCTGGGCTGGAGTGCAGTGGCACGATCTCGGCTCACTGCAACCTCCGCCTCCCAGGCTCAAGCAATTCTTGTGCCTCAGCCTCCTGAGTAGTTGGGACTACAGGCACGCACTGCCACACCCGGCTAATATTTTGTAGAGACGGGGTTTCACAACGTTGGCCAGGCTGGTCTCGAACTCCTGATCTCAAGTGGTCTGCCCACCTCGGCCTCCCAAAGTGCTGGGATTACAGGTGTGAGCCACCACGCCTAGCCAACTTTTTTCCTTAAGTCTTAAGGAGGTTTACTCTTTCCTGGGGATCTTTTGGGACCAAAGAACCCCGGTTATTTTGTTTAGGGCTGGGCCTGTGTAGCAGCAGCAGAATGGCTGGGATGACCTTCCAGCATCAAAGACTTTCGAGTGAGGATACTGAGTGAGGGAGAGAAGAAAGGAGAAGCATGGGGATCTAACTCATTTGCAAGCAGAAGGGGCTGTCTGGCGTGGAGTGGAGCGTCCTCCCCTCCCCCTCCATCCCTCCAGCTGTTACACTCAGCCAGTAGCTCCTGTCTCTGTGCCAGGAGCAGAGCTGCAAGGGCCGCAGCTGGGAGGAGAGAGAAGAGCCAGGCCGCAGGGTCATTTGTGTTTGCTGGCAGGGGCCCAGCCAGCCTCCCTCACATCCTCTTACAAAGGGAGCAGCTTGTCCCTATTCCTGAAGGGTTGTAACCTCTCTTCTGGGGTCCCTGGCTGGCCAAGACAGTGGGGAAGTGGGGGCTCTGCATGCCTTTGGGGTCCTGGTTCTCTGACTGAGGTGGGTGGGCTGGTGCTGGGGGCTTTGGATAGATCTGAGGTGGAGTGAAGTGTTAGGGCTTACAGTCTGGATCTAGGATCTGGAGGTTTGGGGTCAAAGAGAATGTTTGGGTTTGCCTCCGAAACCAATGCCTGGCGCTTCCTCAGGCAGGAAATGCTCCGGCATCAGATTAGGCCTGGAAGCTGCAAGAACTACACCCCCCAGCATGCAGTGCAGCCAGCCACAGGGAGAGTGGGGAGGCCTGGGGTCCACCTCTGGGAAGCCCTTCTGTCCATCTGCAGCTGCAGCAGCTGTGCCTCGTGTCAGACCATCAGGCAGGGCCTCGGCAAGCTGGGGGAGAACCGAATCCTCCCAGAGGCACGGATGCAGCTGCCTTCTCAGACCTCCCAACACACTGCCATTCGCTGGCTCAGAGAATGGCACGTTGCCACGGCACAGCCACGGGCTCCCACATGCACACTCAGCATGCAGACGGAGCCTGTTCACACTGGTTCACATTTACATGCCCAGAGACACATGTCCATACCATGGCTGGGCATGCACACTTGCAGGCTCACACCTGCCTCCCTTCCAGGACACTGGCCTTCAAGGCCCGCAATTCTGGGTCTGAAGAACTCCAGGACTGATGGGCAGACTGTGACCCTCACCTGCAAGGGATGAGCCCGGGCTTCACTGGAAATGTGAGTTGGGACAGACGCCCTGCACCCTGGGATGGACATCCTACACCCTGGCAGCCTCCCTGTCCTGCTCTTGGGAGTGGCGAGAGGCTGGGTCCCAGCTGGAGAGGCCTGGCCTGTCTCCTCCCGACACCCACAGGGATAGAGGCTGCCTCATCTGTTTTTTTTCAGTCTGGTGGAGGCTGCACCCTGGGCCTCTCCCCACCTTGTCATTACCCCAGAGGGAGAAGGGAGGGAGCTTCATTTTGTGACCACTGGGCCCACCCCATGAAACTGCTCCTCTGTGTAAGGGCCTCTGAAAGGGGTTCTCTGGGGCCTGTGCCCACGGAAGCACACACAGATTCTGTCCGGTCCATCTCCTCGGTGCCCCCATCGCCACAGCCACAGCCTGGGCCTGTTGTTTCCCACTAGGGACTCACTCATGGTGGCAGCTCCTAACGGGTGTGCCGGTGCCATCCACACAGCCCCCTGAATGCTCAGTCTAACCCACACACCTCGCCACGGTGCTTCCTGGCTGAGAGCCCTTCAGAGACTCCCTGTGGCCAACAGAGAGAAGGCCTTGCTCCTTCCTCCCTGCCCACTCTGCTCCAGCCATTTTCCTTCCCATGCTTCCCTGGCCTGGGCATCCCGCCCTCCAGCCCTGCCTACTCACTCATCTCCCAGCAACCACTCAGTGCTCCTTCCTCAGGGGCCCAGGTCCCCAAGAAGCCATGCCAAAGCGAGTCTGCGCAGGTGTGCAGTGGCCCAGCACACACGTGTTCTGCATATGCGTGTCCCTCCAGCACACCCCCTGCTGCCCACCTTCTGCCCTGCCCCAGTCACTCCTCATTTCCCTTTCCAGATGTGCCCAGGGTAAAGTTATTACCCGAACGAATGCCCAGAATGAAAAATTAAATTTCCACTTATCCCTCTCGCTCATGCATTCCCTCTGGACCAGTGGGGCTTAGAGCAAGGGCATGGCTGTGCCCTGCGGGGTGGGCTCCCCAGAGAATGTGGCAGGCACGGGCCGACGTGGAATGGAGGGTGGTGAGGTCAGCTGCTGCTTGGAAATTGCCTGAGAGCACAAGAACAAACAGCCCTGAGAAGGCTCAGGCCAACTCCCTGAGTCCTCTGGAGGGGGCTGAGAGTCCCTTCCGAGAGAGGCCAGCCGCTCAGCGCCTGGGCCTATCAATGATTCAGTGAGTGCCATGCGTCCCTGGCTCCTGCCTAACGGGGCTGCCAGCAAGAGCCATGTTGTGTCCCTCTTCCAGCTGGGACCCTAGGTGGCCCGGCCCTCCTGCCCCCAGCCCACACCCCTCACATGTTGATAGCCCACCATCAGGGGAAGGTATCACCACGCAGGGAGTACTGCATGATCGTAAGAAGCCTGAGACAAGTGTGAGTATCCCCATATCAGAGGTTAGGAAGCCAAGGCTCAGAGAGGTGAAGCACTTGCTCAAGGCCACACAGCTAGGAAGAGCCAGTGTGTGAACACTCAGGCCAGGTCTGTGCTGTCTCCCATGTGACAGTGCCTCCCTGAGGGGTGGTCATGTTCCCTATGGCCACTCCACATGGAACACAGGCCCTGCCCTTCCCACCTCCCCCTTGACTCCCCCAGTATCTCAGAGCTGGAGCTTGGGTAACCATGAGGCTCATTTTGAGCTGTACTTGGACCTTCCCCGCTGGGGAGAAGTGTGTGACACCGGCCCCTTCCACCTGCCAACCCGTGGAAACCCCCCAGCTTTCCCCAGGCTCCAACCCTGATGCTCCTCCTCCTATGACTAGTCTCGGGGCCAAGGCCAGGGATTGCAGACAACAGCAGGTGGCTCCACACTCCCGCCCCTGGGTGAGAGACGTGACAGAACGGCTCTGAGGACAGGTAGGCGCAGACCCTGGACAACTTCACGTGGCTCTTTCTGCAGCTGTGTCCTAAATATACCCACAAATGAGGTCTCCCACTCCCGAGACACTGGCTCAGAGCTCATGAATCCTCGTGGCTTGCAGGTGTGCAGTGGCTTTGTGGCCGGAGCCCAGCAACTGCCGACCAGTCTTCTGTGTCCCTGAGCATGTTACTTCCTATATCTCAGTCACAGTGGGACACCACTTCCTTTTTTAAGACACTCGGTCACCCTGTCACCCTGCAGATAGCTCAGGTCCACTGTAAAAGACGCTCCCCATGTGAAGTTGTGATGGCAGTTTACCCCTGTGTGGACTTGTTTTGATGCTTCCATTAATAATAATGATGATGATGGAGGTCAGGGTAATAATCACGGAACATTGGCCATTTATTGACAGACTGATCTGTGCTAGGTGCTTGACTTACATCACGTAGAATTCTGACAACAGCCCTTCAAGGTACATCATACTGTCCCCGTTTTACAGATGGTGGGGGGGGCCCTGTCCAGGGTCACAGCTGTCTGACATCAAGCCCATGCTCCTTTCACGTCCCAGGTGAAGTCTCTCCTCAGAACATCCTAGCTCTTGTCCTCCCTTTGCCCGGATAGATAAGTTGACAGAAAGCTGCAGGGAAAGCTCAGTTGCAGGGCACACAAAGCACTATGGCTTTGGGCTACATCTTCGCTTTCTCTCCAGTCTCCCTGCTTGAGGTAAGCCTCACTTTCTGGCCCATGAAGAGGTCCTTGACCACAGGTGCAGAGCTTGGAGGAGATGAGCTCCACCTGCAAACCTATCCCCACCATGCCAGCATCCCACAGCGTGTTCTGCTGGCAGATCTACGGGCAGGTTCTATTGGCCCCCAAAACAGCATTGCTGTAAACAGCACTTCCTTCTTCCCTCTCAGAGCCTTCCTCCTGCCCCTCTCTGATTGGGGGTCACCCTGACTGTCTCATTTGCACCCTTTAATGAAAGAAAGAGAAAAGCAAAGCAAAACCAATGGCCAGAGCTCAAGGGAGAACTAGAGAAGCAGGAAAAGGAGATAATCTTCCTGCAGTGGCATTGCTCAAAGGTGAGGGATGCAGGTGGCGAAGGAACCCGTGGGTGCGGAGAGGCTGGGGAGGATGCAGCTTCCTACCTGTGATATTGACCTCCACCTGGCCTGAGCGTGTACCGATGGGGTTGGTGGCCTCACAGATGTAGGTCCCTGCCAGGCTGTAGTTGATGGGTCCCTTGAAGAAGAGGGTTCTGTTCTGGGCCTCCACACCCTTGGGGAGAGAGCCATTTAGCCTGTGGGAAGTGGGAGACACAGCGTAGGGTTATGACTCTCCAGCCTCAAGAAGCTGTTCCTGGGTCACCCACTTGGCTCCAGGCCCCCTAGCCTTTTGCTGAGCTTGTGTGGTAGAGTCTGTCTTTGAAGGAAGAAAAATAATAATAATAATCTCTTTCACTTGGTAGTTTTATATTATTCAGCTTTTCATATTTGATCATAATATGGGAATATAGGCAGGCTAGGTAGGTGCCGGTCCCCCTTAACAGATGAAACCTGAGGTTCAAGGCCAGGGAACCACAGCTAGCAGGCAGCAGCATGGGAGCTCCAGCCAATTCTCGGGACTCCTGGTAAAGTGCTCTTTCTACTTTCCATTCACGTCTCATGGTTGTTGGTCCTTGGTCTCCTGGGCAGCTGGTTAATAATACAGATGCCAGCCAGGTGTGGTGGCTCACGCCTGTAATCCCAGCACTTTGGGAGGCCGAGGCAGGCAGATCACATGGTCAGGAGTTTGAGACCAGCTTGGCCAATATGGTGAAACCCCATCTCTACTAAAAGTACAAAAATTAGCTGGGTGTGGTGGTGCACGCCTGTAGTCCCAGTTACTCGGGAGGGTGAGGCAGAAGAACTGCTTGAACCTGGGAGGCGGAGGTTGCAGTGAGCCAAGATTGCGCCATTGCACTCCAGCCTGGGTGACAGAGTGAAAATCCGTCTCAAAGAAAAAAAAAAAAATAATAATACAGATGCCTTGGTTCTAACCCCAGATCTCCTGAAGCAGAACCACTGGGGCAAAGACCTGGGAATCTGTATTTGACAAGCCACTCAGGTAACGAGATAGGAAGTATGTTCCATTCCACTACTTTGTGTTTTTGCTGGGAATGTCACAGGACCTTTTCATGTGGGAAGTGACTTGCAAATTTGCCAAGGACAAAGGATCTTCTTCCTTCCTCCTGACCCTCAAAGGCCACAAAGCTATTCTGTTGAACCTAGCAGCTCCTGGGTCCACAGAGCTGAAACCAGCCAGCAGGCTCTGCCCACTCACACCTTCAGAAGCACTTTTTATTCCAGGAAGTGGAGGATCATAGGTAGGGCATACCAGTGCCCTCTGCTCCCCAGAAAAAGAAGGCAGACTCCTTCTGGGCAGCTGTCTCCTGGCCACCCATATCAACCTTCTCCTTGGTTCCCCACGTCCCTGTCTTTCTGTGTGTTCCATCCAGCTCTTCTCTGGGAAGAGCCTTGGCCCCAGCTGTCAGAGCCGGCTGGAGGGGAGAAGGCGAAGGCAAGGCAAGGCGAAGACCGTGAGGCCAAGAAGGGGATGGTGGGCCGCAGGGCACGTGCTCCATGAGCACAGGCATTCTAGGCTGGCTGCTGCCTCCTCCCCAAGAATCTGGGGGTGCCAGAGAGAAGGAATAGGGACAAAGAAAGAGCTGAGATGCTCCAGAACACTGGCTTCCCTGGGGACACCTTGATAAAAATAAATACTGGGGGGTTGGGGTGGGAGTGACTCAGACTGAATCACCAAAGGAAAACGACAAAACTCTTTATTAGGAAGAGGGAGGGAAGCAGATCACAAAGGAAACCCCTCTGGCAGAATAGCTTGTTCCATTGACCTTGACACTGTCACACATGGACGTAATGTATATGTGTGTGTTGGGGGTGGGGGTTGTTCTCTCATGGCCCCGCTTCTTACTGAGCCCAGACCCTAATTTCTTCCCTGCCTAAAGGCTCCTGGAGGTAGGATGGTTGCCCCTCATCACCCGTGGTCCAGTCAGCTGTCTTCCAAGGTGACTGGTCAGCCCTGCAGCACTTACGTGGTCCAGTGGTACTCAGTGGCTGGGGGGTTAGCATCAGCTTTGCAGGTGAGCTTCACGTCCATCCGCTGCAGGTACCAGTTGCCATCAAACCCCTCAATGGTTACCTCAGGCTCATCTGTGGGGCAAGGGATGTTTGAAGAGGGTGAGGTCAGGAGAGCGGGACTTAGAACAAGGGAACTTCAGCCAGGAAGGGATGGAAGGAGCAGTGGCATGGAAACAGCCAGGAGAGAGGGAAGTGTGGGTGGGAGGGTGGCAATCACAGAGCCCGGGAGTGGAAACAGGAGGGCGACAGGGAAGGAGGAGAGAAAACGAGCAAAGGGAGGAGATAGGGGAGACAGGAGGGGAGAAGAAAGCACCCCCAGAAAGAGAAAGGGAGGAGAAAGGAGAGGAGGAGGGAGGAGGGACAGTGGCGCCCACCCCAGGAGGCCCCTGGCAGCCAGCCCTGCTCACACTGCACGTTGAGAGTGAGGCTTTCCTTGAAGCGGTCCATGTGGTAGTTGACGATGCAGGCCAAGGACTGCTGGTGGGCTTCCCTGCTGGGCACCAGGCGGTAGCGGCTGATGACCGTCACTGTGCCATTGGGGTTCCGGATCTCCTGGTACTCTGCCTCACCTTTTAACCGAGTTTCCCAGGATACCACACTGGGAGGCTTCCCATTGGCTGAGGTGCAGGTGGCCACCAGGACCTTGTCATCCTGCCCCTTCTTGGCTCGAAGCACTGCCTGGGTACCCTCTATCCAATTGGTGGGTTTGGCTGCGAGGAAGCAGAGAGAGTGATGGGACTAGCCCTGTTGACTTGTCCAAGATGCACCGGCCAAAAGGGCGTGGCATCCGTCAGGCCTTGTCTTCAGGTCCCCTTGGCCATCCCTGCCTCTCAGCTGTGCTGCACCAAAGACTGTCCCAGAACCTCTTGCAGGAAGTTCATCATGTCTAACGTTATGTCCTCCCTGCCCTACTAGTCATATCCCTGTCATCGAGCTTAGGCCTCCTGGAGTCCCAGCATGTCTAAGGCAAGCAGCGCAGGTGGCTCCTTTCCTTACCGTGGTGTCTGATGCTGCTGCCAGCACAGTGCCTTGTGGGCTTCAACCTGAAGAATCACGTTCCCCACTGTCTAGAGATAAGCCCCTGCCCCTAATCCCTAGTGAATTGTGGGGTGGCCTGGCTAGAAGGGACTGGAAGCCTCATGCCTAGAATGATGGCAGCATGCCCACCCAAGGGGGATGTCTGGGGTCATTGAGGCATCCTGAGGATGGCCACGCCCCGAGGTCACAGGCCTCTGGATGAACAGGGAGGGGGCCCAGGGCAGCTTACCCATCACCGTGAGATTGAGCTGGCTTTCTCGATTGCCCGTAGGGAAGGTAGCAAACTCGCAGATGTAGACACCCTCATCCTCCAGCTCCAGGCGGGAGAGGCGGATAGTGCCATCGGTGAAGGAGGGCCGCAGGAATTCCACACGCTCGCGGTAGGGAGCCAGCACGGACACGCCCATGGATGGGTTGTAGATGGCCACGTTCTGCTTGGAGCCATTGGTGGACTTCTGCCATGTGACCTGGGTGATCTTCACGCTGGGAAGCGGGTTGGCAAAGCTGCAGTGCAGAACCACGTCTGTGCCGATGAAGCCATACATGGAGTCGTTCACCTGGACCACCTGGGAGTGGACGCCTGGCCAGGAGGATGGCAGCAAGTGGTCAGTGTCAGGCACAGCCTCCCCCCACCCACACAGTTCCCTGTGCTCTGGCCTTGTCTTTTATAGCAGTCATTATTGTTTTTATTCCGATTGTAAAAATATTAATTACTTGTTATAAAAACACTCTAGGCAACACTGAAAAATCATGAGAAGAAAGTGACAACATCCCATGATCCTTCCGCTCAGGATAATCTTGAAGGATCTATCTCCTTTTACTTTATATCTGTGTATATCCACATAACCATCTATCTATTTTAAAAAGTCAGAATCATGCTGTACATATTATCCCATAAGCTGCTTTTTTACTTAGGGATAGATTATAAACATCACTCTGTGTTAGTAAACATACGTCTGCACCCTCATTTTTGGTTGCTTTTCGAGCAGAGCCCCAGCCTAGGAGCCATGCACTGGCTGCTTTGTCTTCCTGGGCCTTGGTTTCCTCCTCTGTTATATGGGGTGGAGAATCCAGTCCTCTCTACCTCACGAGGTTACTGGGGGAAACAAATGGCGTGATGGACGAGAAGGTGCGTCAGAGGCAGGAGGCTCTGGATGAGCTTGAAGGCCCACGGTGGCTGTCATCATGGCCACCCCTGCTGTCTTCTCCCTCGCAGCTGAGTCCCCATCCCCTGGGGTGCACTAGCTGGGCCCCTCTTACCCAGCTAGGCAGAGGGAAGTGGGCACTGCATAAGGCCAGGCCTCCGCTGGCTCCCCATGGCCTTCACAGCCAAATGTAAATGCCTTCTCTTGGCAAGACCTCCTTGCACCTGCCTCTTGTCCACATCTCTCCATCAGCCACACTTTCCCACCATACCAGACTGGGCCCATCCTCAGAACATGCCACATTCCCGGTTTCCTTCCCTCTTCCTCCCATTTATTCAGCCACGATTTGCCGAGTGACATATTCCAGGATCTAGTGTGAGCATTTGGGTCATATCAAGGAGCAATTGAGTCCCGGCCTCCATGGAGCACAGAGCCTATCCACCCAACACTCCTAGACTCTTACCCAGGCAGCTCCCTCCACCTAGATGGCCCTTCCCCTTCTCCACCTGTGGATGGCCCCCTGAGGCCACCTCCTCCTGGGAGCTTCCCTGATCTTCCCCACCAGAGCTAACCTGGCCACCTCTACCTTGGTTCTTTCCTGCCTTGGAAGGTGGTGGTTACACATCTGATTTCTCCACCAGACTGTGAACTCCTCCAAGGGCAGGGTCTGTCCTTTCCATCTCTGTATCCCCAGTGCCCAGTGCAGCATCTGGCACATAGCAGATGCTAGTAAATATTTGTTACTACACAAATTGCAATGGAAGTCAAGAGAGCAGACATTTGCAAGAAGGAGGGAGTGAAATTCCCTCCAGTCTCCACATGGGTTGTGTTATCCCCTTTAGAATGTCCTTTTTTTGGGCTTCCTTACCCCTGAACTTGGCTCAGCTCCCTTAACGTGGGGCGGTTGTCCTCAGCACTAGGCTGTACACTCCAGCTCTCTCCTGAGTCCTGCAACTCCCCACAAGCCGTGTCCTTGCTGTCATTTGTATACTTCATGTCTTTGTATCCTTACTTCACTCACTTTATTGAGCGTCATCAATAGCATTAATAACACCAGGACCTGTACTGACCCAAGGCAGGGGGAGGATCTAAATGACCCCCCAAGGGAGTCTGGGATCCAAGAGTGGGAATTTGGGGCTTATGCTCACTCACCTCCTCAGCGTGACGGGGATATTGTAGCAACACAGGCTCCTCTGAGGGCCCCAAAACCCATGGTCAGTGCAGTAAGTTGCTCCCCTCTCTTCCGCTCGAGAGGCCACAGGCCAGGTCTCTAGGTCACTGCAGTATCCCTGGTGCTCAGCATAAAGTAGCTACTCAAGAAATGCTTGCTGAATAAGTCTATCTTTGGCTTCACCAAGCCAGGCCCTACCGTGTTCTGAAAGTTTCCCTGAGGTTCCCCCTTCTCTGTGCTGATTCACATCCACACAGCCCTCAAGGTCCATCAGGCCTATCCCCACCCTCACTCCTCCAGCTGTTCCCTCTGCCAGCCTGTGGGGTGCTTCGGAGCTGATGCTCCCTGGGCAGAGGCCCCATGGGTTGGGAATACGATGGGAGAAGTATCCAGCCACGAGTTGGGAAGGCTGGGCTGTAGCCTGCCTCTGCCTTTAGCAGGCAGTGGGACCGTGGCCAGTCACCTCCCCTTTCTGAGCCCTAGCTTCCTCCTCTGTAAGGCAGCAGACTGGCCTCCCGAGTCCCAGTGGTCCTCCTGGTCCTAACTGTCTCATGACAGCCCAGTGCAGCTGTGGCCCCACTCCAGATACAGTTCCATGGTGAGGTCAGTGGGCCAGACGGCCCAGTACTCTTGCTGACGGGCTAGTTGGCAAGCAGCTAAGCCCTAGGCCCTCTCCAGCAGGATAATTGGGTGCTCCCCACCCCTCCCCCAGGCTGCTGGAGGCTGCCCAGTGGCTGAGATAATGTGGGCATAATTGGGGAACTTGCACCACACAAAGCTAGGAACAGGAAAAGCCAGTTGGGAGGGCTTGGGCCCCAGGTGAGAGCGCAGGGAAGGGGTGTGGGATCCAGGAGCCATTTTGGGATTGGTGCCATGCATGGATTGGTGCCATGCATGGTGGACCTGCAACGGGACACGGCCCTCTGAGCCCCTGCAATCCTGTCTCCTCTCATCCCCTGAAGGTGTGGAGGCAGGCAGGGCACAGTCCCTGGGGCACAGGCTGACATTCATTGTCTGAGTCTTCAGTGGTGACCTCACCCTCAGAGCTGTGTCAATGCCAGGAGGGGAGACGGCTGATAGCGGCCAGGCATGGGGTGGGGAGGGTGCTGCAAGGTGGCCGGGCACCCCAGAGGCCCCCTTACATCTACCAATCCCTCACCAGGCAGGGGCAGCCCACGTCTATGTTGGGGTGGAGGTTGCTCTTTTCTGTCCACTGTGGCACTCCCAGAAGCAACCACATGGTGGGGAAGTGAAGGACGTTCCCAGCCTCTCTCTTACTGGGCACCAAGTGGGTGCCCCTCGTCCTGGACATTTTTGCCCTGGTGATGGGCAGGGTGGGGCAGGGCAGGGAGGATCTTTAAGGAGCAGGTACAGACTCACTTTGGTATTTGCCTCTTTGCTACATCTGACTGCTAGCAGGGCCAGGGGAGGTGACCCATGGGGTGAGCATAAGGGAGCTCTTGGAGCAAGGGGCTTAGGGTCATTGAGGGTGGGGACTGGATCCCAGAGTTCTGGAGTTGGGAGGTGCTGGAAGATTGGAAAGGCCTAAAAACTCCACTTCTCCACTCCAGACTTAGGGACCGGGAACCCAAGCCTCGTATTAGGGGCTGCCTGCCTTGGTCCAAGGACTCAGGGTTGGGGAGAAGGACCCTCATTCTTTAGATTGGGAGGTTTTCAGACGGGAGCAGAGTCCAGGTGACTCTAACAGGCGGGTTAGAATGTTAGAGTCAACAGAGGAGCAGGGATCACCACCGGAAAGAAAGAAAGAGCTGGATGGGGGCAAGAATCCTGGAACAGGTGGGCCACGAGAAGGGACCAGGATTGATAAAAGGCAGCCTGCTCCAGGGACAGGCAGCAGAAACAGGGGCTTAAAGACTGCACAGCCCCTCTCCTTGCCAAGCTTCTCCAGACACTGCAGCCTTGACAACCTGAAAGCTGAGCTAGCGTCTCCCACCTTCTGAAGGGCTGTTCCGTCACCACCCTTTCAGGCAGCATGGCGGGGCTGTTAGGAGCCAGGCAGTAGGGGGTTGCATTCCACCTCTGCCATTGATGAGCTGTGCAACCTTGGCCAAATGACTTCACCTCTCTGTAGCTCAGTTTGCACCAATGTTGCACATCTGTAAGATGGGGATTATAATAGCTAATACCTGCCCTATAAAACTGCGTAAGGATTAAAAGAGGGAGTCCATGGGAAACTCAGAAAGCAGCACTTAGGACAAATGAAAGGCTCATTAGATGCTAGCTTCCATCATCATCATCACCATCATCTTTCATCTATGAAGCAACAGGCCTCCCTCCCTGGAACTTCATTCAACAAATATTTGCTGAGCACCTACTCCATACTGGACACTGTAGGGAGTGCTACTAGGCGCCCCTCTTCCAGGACGCCCTTGTGACTGTCATCTCTTCCTACTCAGCTGACAGTTCTATTAATACCCCAATAACATGTAACACTGACCTGTACCCCTTTATTTTCTACTTCCTGGCATATGTGTCTAGCCTGTCTCCCAACCAATTGTAAGCCCCTGCAGGAGATGAAAGGAGCAGGCCTGGCCTTGGGTTGAGTTGACCATGTCACGCCTGCCACTGGCAGGGTCCAGGGCTTGGGGAGTTCCCTGCTGACTTTCTCTGATTCCCTAAGCAGTCAGGGCTGGTCCACAGAACACATCCTGTCTCCTTTCCCGCAGGTTCCCTCTTACATGAGAAGCAGAGGCTGGCCCAGATGTGGGAACTGGGACCACTAAAATGGTAGCATATTGGAGCTTGATGGACCATGCAATCCATCATTTACAATGACTGGAGGGATTAGGTCACCTGCTCAGGGACACAGAACAGCAGCACCCAGCCCAGTGCTTTCCCACCCTGCCACAAAAACAGACTCTGGCTCAACCTAACTCCCTGGGGCCTCTTTCTGGGTGGTGTCCCTCCTAGAATATAACCTCAGTGCCTCCATTGCCCCTTGTGAGAAATGGCACAAACACCAGCTACAATACTGGGGTGGCCATTGCATCTGCAGGTCACCTGACTGGGTGTCAGGTGATAGGTCAGAAACAGGGGCTTTGGGGATCCCGGGTGTGTGTGTGTGTGTGTGTGTGTGTGTGTGTGTGTGGGCACTTGCAGGAGGCTGCTATGTGCTGAGCAATAAGAGCTAGAGAGGTGGGGAGTGAAGGGCAGAGGCATCCATAGAACCTGTGCCCTCAGCAGAGGGGCTCTTGCATCCCACAGATATCAAAAGAATCAGTCTTTTTTTTTTTCCTGAACTCAAGCACTGCCTATATTCTCCCTGACCACCCTATGAGCTCCAGGATCTGGGACCCATGCCCCTGGGGCTTGTTCTCAAGTGCCTCAGTTTCCCCACTAGATCTCAGGTTGGGCAGTTCAGGCTGCCTCACTTCCCAGAAGTGCTGAGCCAGCATGACGGGCCTCAGGCCGGCCCCCTGAGACGTCACAGACCTGCAAACGCCTGAGCTCAGCAACAAAACACAAAGACTCCTCAGTTGTGGCGGACAAACCTGCTCCCCAAGGCCCTGCCTGCCATGGAGCTCATCCGCAAGCCAGTGCCACAGGTTCCCACGCAGCGGGGTGTGGCACACTTCGCTCCCCACATACCCACTTAAAGCAGTTTCTCTTCCTGCCCTTTTAACCCCCAGACCCCTCTTCCTAGCCAAGCAGGCTGGAACTGGGCTCAGGGGTAGGTGAAAGTGGGTACCTAGGTGAGGCGAGGGGGATTTGGGGCTTCCTGGCATAAACCACTTCTTTTGTCCTGGCTGTGCCAGCCCACCCCAGCCCCTCCTTTCCTGAGACTCTGCCTGGGGGCCTTGAAGTGGCTGGGCAGGGGCAGCCAACTTGGCCTGGAGTAAAGTGGCGGCACATTGCAGAGAGGGAGTGGGTCTGTGTGCACGTGTGTGTCTGAGGTGGGTGCTGGGCTCCGCCATAAGGGCCTCTGTGAAATCGATATCCTTCGGGATGCATTTCTAGGGCTTTCCAGGGATGCTCCCACCCCCACCCCAGGAACTGGCAGAAGGGGACAGGATGTCCGGTGAGAAACCGGCTAAGTGGTAAGTGGGAGTGACTCACCCACTGGGAGGGGCAGGGCCTCCATCTGAAACCCTGCTGAGGCAGCACAGTGACCTAAAGGTTATAGGCCCCCTCCTCCCAGTGCAGCCGCTTCCCTGATTGTCAACTCCCAGGGCTGGCCAACTCCATACCTTCTGAAGCCAAGGCCAGCTCCGCCTGGGAGAGAGGCCGGTGTGGAGGAGCGTGCAATCAGGACACCCACTTCCTTTCTGGGGTCCCCTCCTTTCACAGGTTTTGCCAATCAGTGTCACCTAGACTCCGATCATTCTGTCAGCAAAACCCAGAGGGGCAGGGCTCTCACTGAGCTTGTCCTGTCTCATTTCCCCATTAGTCCAGGAGATTCACGGGTGCCCAGGCTGCCCCCTCCTGCCTCCAGACTCCCCTCTACACTCAGGATGGGGAGGAGGGCTCAGCAAGGAAGCAGAAGTAGACCCAGCAGACCCAGTTCTTGTCCTGGTGCTCCAGCCACCTTTCCCTGGGGCTGCGCACAGTCTGGACTTGAGTCCGGCCTGGCCTTGCACTGCTGTTAGTCTGGCATCTCTGTCTCCCCTGCTGCCTGCAGTGCAGAGACTTTGGCTGGTGGGAGGTGCTGATAACATCCCATGAGCCCACAGTCAGGGGCTAATTGCTACCATCCAAGTCAGTGCCTCCGCCCCTCCTTTGGGGTCACAAAAACTGCTGATGTTTTCCTCTTGCCTGATGACCCCCCAACTCCCCACATGGAGCTGTTTAATGATGGGCTGTGGAGCTGGCGCCCGGCGCCTTGGGCGGGTGAGCACAGTGCGTGGGAGAGGAGGGGGCACGGCGGCCTGGGAAAAGCCCCGAGAAGGAGGCAGCGCAGGAGCCCAGGATCTTCCAGACAGGCCAGGCTGGCCCTGCTCTGCTGCCCCGGCGTGGCAGCAGTGATGGGGGTGCTCTGGCAAGTCCCACCTCCCTCCAGCAGGACAGGCTGGGGTCAGAGATGAGTCAGGGAGCTGAGTTTTGCCTTCTCCCACCAGGTGGCTGAGGACACCTGGATTCTGTCCTGCAGGCCTGTTTCATGCTGGCTGCCCCATCCACATGGCCCATCATGGGGCCAGTCCTGAGCCAGCCTCTGACTCCATCGTGGCACCCCAGGAACACAGAGCCTCTCTCTTGGCCCTGCCTGCCTCTAGCCTTCAAGACATCACCTCTTGGATCACTCTCCTGTACCTGCCACCTTTGCTCTGCTCACCTGGACACTGAGAGAGGCGAGCTCTGGTCCCCACTACTTGCTCATTGTTTTTCTGTATGGCCTTGGATAGGGTGGTTTCCTTTGCTGTAAAATGGGGAATATTGGCTCTGATGACCTTGGGGGACTGCACTTTGGACATGACCTGTCCAGCTCACTCTGACCCAGCTGTGCCTTTGCCTTGGATCAACTTCTGGGGACCTATCTACCAAGTGGCTGCTCTGTCTCTCTACACTGCCCAGCTCTTCCAGGAAGACCTCCCAGGTTAAGTGGGATGCCAGGAAAATCCAGGCCACAGCATGGCAAAGCTGGAGCACACAGGGACTCTCCTACAGTCAAGTAATCACCAAGTCTTACTGATGCCAGCTCCTAAACAGCTTTTGAATTCCTCTTGATTTTCCAGCCCCGCTGGTCCTGATTCAAACTTCCTAAGCCCTCTCTCACTAGTGCACACCTCCCTCCACCTCACCTCCGGCAGTCTCCCTTTCTTATTTTCTCAATATTCCCGGGCTGGGACTTTGCACTAGCTCTTTCCTTTGAACCTTAGCACCTGCCATCTCTTGCCTCCCTCCATTTCCCCAAGCCTTGCCCCTTGTCCAGGCCAACATCATCCCTTCCCTAGTCCACTGCTGCATCACGCTAAGTCTACAGTCTCCTGCCTCCAGCTCCACCCTGAAACTCCTTCACTCAGCTGCCAGAGGGATCTCTGTAAGATGCAAATCACTTACTACTTCAGACCCTCCCATGGTATCCTGCAGCCCTCAGGATGAAGTTTTTCCGGGCTCTAGACCCTATCTTGGGCATCCCCAACCTCCAGCCACTTCCTCTCCCAACTCTTCTCTCTCTTCCTTGCCACACTTAACAATCCGGTCGGTTGAGGTTGCTGCCTCGGCGAAAACCGCACCACTCCCCCGTTACCTGCGCAAGTCCTTTTCATTCTTCCCGGAATCACCTTAGAGTTGACTTTCAAGGGGGAGGCTTCCCGGAGCCCTCCTCTTCCCACCTTCATGGATTGCGTGTTCCTGCACCCCCAGGGTCCCAGTATCTCGGCGCACACCTGTCCTAGCGTTTCTCATACGGAGTTTGGAAAAGGCCAGGACTTGAATGAACCCAGTGCCTGGCACATGGGAAACACAGGGGGCCCAAGTGGCAGGTGGAAAAGGCTGTGAGCAGCTGGGGGCCTGAGCCAGGGTTAGCCATTTCTCAGGTCTGACTGCAGCTTCCTGGAAACTGCATATTATCCAAAAGGCAGAAATGGAAAGTGAGGCCTCACACCTGCATGGAAGGGAAGCAGGTCAGGGTCCGAATCTTCTCCTTCCTTGACTGAAAGCAGGAAGCCACATCCCAACAGGGGGAAGGTTGGCCCGATCCCTCGCCCACCTCCAACCCCACGACTTCTGCTTGCTTCCCCGAGACATTTCTCAATTGCTTTCCTCTCTCCTCTGCCCCAGTTCCCAGCACCTAGGCCCTCTTCCTTCCTCACGCCAGACCATAAGGTGACAAACATTTTTCTCACCCAAGCAAACTCCATCCCTGAGGCCCTGCTCTGGAGATCTTAGCCTTGTTTGTGTCTGCACTCCCCGGTTCATCGCCCCTCCCACCACCGCTGGGGCTTCTGCTGTCCCAGCCTTTCATGGTCTGGCCAACCTGGAACCCCCTGGCTCTGAGGCCAAGATTCAGGCAGGTCCCATTGTCTGCCGCTGATGCCAACCCTCTCCACCCCAGCTGCAGCAAACAACACTGTCTTGTAGCAGACACGGCAGCCTGGATTTCCCTCGGCAAGTGTGCATTTTTAATGACACATTTTGGGGAGTGTAGGCAGCAGCCTCTTTGGAAGGCTAGTGTGGGGGTGGGAGAGGCGGGGGGCTGCCGAGAAAGCAGAGGGAGAATTCCCCAGGCTTCCCCGGAGAATCTTTTAAAAGCTCAGTATTGACATCTGCATTGTCTCAGCCCCGCAGGCTTCAGGCTGATGTTCAACACCTGTTTGGAAGCAGAGGGTTCTCGATCTGCCTCATCCCAGGAGGGGCCTGTGGGGCCACCCCAGCGCCCAACCCTCCCGATGCCCTGTCCAGCTATGGGCAGCTGCCTGCTCGGATGGCCGGGGGGGTGAGTGGAAGGCAGTGGGGGAAGGTATACAATGCCTACCTGCAGGGAACACTCATTCTAATAGGGATGGGGTGGGAGTTCTAGGGGTTGTGTAGAAGGCCTGACAGATGAGAGATTAAGAGGAACATGGCAGCGGGGGGAGGGGTAGAAAGTAATCTATGAGCGCTGACTTTGAATTCAGATAGACCTGGGTTTGTGTCTGCTGCTTTTTAGCTGGTTGACTTCGAGAAAGGTGCATTAATCTCTCCATGCCTCAGTTTCCTCATGTATAAAATGGGGCCAGTAATAGTACTATCTCCTAGGGCTGATTTGAGGATCCAATGAAATAATTCAGTTTTGCTCTTGGCGTAGTGCTTGGCCCATAGCTATGCTATACAAGCAGTTGTATTATTTGCTAGGAGAAAGAACCTACCTAGAAATCACGTGCTCTGGTTCCCTGATTCCCATCCCGGCTCTAAGCCCACCCTGTGATCCTGAGCAGACCCCTGCAGTGATGAGGCTACTCCCCCAGGGCACGAATGAACTCCGCACCAATGACATTTTGGAGGGGGGGACTGTCCTGTTGTGGGGGGCTGTCCTGTGTGTTGCAGAAGTTTAGCAAGATCCCTGGCCTCTACCCAAGTGCACCCCCTCCATTTGTGATGACAAAATAACCACAGACATTGCTGCATCTCCCATGGCAGGCAAAATCATCCCCGGGTAAGACCACTGGCCTAGAGGAAGGGAGTAAAGCTCAGGCAGGGATGGTGGAGCTCACGAGGGACATGCAGGGCTGGCTGTGGCAAGCTGGTGCAGAGAGGAGTGGGAAACATAGTTGGGGGGCACTCTGGTGGGGAACTGTCCTTGTTTGTCCAGGGACAGAGGGTCCAGAAGTGGCTGGGAACAGGGCTGGAGAGTCTGGGCTCTGTAGGAGGGGCAGTGAGTTGTGTTTGGGGGAGACAGGTAGAGAGAACAGGGTCCTCTGGGGAGCTGGCTGTCAGAATATGGGTTATAGAGTGGCATGTGTGTCCTCAGAGGATGCAAGAGGGTGGGTAGGGGCAGCGAGGGGAGGGACACAGGGGACATGCGGTGGGGTGTTGTGAGCACCTTTAGACAGGGAGGGGAGGGAGGCTGCCAAGGTAGGGGCTGCGCTAGGTTTCTAAGAGCTGAAACAAAGTCAGGCAGCGTCTTCCTTCGGCTGGTAAACTGCTATCATTTTGGAAGGATTTTCACCTCATTTGGTTTCTGCTTAAGTGAAATCCACAACATGTGTTCTGTGCATTAGTGGAGTGTTTGTGCTTAATTAGTGGCAAATTCTTTCATATTAAAGTCATTAAGTTTTGCCGTTTGCGCTCCTCACCCTGGGCCTGGTTCTCCTGGCTTTTCTTTGAACATAGGAGGGCCTGATTGCAGACTTGCAGGTGGTTCCAGCCTCGCAGCCTCAGGAGCAGCACACACATGTGCACACGCACCTTCCCTGTGGCATTCAGACCCTACAGCATCAGCCCTTGAGCCCGTCCCACCCAGGGCTGGCATCTGGCACTCCCAGCACTTCCATCCATGCCCCAGGCACCTCCTGCTCCTAGGCAAGGCTTTGGAGTCAGAATTCTGCCTGCCCAGAGGCACTCTGCTGTGGGAGGGAGCTGCAAAGTGAGGGACTATCGGTTCAGGCTTCAGGGTGTGGGTGGGGCCCTGCTGCTGAAGGGGCAATGAGGAGAAGGCAACCTGACTGTTCAGAAGTTCTGAATGTGCCCCGCACATTCCAAACAGGCAGCAGGGCTAGGAGCTCCGTGCGCACTGCCAGAGCAGCAGGTGGGGGCCACTGGAGCAACATTGGGATGGAGGGCTCTCGACCCCATCCCCTCGAGAAGGTCTTGGTCTCACCAATCCCCACCGCAATGACCCCTGAAATAATACTTTGTAGCCACAGCACAGTGGTGACCTTGAACTCTTGGACAGCGAGTGGGGATCAGTGACCAGGGCCCCAGAGCAATCTCTTCCCTCCACCTGCTTCCAAAGCAGCTTGAGAAGAAGAAGGTATCTGCATAGGCACCAAACCTGCTATTTCATTTCTGGGCAGAACTCACTGGTCTGGACCCAATGAGCGATACTGCATTCAAATTGCACGTAACGTCTGGGTTAGACATAACATTCCCAGGTGGGGCTGGGCCTTCTGCTGAACCCTTCCCTGTATGGATGATACAAGAACTGCACCAGGCCTTGGCACAAGGTGCTCAGGGCCTCTTCTGTACCTGGACTTAGGCGGTGCCAGGAAAGGGAGCTGTGATGCTGGAGGAGACAGCCGGAGCTCCTTTCCTCGCAGCCCCTCCTTGGTGAAACGTCACCCTGCAGTGTCTCAGGTGGCACAACCATGGACTGAGACCCCAGCAGGCCAGCCTCTCTTTCCATGTCTCCTGGCTCAGGGCTGTCTCCATCCAACAACAACAAAAAAAATAAATAAATAAAAAATAAAGGCTTCCTTGCTTCCTTGCCACCCTATGAGCTCTGCTCCTGGATCACAGACCTCCGAGCTGGGGGGTGGCAGTCTTTATCCGATGTGCTTCAATGACCAGGGGCTGGGGCCAGAAAAAAAAGGGGATGGGAAACGGAACTAGCAAAGGCTTAAAGTTGAGTTTTCTCTTGACTTCTTCAGCTAGTGTGGCCTCAGGAGCCCCCACCAAAGGGTCTCCAGCAGCGCTGCCGGAGGTAGGCCAGGAGGGCAGGTCCCCCAGGCACCAGCAGATCAGGGCCTCAGGACTGCTGGGGTAAGAGGCAAAACCCCGGCCCTGTGTTCCCTTGGCTGATGAGAGAACCCAAACCCCACAGAGGGGAGACCAGCCCGTGCCCAGATGTTCAGGCTTATGTCTGAGTAGCATCTGGGTGGGGCCTGGGGTGGGGAGGGTCCCACATCACAGGATGCCACAGAGGTGGGGGAACTCGGGGACAGGGGCAGGGACTCTGAGTGGCCCTTCCATCACTGCAGAAGCCACTCACTTTTCACGCCGCCCCCCACCTCAACCTACCTTCCGGCTCAACTACCACCCCAACCCCGATTCTCTCCCCTGGCCAATGGTCCTGTGAAAATGGGCAGTTATCCTCCAAACATAAGCAATGGCCTTTTGTTCAACTAGTGCTGAGCCTCCCAAACTCATCCACCCTTTCTCAGGACACAGCCTGAGCTGGAATACCCCAACTCAATGTGCTTGCCCCAGTGTTAACCACCAAAAGCATTCTCCCCAACCACTCACAGAAACCCCAAGAGTAGCCCCCGCCCAGGTCTCAACATCAGTGCCAACCTAGACCACAACACAAACCCGGGTCATGACCCCAACTCTAGTGTTAACCTCTTCCTGGTTTAACCACAGAACGAAGCAAACTCCACGCATGGCCCTCAGTGCAGCAGCAGGCCTGAACTCAGCTCCTCTGGAGCTCCAGGTCTAAACCCAGCCCCAGCTTGGGGTCACCCTGGAGGGCAGGCAGCCACAGTTCACAGTTTTCTTTCCACCTGAGAGTCCCCCATCCTGAGGTGGGCGGGGAAAGTGGGATCTTCAAAAGGTTGTGACATGGGGTTTTGGGGAGAGGCCAGCTGAGCTGAAGGCTGCTCTGCGGGTGGTCTGCCTGCAGGGGGCACGGTGCTGCCCACTCTCTGCCTTGCTCTTGCCCCGCTACAGCAGGGCCTGTGGACACATCCAGGTCCCTGGGCTTTCCCTTTCCCCAGTGCCCAGAAGGCTGAAAGGGGCGGTGGGAAGGCAGAGGCTTCCTTGTTTTTCCTGGTGCTAATGTCAGCCTTGGCACTTAACTAGCAGTAGGACCTATGAACAAGTCTCATAACTTTCCCGAAACCCAGCCTTTTCACCTGTAAATGGGCCGGAGCACATCCACCTCATTTGGTTGGAGGGAGAGCTCCTGTATAAAATGACCTCCCCAGTCCCAGGAGTTTTCTGGGAGCCCTCCTGCCTGGCCTGCCCTGCTCCCAGCTCCCGGCTGTCATCCTCCCTTCCTCCCTCTTTCTCAGCAGCACTGAAATCATCACTTGGCAAAATGCTGAGGGGAGCACATCCCTCCTCTGCCGCGGCCTGTCTTCTTCCTGCCCCGCCGGGCAGGGGCATGTGGGGTGAGGGGCCTGAGAGGGAGAAGGTAGAAGCCCTGAGCCTGGCCGCATGTCCCCAGCCCCACCTGCTCCCTCCCAGCATCCCCAGTGGTGTCAGAGTTTCGAGAGTGGGGTCTTTCCCATGCTTCCCCGCCCGACCATCCCTCTGCCCAACACGAATCTATCAGGAGCCTCGCCCAGCCCCGCTTCCAGCTCAGACTTGTCGGGGTTTCAGGAGTCACTGGGTAGGGGTTGGCGTGCCAGGGCCTGCTCCGCACACTGCCTCACGGAGGAACCAGCACGTAGGCTCGGGGCTCGCGCCCAGCTGCGGATGCAGCTCAGCCTCGGTGGCCACCTGCTTCCCTTCCCTTCCCTCCTTCCATTCCCATGCTCTCTTGGCTCTGTGCAGAGGGGCCCCTGAAAGCCGAGAAGTGGCTTGTGGCAGTGATGTGTGTGTGTGTGTGTGTGGGTGGCGGGGGTGGGAAGTGGACCCCATGTTTGCCACCTGCCTCCTTTCGGCCACCCCAAGGTTGGGCCCATGCCCTTAGCAGCAGCAGAAGCTGGGGCTCAAGTGCTCCCCTCCTTCCCTCCCTGGGGGAGAAAGTACAAAAGGGTCAGGTTCCCTGCCAGGCCCCTCCCAAAGGATGGCAAGAACAGTTAACACATGTGCACTGCTGATCTGTGCCAGGCCTGGGGCTGGATATTTACATACATTAATTCACTTAATCCTTACAACACTCCAGGAGCGAGATTGTCCCCATCTTAGAGATGAGGAAACTCAGGGAGGTCAAGTCACCTGCCCACGGTCACACAGTCTGCAAGACTGATTCTGATCAGGGCAGTCTGTCTCCACAGGTGACGTTCTTCACCACACTCATAGCTCCACGGCCTCCCTCTCTCCCCTTCCTGGGGAAAAGAGCGGCCAGCACCCTCTGAACCAGACCTGGGTGAGCAGCCCCTGCCTGCTGGCAGTGCTGGCCTGAGGCTGACGATGGGGCTGCTGGGAGTGCCTTGTAGAGAGGGCAGGCACCATCCTCCCACCCCTGCCACTCCTCCTTCGTTCTGCGGGAGGCTGAGCTGACACCTCCACCTCCCCCAGGACTACAGGGGCTAGCAACCCCGGCAGCCCAGCACAAGGATATGACTGAAGACTCCAGACATGAAAAGCCCCCATTCTTCCCCTGTTCCTCTTGCCTCCTCGTCCCAGAGCTCAGAGACTTGACTTCCAGTCCAAACCCTGCCACTCTCGGGGTGTGTGTCTCTCTCTCTCTGCCCCTCAGCTCCTCCACCTGTGAAACCTGGAGGTGGCACCTGCACCCTTTGCCTCCTGGAGCTGTGGGGTGGTGAGGACCAAGTGAAAAAGGAATGCTGAGCACCTCTGAAAACTAAAGGGTGAATGACAGCTGCACGCATCAAGCACCTGTGATGTCATCCATTTACATGTAAAATCTCATTTAATCTTCACAACTACCCCGAGTGGGGAGTCCCCTCAGCCTCGGGCCAAGAGAGGAGAGTGACTGCCAAGCTCTGTCCTTTCCCAAGGCCCAGGAGTGGAAGGTGCTGTTATTCTTTTCCTCGTTTTTCACTCAGCCCCTCCCACTCTGGGCCATGACCACCATGAAGCCCAGGAAGTGGCAGCAGGTGCTCATGAAGAGTCAGCAGAGGCTCCTCACACCCCTCCCTGAGTTGGGGCACTGGGGTCCTGGGAGGCCCAGCTCAGCCTCCAAAACACGCAGGGGGCTCCAACACACCTCTAATGTTGGACGGTGAAGCCGGGCTTCCCCAGCAGAGGCTACTGGGATAGCACACCAAATTAGCTTAATGAGTGAGGCCCAGCTTTAGTAGGGGCCCTCCATGTTGCAGCGCTGACTCCTGCTTTCATTTTTAATGCTGGGAAAGGGTGGGTTTTCTTTTTCTCTCTCCCCCGTGCATTTTCACCCTAGCTAATGACTCCTCACTCAGAAAGGCCCCTACCACTGCTAATTAGATTTAATTACTGGGGTAATTAATGATTTGATTGGAAAACTAAAATATTGTGGGTGAATTTTGTGTATAAACAGGAAAGTCAAAGGGACAGGGAACTCAGGCTGAGACCAGTCTGGGGCAGAAGGAAAGACCAGGCTGAGCATTGGTCAGCTAGCAGCTCTGAGACAGGGACTGTCTGCTCTTGACTCCCCATTCACAGAGGGGGAAATGGAGGGGCAGAGAAGGAGAGCTCTTCCAAGATTGCCAAGCAGTTAGTGGGAATCAGGGGAAGCAGGAGCTGGCAGGGTCGGACCCAGGGAGAAGAGGGGTGGGAAGGAGTGATCTGAGCCTGGATGGCTTGGCTCCGTGGCTCGGCTGGCTCAGCAGTGTGATCATGGCCCAGGAGCACCTGGGCAAGAATCATCAACTGAACACTAGCCCATAGAAATGTACTGTGGTGGTTTCTCTTGTGGTTACAAAGACCCTGCCTCTGGGTCACCAGATAAGCAAATAGCTCAAGCCAGGAGGCAGCCAGTTGTGGCGAGAAGGAGCAGTTGGTGGTAGGCAGGCAGTTGGGAGGCCTGGGTCCCCTGGAAGCTCACTACCTCTCATTGCAGAAGGTTCCTGACCTTCTATCTATTTCCTGCTTGGCTCACAGCCGCCTGCCTTGGCCTGAAGTGATGTGGGCTGAAGAGGGCAGTGTGGGCAACACGTTTGCTCTTTGAACTTGATGGTGACACACCAGTTTTGTATTACTCTGGGGAGGGGAACCCTGGAGGAAGAAATAGGGGAGAGAAGGGGATGGGGATGCTGATTTGGCCCATGGTCCACTCCAGGGCAGGCCCTCAATGATACCCCTGTGCTGAGGGCCTGAACCCAGGTGTCCTGCTGCCCCCCCAGGCATCTTGCCCTCCATGTGCACTGAACTCCTCTCTCCAGCTGCTCCTTCAGCCCTACCCCTCCCAGGGCCCAACCACAGTTGCATCAATATAGCCCCTTGACTCTCCTTCTGAAGGTCTAGAATACAGCCATTCAGCTCCCTCGGCTCCCTGCAACTCCACAGGGAGGTGAGGCTCCTACTGTCTCTTATCTGGAATCACAGTACTGAAAATATCACACCTTTACTGAGCACCCACTGTCTAATGGGTATTACGTTAGGTAATCCGTCTCCCCAGTATGCTGAGAAACTGAGGCTCAGGCTCGGGAAGTGATCTGTCCAAGCCACACTGCTAATAAGTGGATTTAAATACAAATCAGATCTTGTTACACAAGTCCCCGGTCGCTCTCCACTGCCTTGGGGTAAATCTAAACTACTTATCAGGCCTTCACAATCTGTCCCTGCCCATATTCCCATCTCCCTCTCCCACCCCTCCCAGGTCCCCACCCTCCCCACCAGTCCCCGCTGCCAGTGGAAAACTCCTACCCACCCTTCAACACTCAGGTCCCACACTGGCATCAGCTCTGACCTCAGGTTCCCACAGCACCTGGCTCCTTGCTCAAACAGCTCTCCCTGGCACACAGTGTTGGCTGTGCCATGAAGACAGACGTGCTCACCCCCGACGTCCCAGCACACAGCCTGACACCCGGCACGCAGTAGGCCCTGGATCCAGGTCTGCTGGATGAACTGAGAGCCAGAGTCAAATCCCAGAGAACCAACTCAGGGATGGGGGTGCCTGGTGGCTTCTCAGGTCACTGCGATCTTTTAATCAAGACTTCTTAGGAAGCTGAGTGATCAAAGAAGGACCAGAATCCCTGGTGAGGGCCATGCTTATTTACCAAAATGAGATTCTCTGTAAGAGAAAGGCTGATGGGCTGCATATGTGGGGGCCGCATTCAATTCATGCCTCCAGTGGGAAGTGGGAGCACCCCCCTTTGCTCCCCAGGTTGGTTTGCAAGTGCTGATCCCATCACGCTCCTCCAGCCCCCTTTACCAGGAGGGTCCTGGATCCTGGAATAATCAAGAGGAAGGTGCTACCTATTTTGTAGATGTTGAAATTAAGACCCAGAAAAGTGAGGTGTCTTACATGAGGTTATATAATAAACTAATTGAAAAGCCAAAAAGAATCCAAGTCTCTTGACCCTTCTTCTACACTCTTGGTGCCAAAGGGGTGAGGAAGAGGCAACAAGGCACAGCCTTACAGTCCTGGTGGGTGAAGGTGTCTGGGTAAGTCTATACATATATTTTAATTTTTAAATTTTTGGTAGAGTTGGGGGTCTTGCCTAGGTTGGTCTTGAACTCCTGGCCTAAAGTGATTACCACCTGCCTCAGCTTCCCAAAGTGTTAGGATTACAGGCGTGAGCCACTGAACCCAGCCCAAAGGTAAAAGTCTGTCTTTGGAGGGCAGGTTGGTGTCCCCCGCACAGTGCTCAGCGACTCAGGCTGCCTAGAGTAAGGTGAGGATGGGCAGCACCCTACCCCCAGCTAGACTTCAGCATCGAAGAGCAGAGTGGGCCTCTTGTCAGTGCAATCAGGAGGTGTTCTGGAGTTCAACCCCGCCCGCCCCCTGGGGTGGGGTTGGAGGAGGGAGGGAAGCTGAAGAAGCAGGTCAAAGCAAATCCTCCCCAGCTGCCCCACCCCCACTGAGAGCGGGCAGAGCCTGAGCCTGTAGGACCAGAATCAGGTGCCCTGTCCTGACATGTCCCAGAGACACAGCTTGAGTGGGAAATGAGGGAGGTGAGTCAGGGCTGGGTGTTGGGGGCAAGAGAAAGGGGCAGGAGGTCTGTCCCATTTCTGAGGACACAGGGACCAGGGCTGGCAGGAACCAGGAAAGGGTGGGTTCCCCAGGGTGGGAATTGCACAGGGTTGGCTCAGTGGGTCTTTGGCCCAAGGCCTCCACCTCTCCTGGGTTACAGGCTCAGGCAGGCCCCGGAAAGCAGGACTGCAGGCGGCATAGGGGCGGATGGGGCGAGGCTGGAAGGCATCTTGCCACATTGTCTAGGGAAGAACCAATGCTGAGGCCTGAGAATAGTGAGATAGCCGCGCGATGTCACCTGCACAATGCACTAAGATCAACAGGAGACCTGGCAGGGGAGGAGGGAGGGCATCCTGTCTCTCCAGCCCCCTCCCCGCCTCCTATGAGGCCTGCCCACTCTGTGTGCTGCCCGCTGCAGCGGGCAGAGGCCGGGCCTGGGAGGGGCAGCCTGCGAGCAGCTCAGGGAAAGGCCCTCTCACCCACAATAGATGTGGGGGGCGGGGAGGTCGAGGTGAGGATTAGGGCGGGGAGACGCTTTGAACCCCAGAAAGACTGGTGGGAACTGGTTCTTGACTCACAGCCGAGAGAGGGGGGTAGGGAAATGCAAGGGCTTGCGCTTTATTATTTTTTCTTTTATGAGATGTGAACTCAAGCAATTAAAAAAATATGCATTTTATTTTTTGCACAATTGGCCCTGCTGTGTCTCTTCATCTCTGCTCCAGCCCTGGTCCCATCAGCACGGTTGGCATTTCACAGCAACTTTTCATCTTCAAAGTGATTAGACAGATTATGTGCCCAAGTTTTTATAAGGCTCAGCCCCTCTCCTTCGTAGGCTCCCGCAACCCTAAAAATAAATACTGGTGGTCAGTATCTGTGCTTCCTGCTTCCCAGAATTCTGGCAGCAAGTTATTTTATTTCCACCACTATTGGCTGAATACCTTCTATCTACCAGGCACTCAGAATCTCCTATTTTTCACTTCCATCTTCTGGAGCAAGGACTGATAGTCCCATTTTACAGAGGGAGAAACTGAGGCCCAGTGGTTGAGAAATTTGCCAAGTTGTGTAGCTAAAGGGTGGTGGATCCAGAACCCGAACCTGAGTCTTCTGGTTGTGGTCCACTGTGCTCCCTTTCAGACTGACACTGCCCCTTGGTTTTCTGTCTCCTCAACTGGAACCCTCTCTTAAGACCAGATTCCAGCTTTCTAGGCAGGCAGTGCCTAATCACTGGTGTGCACATTATAAGTTCTCAACAAATTCTGAAGAGTGATTTCCCCAGAGGACAGGCAGGATGGGCTGCAGAGGCTGAAGCCCTCGGTGTCCTGCCCAGCCTGAGTCTTCTCCCAGCTCCTTACCAGGGACAGGGAAGGGGAAAAGAAAGAGCAAAAACCGGGGTTTTGGCATGGCAGAGCTCTCAATGTGGATCCAACTAGTGCCCAGACAGGTAGCTGGGGACCACACCTGCCCAGGCCCAGGCCCTGCCCTGCCTGACATGCTGCCCCAGGCACTAGTTGGCAAAGGCTCCCAAGTGGACTTGGACAAGAAAGTTCTTGGAAAAGCAATTCCCATGCTGGACCCTTTTGGCAAGGTGGCAGCAGACAGAGGTCATACCCCACCAGAGTTGGGGGCCTGAGCCTCTAGACTTTCCCAGCTGAAGGGTGCTGTCATAACTACCCCCGACACTGGCAAGGTTTTACTCCACAAAACCCCACCCAGGTGATTAAATTGTCTCTTCCCCTTCTTTCACGGTCTTCAGCATATGAGATTCTACCATTTCCCCCTGGGAAACTGCTAAAGTGTTCTATACCCCTGAGTAGTGGAGAAGTTCTTCCTGATATCTACCCTCAATTCCTCTTATTATAAGGGAAGCACAATCTGTCCCATGGTGTGCTTGGGCATGTGGGATCAGGTACCAGGGCTGGGGATCAGGTAGTTCCTCCCCATAAGGAGAGAGCAGTGGAGAGTAGAGAGGGAGTTCGCATGGTGGACAGACCTGGGGCTGGGCTCTTCCACTCATTGGCAAGTTGCCTTACCCTGTGAGCCTCAGTTTCCTCATCTGTAACATGAAACCCCAGTTTCTAATACTTTATCACAAAATGGCTATAAGGATTCAGTAAAATAACGTATGTACATGGTTAGCCAAGTGCCTGACACAGAATAATTGCTCTGGAGGTGGCGAAACTGATATGTGGGTACCCTAGGATCATGGACAGGGCTGCAAGCTGAGACCATTCCTCAGGGTCAGAGCAAGACCCTTTCTAGCATCCCAAAGTGGGCTCCAGGCCCTCCCCAAAGGCCACAGCTGCTCCCATTTGTGTGGATTCTCTAAGCTGCCCTGTGCCAGCCTGCAGAAAAATGGGCAGCCTCAAAGCTCCACAATGGGTGTCAGACAGCTCAATTGTTTCCTCGAAAATCAGCATCCTCACTCTGGCCTGTGGTGCCTGCCCTGGTCCTGGAGTCCTATGTTTTTCAGGTAGGGGCCCAGGAGAGCTCTGCAAAGAGCTAGGATCATCATCTCTGCAGAGGATAAGGGGAAGTGCCATGTGTCTCTGCCAGCCGGCCCCCTGGTAGGTACCAGCACAGGCCTGTGTTTATACTGTGGCATGTGATGAGCCCTAAGGATGCAGGAAAACAAGGACCAGTGCTGGAGCTTTGACCTGAGCTGAGGGGACTTTTCCCAGTCTCCTCCCTGAGTTCCTGGAGTCTAAGAGTTCCGACTGTCCTCAAGGGAACTCTGGGACTCTTTCCCACGGCCCCCGGCCAGCAGACGCCAACTAGCCCAGCTCCTCCCTCTCTCTGCGTCCTTCTCCCCAGGCCGGCCACACCCAGCTCTGTCAATGCCCAGCCCCGAGTCCTGGAGAGCAGAGGCCCCTGTCCCCAGCGGCCCGCCCCACCCCTGCAACTCTGGCCCCTCTGGCGGGCAGGCACGGCTGGGCCTCGAGGCCTGGCTGGAGTCACAGGATGACTGGAGGGCCCGTTCCATCTATGCCTGCTCCCTCATCACACACAAACATGCAAGGGAGAGTGGCAGGAGTCTGGGGTAGGGCCTTTTGAAAGACGCTCAGGTGCATTCCCTGGAGTGCTCATGAAGTCCTCAGCCTTCCAAGGCAGGTGTTAGGAGACAGCTGAAGACATCGAGACTAAGTGGCATTCGGGGTTGCCAAGGTCACGGTTAGTGGCAGAGCCAGGATTCAAAGCCAGGTCTCCTGACTCCAAGTGTAGTGTGTACCCCACCAGCTCACCCTTTCTCTCCAAGGCCTCAGAAGATGGGGCTGCTTTCCAGGTCTAGCTCTGTGGAAAAATCACAACCTCTCTGGGTCTCTGTTCCCCCTCTTAAAGTGGGAACCACCACCACCCCAGCCCCTGAGGTGTGGGGAGACCATCAGATGAAACAAACTGTGGAGCCGGAACTGTGTTACTGGAGAAAAGGCACTGTAGCGACAACCGTGTTCATGATTCGAGGCCCTGAAACAGGACTCTATGTCTCCTGCTGGGGTGAGGGCCCGCCTGAGGGTTTTGCCAGGAGGCCTGGGGGAGAATCTGCCCTTGTGGTCACTGAGGCAGGGAGGGGGTGTGGTGTGACCTAGCACTGGATGCTGACCTTTGGTCTGACACCATTGGCATACACCCCACCTCCCCTGGAAGGTTGCCCGTTCTTGGCTCTGAGAGTCCCTAATGGGACAAATTCATTTAGTTACAATGTCATTTGTCAAGTGCGGACACCTAGTTCGTGAAAGGGGCCTGGCTTGGGAGTCAGGAGATCCAGGTACTAATACCATTGCTGCCAAGAGCCAGTGAACTGTGTGGCTTTCTCTTTCCAAGCCTCAGTTTCCTCATTTAAAACACAGGAAGGCTGCTCGGTTGATCCTTCCTTCAGGTTCCATCTGGCTTGGCCAGTCTGGGGGTCTCTGCTCTGCAGCCACCCTCCAACAGGCTGCCGGTGTGGAAGGCAACAAGCTCTCAGGCCTGGGGGTGGGACGGTGGGTGGGGAGTGTTCACTTCCACATTCCCAGGGTCCTGTAGCTCAGCGGAAATGAAACCTCTAGGATGTGATCGCAGCATGGCGGGATATGAAACAGAATGGATTTTGCAACCCTTCAAGGTGTTGTATGCAAGGCGTGGCTCTGTCAAGGGCCTCTTGCGCCTGTTGAGAGGTGCTTCTTAGAGTTGGTGACTCTCTGAAACCAGGGCTGGGCCCCTTTCTGGGATGGGGGGTATATGAGAAAAGGCATCAACTCTGCGAAACAAATCCAGGCTCTTGCCCAAGTCAAAGAGCAGCCCACAGTAGCACTGGAGCTTCTGTGGCTTGGGGTGGCTCCTGGGCTGAGACCTTGAACTTACACCCAGGAAGTGAGGCATCTGTTAGTAAGTGAGACTCCCAGCCGTGAGTCAGGTCTCTGCAGTGGGGCAGATGTGGGGGTACGGGTGTGTGCTCAGGAGGGGAGGCTGGGGAGCAGGGTGCTTGCTCAGCTAAGCACTGATCCTGCTACTGCCAGCCATTCGCTGTGTGGCCTTGTAACGTATGTAACTGCTCTGTGCCTCAGCTGTGTCATCTGTGAAATGGGAACACCAATTATTGCTTGTTATAGCTCTTGGGATTATTGCTAGGGTCAAACCAAAGTGACCTCATGAGTATGAAAGAACTCAGAACCTTCCAGAGCTTTACTGAAGTTCTGTCTCTCAAAATAATGAGAGCTGACTTTTCTCTGAGCAGTGCTTGTCGCAGGCCATCCTCCCACCAACTCTGAATGAGGTGGGCACTGACTCTGTTTCATTGAAGTGACACAAACACAGAGAGGTAAAATGCCAAGGGGTGTCTGGGGCTCAGAACCCTAGGCAAGTGGACAAAATGCATTGTGGGGGCCCTCTCAGCTTGCAGTCCCTAGAACGGGACCACAGACCCCCTTTGAGTGACACCTCTTCTGTCCTTCTCTGCTCTGGGGTTGGTATTGTGGGGAGAGGCCAGGGCTGGGATTCCAAAGCCCAAACCTGGCCTCTCCCAGACTCTTCCCTTCCTCCTGGCTCTAGGGGGCATCTGGAGAGGAGACAAACCTAGGGGAGATGTTAATTAGTTCTGACAAATTAATAAAGAAAGCCTAATTTATTCTCCAGGTCTCATTTCCTTCCCGGTGCTTTATTTTCCTGCCCAACAAGCTGCTGCTAGGGAAATGGAGGGGAAAGGTGGTGGGGGGTGGTCATTCTCAAGACAGGGGCAGCCCAAATCCACCTGCCTCCGCCTCACTGGCTCCCGCCCCGTCCCTGTCCCTCCACTGCTCCAGGAAGCCAGCCCCAGACATTAAGCTGTCAAACCACTCCCAATTATCTCCCTCTATGCCCGCCGGCTCCAGGGGCGACAGTTGTAGCAAGCTGACGTTGACTCATTCTGTCACCGGCCTGCCCTGCTCTGGGAAAATGCAATTTAATGAAGTCCGATGGCAGGGCTGGGGCAGACAGGGTCCCAGGAAGAGGGTGGCACCAGCCTGGGGACAGCTGACAGTGCCCTCTTCCTGTGGGACAGTGTTTTTGATCTGTGTGATGTGATCTCATCTCTAGACACTGGAGGGGTCATCCTGGACCTCCCCCTGCCCCACTCACCTCTCCAGCAGCTCTGAGCAACCAAGGCATTAACCTTTCCCACCAGGGCCTCCACCTCCCTCGGCTGCCTGTTTTAATAGCGTATGGTCATGACAGCTGGGAAATTCGTCCTGTGGTTTCATCTCAATCCCTTCTGCTGAAGAGCAAGTCCATTTCCCTAAGCCTTTTGATACAGAGCCTGGGAGTGGGTCAGCCACCGCCAGATGCCATCAAGGCGAGTCCAGGGCTGTGGCTGAGGCCATCTGTGTACTGCTAGGCTAACTCTGCTGCTGGGAAGAAGCAGATTGTTCCTTCTGCTTCTGGTTGGGCCTAGCCTGGCCCTTCCACTTGCCCCCTTCTAGTCCTACCTCACCAGGGGCATTTGCTGAAGATCCCCGTTCTCTCAGTTATACAGCAGAGAAGCCTCTGACTCCAGGCTCCTGGGTTCAAATCCCAGCTCTGCCACTTGCAAGCTCTGTGACTTTTTTTTCTCGTCTATAAAAATGGAGAGAGAATAATCACTCCCTCAAAGGCTGTAGGGAAGATTAAATAAAGCTCTATAAGCAAAGCCCTGAGAGCTGACCCTGGCATATGATGGCTCAGTAGATGGTAGCTTTTGGCGCTGTGGCCCCCACACCTTTGGCAGATGCAGGGCCTTCCCAGGGTCTCTTCCTCTTTTTTTCCTCTTTCTCCATGGCCCATTCATTCTTCGTGCCTTGAGTAACATCTCTTACCCTGGGAGGCAGCCCTGTCCCCCAGTATGGGTTAAACCCCCCTTGCTCTATGTTCCCACCAGGCTCAGGCCTTTGCCACACTTAAAAAGCATATTCAGTGTCTGGCCCCCACCAGCCTGTGAGCTCCATGAGAACATGCATGGCACCTGTTTTGCTCAAAGCTGATGCCCAGCACTTCCCAGGGCCTGCACATGGGAGGTGATCAACAATTAAGAGGTAACTGACACACGGCATGACCAGGAGACCAAGGTGCCTCAAAGCTTCCCCAGCTCCAGTGGGAGGGGTTGGGACCCACGTGGGTTTGAGAAATGCTCCTGGCAGAGGATCTGACCACGAGTTTCTTCTGCCTGGCCCCACTCTGTGTCCCACGTGCTGGAGGCCCAAGTAGTCAGGAAGGGCCTTCATGCTGGCACCAACGGGACAGATAAATGTCTTTCAGCAAGGGGCAGTCAGGCATCTCCAGAGCTCAGAGGCTGGCTGGCCCTCAGAAGTCACAATACCACGCTGTCTTGTACCCTTCTTGGTGTTTGCCTTGGACTTGTCCAAGTGGTAGGATTATAGTAGCTGGTCCCACACAGATCCCCTGTGTACCCAGGATGGGCCAGGAGACTCCAAGAGCTCCCCAGGAGCAACAAGCCCAACCTACTTGCTGTACAGATAAGGAAATTGAGGCCAGGGAATGCCTGAGGTGACCCGACCCACAAGTGGCTGAGGCAGGACTCCCAACAACGAGGCTGACGCTCTTTCATGAAAGCACACCTGGCCCATGTTAGCAAAGAACCTCCTGTCTGCCTCGTACCCTGAATTTCCATCAACCTGGATTATTGGTAAAGTCCTCTGCCACCCACACTCTTCATGAGATCCCAAAAGGATTGATCATGGAAAATGCAAGGTAGCTTATTGCTAGAGTAATGAGATGCGCGGCTCAGCCTGTTCAGCCTGTCACCTCCACTGCATCCAGGATGCCGGGCTCGGAACTGGCACACAGGTGCTCAGGAATGGCGCTCACAGGGAGAGAGTGGCCTTTATCATGCCCATCCTTTCACACTCGGAGTACGTGTTAGTGTGCCTTTTTGCCACCTCTTCTCCAAGACAATGGTTCCTCCTGGCAAATCTCCCCAGCTTTACCCAGGAACACGGTTCTCCGGGCAAGAAGCTGCCTCAAAAGGCTCACCCAAGGTCACACAGCTGGGTGCACCCCTCACGCCCCACCATCATTTTCCTGCACACGAACCTGCGGGCAGGGGCTGTCTGCTTCCTCCTTCTGGGTCTACATCCAGGACCACCCCAGTGTTTCCTTTTTTTTTTGTATCTGAGACGGAGTCTCACTCTGTCGCCCAGGCTGGAGGGCAGTGGTGCAATCTCGGCTCACTGCAACCTCCACCTCCCAGGCGGGCAATTCTCATGCCTCAGCCTCCCAAGTAGCTGGGATTATAGGCACCCACCATCACGCCCAGCTAATTTTTATATTTTTAGTAGAAATAGGGTTCATGTTGGCCAGGCTGGTCTAGAACTCCTGACCTCAAGTGATCCACCCGCCTCGGCCTCCCAAAGTGCTGGGATTACAGGTATGAGCCACTGCACGCAGTCCACCCCCGTGTTTCTTGAAATGGAGAGCCCAGAGCTGGAGGGAAGGGCTTCCCAGAAAGAGGCTGTGGATTTCAGCCCCTTGCCTGAGGGTAGGAAGAGGTCCACTGGGTGCTCCCAGCTTCTACCGCCCCATCTGTAACTTGGTTTTCTAAGTGTTGGCAGGGCTCAGAATGAGTCTCCATCTCCTCCGTGGGGTATGAAGCAGGCCTTGGTGGAGGTGAGAATGCCCCACTCCACCCCGGGAGGCTCTCTCCGGGCAGGTGAGCAGATGCAGAAAAAGGGCTGAGAGCTCAGCCATGACTGCGCACGCCAGGGAGGGGGGACCAGGTGTCCTGGGACCTTGGGCAGCAAGGGGACAGCTCTAGCTAAGATCTGGTTTGAGTCCTGGCCCTGCCACTTACATGTGGTGTTATTTTCAAGTAAATTAGTCATTAACCTCTGAACTTTCTTTTCTTAAATGTAAACCAGGGTGATAGTCCTGACCTCAGAGAGTGCTAAGAAGATAAGGTGAGAGAACTGTGTAGATGCCATAAAGCTCTGCAGGATGATAAGGCTCTACGGGAGGCCAGCCCACATCACAGGCCAGGGTGGAACCATAAGGGAGATGCAGTGTGTGCTGGCCAGGCAGGGCTCGAGATTAGGCCTTCATGAGCAGGAATTTCAGGGAGACTTCATGTGATTGCATGCAGAAACAGGGTGTGCAGGCAGAGGAGGCAGCAGCTGTCCATTAGGGTATTCATTTATTAAAATATTCCTGCTGTCATTCAGTACCTATTAGGTCCCAGGCATACAGCACTGGACAAAGCAGAAAACATTCTCTGTCTTCATGGAACTTATGTTCTAGCAATGGCAACCAGACAAGAAAGAAGATAAAATGTGTGTAGGATTAATTAATTTTAGATCAAAGATGCCCAGAGAAGATCTCACTGAGAAAGGAGACATTTGAGCAAAGAAAAAAACAAGGTGAGCAAGCCAACCATGTGGCCACCTGGGAGGAGATATTCCAGGCAGAGGCAGCAGACAGCAGGTGCAAAGGCCCCGTGGCGGGAGAGCGTCTGGTAACTGTGGCCGGTGTAGCTAGACGGAGGAGACTGATGCAGGGGCCAGGCCTCTCCCCTGAGCTGGACCATGCTGTTGGAGGCCACGAGCAGAGGGATGAGATCTGTGACCCGGCTTTGTTTCAACAAGACCACTGACAACTGCTGAGAATGAACAGGAGGGAGCGCAGGCCGGGAGACTGGTGGAGGCGACTGCAATCATCTGGGGCATCTTGGCGGCCCCTGCAGAGCTGGGGAGGGAGCCCCAAGGCCAGAGGCGGGGCAGGGGCTGCATCAAGGTCTACGGAGCCCTCCTCTCCCACCCCTCCAGGTGAGACAGCTGGCAGCCCACTCCTTCTCCCTGCAGACAAGCTGTCTTCCCATCCTGGGCCTGAGAGGGAGGCGGGGAGGGGCGGGGCAGGGGTGAAGAAGAAGCCCTGCACAAAACAATGGCCTTGAGCCAAGACAAGAGAGATGCTTGTTCCCCTTTATTTATGATTGTTATTGGGAGAAATAAAGCCCTCAGCTGCAGCCTCCCCTCGGCCGCCAGCCAGGCCCTCGCTCCTCTCTTCTTCCACCTTCCCCTTCCGTCCCCACCTCTTCCCTGGGCACAGGCTTTCCTCTGACACACAGAGATCAAATAACTTCTCACTCAAAGGGAAAGATATGATCTCCTTTTACTATTCAGCACCAACACCAGCGGACCGACAGCCCAAGATTAAAGGCAATTAGACAGGTTTGTTTTTGTAGGGGCAGAAGGTCTGTTTGGCACCCTCCTTGGGAACTGGATCCCACAGTGGGGAGGGCCAGTGGCTCCTGTGACTCCCAGTGGAGAAAGCTTTGGGCCCACCCCAACTCACCCCCCAGCGCCAGGAAGGACCCATTTTCCTTTGCTCTGAGAACTGCTGGTTGCCTAGGAAGAGGGAGGGACCTTCTAGCCAGGCACCACTGTATCTTCTCTCTGCACGCATTGCACCCTTGGAGTAAGGGTGGAAGCTAAATTTGTGTTTCCCCCTAGAAAATATAGTATTGATTGCTTTCAAGTCGATTTCAAATAAACGGCATGATATTGCCCCCACCAGGGCTTCTAATCGCTTGGAAATGTCATCAAAGACAACAGCACAAAAGAGGGCAGGGGCCTTGGTGATTCCTTCAAACTGGAGACCCTGGGCCTCTGCTTCCTTCCTTGTCACCTTGTCCTAACAGCACACAGGAGAATAAATGCTGGAACAGCCTTTTCGGAGCATTTGTATATACTCTTATTTAATCCTCGTGAACTCCCTCTGGGTTTATATCATTATCCCACTTTTGTCCTCAGTGGGTCAGTATTCACGGAAGAAACTGAGGACCAGAGTGTTGGTGTAGGGCATCCAAGGGCACAAAGCTAGTATGTGGCAGGGAACCCAAATCTGCCCCTGTCCCTCAATTCTCCCTCCCCCTGGAGCTGGGTGAGGAAGGAGAGGGGTTAGAATCTATCATTTGCCTTCTGGTAGCTTCCATCTGGCAAGGGAAGTAGGCCCACTACTGCCCCTGCTGGCTTGGGTGGACAGGGAAAGGCCGTTTCATCCTTAAGTGACCCTTGAAGGACAGGGAGGTTTTCATCAGACACAGGTGTAAGGGCCACCACCCTCGCCTTGTCCTAAAGCTCTCTGTGTGACCAGGCTGCTGCTCACTCCACCAGCCCAACCTCACCACTGACCTCTCTCCCCACCCCACACTGGGCTCCACTCCTGGGTCTTTTAGGCACTGGCTCTCACTTGCCTTGGGGCCTTTGCACAAGCGGTTCTGTCTGCTGGGATCACCCTACCCTGTACCCACCACTCCCCTTTTCTTGCTAAAGGTCACCTCCACCTTCTCTTTTATGGCCGTTCCCCATTCCCCTCCCATCCCTGCCAAACCTTCCACCCCATCTCTCATGCTAGTGACCACCATGACACTCCACAAGGCTGTCGAACAGGGTGAACAACACCTCCCCACCGTCTCCCCACTCCAACTGCCCATGTAGGCAGTTCCTAGGTCCAGTCATACCCCACCTTGTCCCTGCTATGCCAAGTTGCAGAATCCTCTCCTTCCTCCAGGTTCCTCTATAGGGTTGCCTCTCTCAGACTAATGTACTGTCTCTGGTTCTTCCCCTTGCTTTTATTTTTTTGGATTTTTAATTGATATATCATAGTTGTACATATTTTGGGGGTACATGAGCTTCCAGCCCTGATTTGATAATTATACATTGTAGGCAGGTATCAAAATATCAAATCAGGGCTGGGCTATCCATCACCTCGACACTCTTCTACCCCTGCTTTAATTCACAAAGCATTACTACACCTATACAATGTGTCAAGCATGGTGCTGGCACCTTTTGGGTGAAAGTGACAGTGGTAGTGGCAAGAGGAAGGAGCGTGGAGGAATAAGAAAGACTAAGACATTTTCTTTTACCTTAAAAGCTCTGTCTAGCAGGGGCCCCAGACATGAAAACAAATAATGACTGAGTGATAAACGCAGTTTTTGTTTGTTTCTGAAAAATACAAACCCAAAGCAATGGGAGCTCAGAAGGGGGAGTGATTCTGTCTGAAGGTGACGGAGGCGCCACAGAAGATGTGAGATTTTTTAGCTGGGTCCTGCAGGATAAGCAGGAGTCCTTGAGACAGACAGAGATAGAGACAGAGACAGAGACAGACAGAGAGAGGGAAGGGAACAGGAGGGGAAGAGGAAAAGAGGAAAGAGTGTCTTTAAAAGCTTGGATGTGGCGAAAGCACTGGATATGTGGGGCAGAGGAGAGGGGAATACAGGGTGAATGGAAAGCAAGGTAGGAGCCAGTTGTAAAAGGGCTTTGTATTAGATGAGGGTCTGAACTTCACCTTGTAGGCAACTGGGAGCCACTGACGCCTTTTAAGCAAAGTGGTGACATGGTCACATCTGTGCTTTGGAAAGAGGCACATGGAATGCTAAGTAGAAGATGTCAGTCACAAAAGGCCACATACTGTATGATTCCATTTATACGAAATGTCCAGGATAGGCAGATCCATAGACACAGAAAGTAGATGAGTGGTTGTCAGGGGCCGGGGGAGGGAAAATGGGGAGTGACTGCTAATGAATACCGAGGTTCTTTCCGAGGTGATGAAAATGCTGTGGATTAGGCAGTGGTGACGGCCTATTGTGAATATACTAAAGCCACTGACTCGTATACTTCAGGAGGGCGAATTTTGTGGTTTGCGAATTATATCTCAACAAAGACAAAAGAAGAAAAGAGGCACATGAAGAAGGATGGATGATGGCAGGGCTAGGCTGGAGACAAGCAGGCTACCAGAAGACCTCTGCAAGCCTGCAGCACCCCCAAGCGTGGGGGCCCTGGGGTCCCACGGCTCAGCGCAGCTGCTAAGAGCACCGGTCTTCTGAAGTCCAAGACTCAGCTTCCCTCCTCAGGACTGCCCAGGACTGATTCTGCCCAGGACTGATTTTGCTGGGGGAGGGGGCACCGGAGAGATCCTGAGACACTCTACCCCCCACGCCCGCCCACATAGCCAACATATCGCACATATCCTGCATGAGATGCCTGGGACCAGAGCGACAGACGGTCACCTGACAAGCCACACCACCTATTTTTGAAGACAGGCGGGTCCCTTGGTAATAGAACAGGCACGAAGAGGCTTTGCCATAGATGGGGAAATTAGGGCAGAAAATAACACCGTGAAAACAGAACTGTCTGTTCAGAAATAAGAGACCCCCTCACTCATATCCCCAGTGTACCAGGGCCTGTCTCAGCCCCTGAGAATCTGGGATCACCAGCTCCACATCCGGGCCCAGGGCGCCTCTGTCTGCCACGCACTTGCCTGGGCCACTCTGCTACCTGGGGCCGGGGGAGAGCCTGCAGGGGCAGGGGCGCAGAGGAAGCCGAGACTACCCTCTAAAGAGTCCTTTCTGTGGGGCCCTGAGCGTCTGTAACCAGGCTGTGAGGAAGCACTCACTTCCAGGGGTGGAGGTTCAGGGGTTGGGGAAGGGAAGGGCTAGCTCCCTAGTCTGTAAGGGCAGAAGGTGCTCTTGAATGGAAGCAGGGAGGGAGGGGAGCCCCGTGTGGGAAGCCTGAAAGGAGCCTGGGAAAGACTGGGGCTGGGGGCTGGGGGCTGGGAGAGGAGAGTGATGCTCGGGGACTCCCCAACTCTCAGGCAGGGAACAGCTTTATTTTAACTCCGGGTTTGTGGAGAGAGGGCAGGACGAGGCGGAGCGGGTTTGAGGGGGAGGACCTAGCTGGTTTTTCCCAGCATCCCCCAGGCCACTTCTCTCACCACAAACCTCAGTCTCAAGCCACTTGGTTGTCATGGAAACAGGCCGGAATAGAACAGATGGTCTCCACTAGCCAAATTCCAATTAAACAGGGCAGAGATGGATAGGGAAGGGAGTGTGATGTGACGAGGCCGCAGAGAGCTCAGCCCCCAGGATGGACGGGAAACCCTGGGTCACCGTTCTTGGAGGGGGACATCAGGTGGGTAGAGAAAGCTGCCTGGGGGAAGTCACCACCCAGTCACCCCTTCAGTCCTCAAAGGTGGGGGCGTGGTGCTGAGGGAATGTCAGCTTGGGGAGGGGCAGCCACAGCTTTCCATTTACAGAAGCGCTGAAACAGAGCCACATGCACGCACACACGCGCACCCAAGCACACATGTGCAGCTGAACGCTGCGGTATGCACACAGGTCGACATGCTCAGGAACACGCGGGAGCAGTGCGGGAAGGTCAGGCAGAGTCATTGCACAGACACATTCCTCTAACACCGTACAAAGAAAATGCTTTGGAAAACCAAGCAAGCAATTTATTCTCATTTATTTAATAAACAAGTATTAAGAACCTACCAAGTGCCTGCCAGTAGGGCTATAAACACACACACACACACAGCCCTGCATGCGTGTGTATGCATGTGAAGGATATCAAGGACACAGGATAAATTCACTGACATGATCACTGCTACGGTAGGACTGTTCACAAAGTGCCATGATGATACAGGAAGAAATGATGAATGTGGGGAGGAGAATTAGAGAAACAAGAGGTGTCCCACAGGAGGTAAAATTTCACTGGGCTTTGAAGGATGAGTAGGAGTTTGCCAGCTGGTGAAGTAGGGTCCTCCAGGCAGAGGAGACAGGAACAGCAAAGGCATGGTGGACTGAAAGGTCAGAGCTTATGGGATAAGCCCAGTGTGAGAGGAGTTTGAAGTGTAGAGGAGTTCATGGGAGAGAAGACCCCATACAAGTCCTGGTGTGGAGAGTATAATTTCTGACTCAAACACTAACACCCCACACAAAGAACCGTGCCATCACACAGCGCCCGCCTGTCAAACCACACATCCACGCACAACTTCACACACACATAACCGCAGACCTTCCTGGTGCTGATAAATATTGAGCAAATGGAAAAAAGATGATTTTGTTTACTGCAAACAAAATGAGATGGGAGGGGAGGTGTCAAGTAAAAGGAAAGCATCAGAAGTTTTCCTTTCTTGGCATGGGGGTTAAATAGGGTTGCCAAAAAAAAAAAAAAACCAAAAACAGAAAGAAAGGGGCACGGGAGGCTGGCTGGGCACGGTGGCTCATGCCTGTAATCCCAGCACTTTGGGAGGCCAAGGCAGGTGGATTACCTGAGGTCAGGAGTTCGAGACCAGCCTGACTAACATGGTGAAACCCTATCTCTATTAAAAATACAAAAATTAGCCAGGCGTGGTGGTGGGTGCCTGTAATCCCAGCTACTTGGGAGGCTGAGGCAGGAGAATCATTTGAACCCAGGAGGCAGAGATTGCAGTGAGCTGAGATCGTGCCACCGCACTCCAGCCTGGGCAACAGAGTGAGACTCTGTTTCAAAAAAAAAAAAAAGGCATGGAGAAGGAAACCTCACAGCTTATCAGGGTTGTGAAGCCAGCCAGCTCCCATCGGTTTACTGTACATTTATGGGACACCTACTGTGTGCAAGGTGCTGAGCTAGGGCCTGCAGAGATTTTAAGGCTGGGTCCTATCCTTCAAAGAGCTCAGGTGCTGGGTGAGGGGAGGAGAGAAAGTAAATACTAAACAACACAGAAGGGGAAGGGGGGCTGGTGTCTGGGAGCCTCGCATTTCACAGGTGGGTGTGTTGGGGCTCAGCCATCATCAGGAGCCAAGGCCGAGGAGTGCACTGGAGAAGCCAGGAGCAGTTTATTTTGACTGGAACCTAAAATAGGTCCGTGTAAAGTTGTGGGAGTGTAGAGCAGTCAGTGGAAAAGCAGTTTTGGAAAAAGAGGCTGGTTGCAGTGAAGGCCTAGACCAGTGTTTTCTCAACTGGGGTGCTCTTGTCCTCCAGGGAATATTCGGCAATGTCTGAGGACACTTTTTATTGTCACCCTGCACAGGAATGGCTGGATGGGTGTGGTGGTGCTAGGATTGGGGAGGGGTCCTGCAGAAATGGGATAAGAACTCACAGCAAATCAGAGGCAGGGGTGAAGGAGGGAGCCAGGGCTCCGGTGCACAGCAGAACTGGGCTTTCATCACAGAAATGGGAAGAGCTCAGGGAGGGCTGTGTCTTGGGAAGAAGAGGACAAGGGTGGCTCTGGACAAGTTGGGCTTGGACTGCGCACAGGTCAGGCTGAAATCAGAGAGAACAGATTTGGGGGTTGTTCTTTTCAAGTCCCAGTCCACAGGCTGCGGAGGCGCTGGTTTTCTTCCAGGCATGCTCGTGGCTGGGTCTCCCTTGGCTGTCCTGGTCACGTCCCAGCCCACTCCTTCTCAGCCTCCAGGTTTCAGAATCAAGGTCACGGTCCCAGAGAAGCCTCCCCTCCCCTCCCCCAGTTCAGGCCCCCGAGTCTCCACCATAGCCCCGGGCATAGTTTAATCACCTAAGTAAATCTCTGGGGGCTTTGTGCAAAGATCACTTGGGAGACAGGGGCCTCACCTGTTTTGAGGCCAGTTCATCCATCACTACTGTACTCTCAGCCCCAGCACGTGCAAGGCTTAGGACGGGAGAGGGACCCCTCATTCTTTTGCCTCAACCCTTCAAAAAGAGGGAAACTTCAAAATCTTCAAAAAAAAAGGGGAAGGAGGCAACTCCTTTCCCCTTTTCTTCCTCCCTCCCTTTCCCCAGCCACCACAAGGCTTACAAAAGCAGATCTCTGCCCTTGGCGCAATCTTGCAAAAGGGACAGAAACCCAGAAAACAGCCTGACCTTTAACGGAAGCATCCCGGAGTTAGAGATGAAAAATGCCCAGCATCCCCTTTTCTCCTCACCCTAAACTGCCAGTCCTGGAGTCTCCTGGTCTTCAGGTCCCCGCTCACGTGCATCAGCCTTTAACCTCAATTCCAGTTGCTTAAAGTATTTTTTTTCTTGACACATAGTGCCTGGCACATAGTAGATGCCCAAAGAACATCTGCTGACTGACCTCACCTAAAGCATTTGGGCAGTTACCCACAGGTGCTCCATGACACCTTCTGGCCAGCAGAAAGGACCTGCAGCCAAGTGAGTCAATGGGTGGGGCGGGTGGCACCGTCAAGGAGGGCACCTGGAGACGCTCTCTGGGTGGCCATGGGGGCCTGCCCTTCCAGCAGGGAATATTTAGGGGCATCCAAGCAGCCTGTGGGGGAGGGTGGTGAAAGCAGGTCACTAATCTCTCTTGGAGATTAAGTACCACACTGGCTTTGGAGACCAGAAACCAGCTGGGGGAGGGGGCAGAGGCCTATGGAGGGCTGTGGAGGGACAGAGGGTGAATCTTGCCTGGGAGGTGACAGCCCAGGGCAGGGGTAGGTGTGGGGGCTTCTTTTCTGAGGCCTGGGCAGAGCCTAGAAGGATCTCTAGGGTTGTGGGGTGGAAGGAGAAGCTGAAATTAGGAAGAAAAAACCATCCATGATTTATTAACCAGAGTCACTAATTATTAACCAGTTTGACTCCTGGACTTGAGGCCCCAATTCCTGGCCTCCCCTAGCTTCCAGAGTGTTGAGCTCCCCCAACGTGCCCCGTCTCCCCCCTTCCCCTGCCCCCTCCCCACCCTTACCCCAGACTGTGACTGTCTCTGCCCAGCCTTGCCCTTATCTCCTCTTATCTCCAGGTGCTCTGGTGGCTGCTACTGAACACCAACCGCTACTCTCAGCCTTGGGGGTGACAGGAAAGAATGGGACCGCAGTGATTGAAACTTATTTGGGGCAGGAAGCTTGGCCTGGATGACCTGAGGGGCAGTCATGTCCTCTGGCCCACCCAGTCTTCACTTCTCACCTCCTCACCCCCCGCCCTCTGGAGGGCAGCTCCTATCTCTCCTGGGTTAGCCTCAGAGTTCGGCGAGGGGAGGCACTGTTTGGGGCTACAGTCCTGGGCCCGGCGTTGCTTGCCAGTGAGATGTCTGATGCCAGGGGGGTGCCAAGGAGCAGCAAGCCTGGGGACTTGGGGAGAAACTCTAAACAGAGTCTCCTGGGCTTTGGGGGCAAGGGATGCTGCAGACCCTGAGTGGCCCCCCCCTTGGTATTCAGGACAGAGGCTTCTGAGTTGCTCTGAGGGTACATCGAAGCTCAGATTCTCCAGGGGTAAGAGATTCTTTCAGCCATTGCTGCAGGAACCCCAACTCAGTCAGTCCCACCAAAGAAGCAAAGAGGCAGGAGCGGCAGCCTCTGGGTGGGCCCCTATTGAGGGGCAGCCAGGGCCTGCCTGGGGGTTGTGTTAGAGCCTGGATGGCACTCATGAGCCACCTGTGGGGTGGTGGCCCCTGGACTTCCAACTGCAGAATGTGCCTCTGTATCCCAATGCCAAAAGCGGGGTGCCTCACCCTGACACATGCTGTGGCTCGCCCTCCCAGGGCCATGACATGCCACAGAGCCACTGCACCATGGCACGAAGCAGCAACAGGTGACACGGGAGGCTGCCAGGTCACCCCACCTGCAGGATCCCTGTGATGTACCTCCTTCCACGAGTCACCACACCCATCCCCAAGCAGCCCCACATCCATCCCCCATGGCGGTGCAGGCAGGTGGGGAGCACAGCCCAGCCCACCGCAGGGTGAACTGATGCAGGCAGAGGGGAATGCTCCACATCCCCGCTGTCCCCTGCCCTGTCCTGTCCTGCCCACGGTCCCTCTGCATCCTGACCCTCTGCAGTATGCTCCCTCTCCCTGTCCCCTCTCTCCCCATCGCCAACTTAATTCCTTAATTCCTACTGGAGATAAGCGGATCTTTCACTGAAATTTATCATTAATCCTAAGGAAAACAGGGGTGGGAAGGGGGTGGGGGTGGGAAAGGGATAGAGGGAGGTGGGGAAGCTTGGAGGGCCCACCCACACTGCCTCCTCCTAGATCTGGGACAGCTGTGGTGGCTGGGAATCCTAGGCTGACATCCCTGGGCGTGGCAGCCCACATATGGAGCTGTTACTGGGGATCTGAGGGGAGCACCTGAGATGGTGAGGTGTGTGAGACTCAGGAGAGGTGAGACGGGGGCCGAGGCTGTCTGTAAATGCCTGCAGGATCACATGAGCTCCATGCGATTCCAACACTAATGGGAGGGAGCTTCAGGGGGAAGGGGGAGCTGGGGGCAGTCAGGGCTGTCCTGGCTTCCATGGAGGGTGGTGAGTACCCTGTCAGTGGAGGGATTCAGCTGCAGCTGGAGGATGACCAACAGGCCAGAATGTGGTTAGGGGTTTTAGGAAGTGAATGGGGTGCTACAGCATTTGATTTCCCTTCCAATGCTAAGACTCCAGGATTCTCTGACATCCTCTCCACCTTCCCCTGCAGGGCAGGGAGGTACCTTCAGCTGCAGGCCCAGCTGGGAGGCTCTTTCCAGACCTGGGTCTGGGAGAGGAACAAGTGGGCTCAGGTTAGTTTTTTATTTTTATTTTTTTTTAAGATGGAGTTTCACTCTTGTTGCCCAGGCTGGGGTGCAATGGTGTGATCTCGGCTCAGTGCAACCTCCGCCTCCTGGGTTCAAGTGATTCTCCTGCCTCAGCCTCCTGAGTAGCTGGGATTACAGGTGCCCATAACCATGCCTGGCTAATTTTTGTATTTTTAGTAGAGACAGGGTTTCACCATGTTGGCCAGGCTGGTCTCGAACTCCTGACCTCAGGTTATCTACCCGCCTCGGCCTCCCAAAGTGCTAGGACTATAGGTATGAGCCACTGTGCCCAGTGGGCTCAGGTGTTTAACACATCTTGGCAGAATGAAGGAGAATGCAGGCCCCTGCCTAGTGTCACTGTCCCTTCACGTCCAAACAGGATGGCTTAAAGAGACTGAGGCCTGACCCACAAGGCCCTAGCTCCATCTCTCCACCATCCACCCAGGCCTCAACCCGACTAGCATTCCTGCTTGAAAGAGCTGACACCCTCAGGGATCACCTGCTGTGTGTGAGGTCAGAGGTCAGAGCGTGGATGCCATGCAGTGCTGGACTGGATATTATGTTTGTTGCTGTCTACAGCTCCCACCTCTGTGCCTGGCACATGTCGAGTGAATGCCAGGATGAACCTGTCTGCCTCTCCCACAACACATCCAGGGCAGTGGGATTCCTACAGGGACTGGCACTGGGCGCTTGGGGCAGCCAGAATTCTGCACCTTGAGTGAAACCCTTGCTTTCCTTTCAGAAGGGAGCACAGGAGGCACCTGCCCAGGTGATCATCTGGGTTGGGGGGGCGGATCTCCAGTAGCCCAGGGGCCTGAGACTAAGACATACTCTGCTTGCATTGACCACCCTGGAGAAGTCACAGGAGCCCAGCAGAGGGGCTCCCCACAGCGTTCTGGGGCACACACAGCCAGGAGGGTTCCTGGGCCTGGCTTCCCCAGCCCCAGGGAACGGACCCTCCTTCTCCAGACTGGGAGTCCCTCCCAGTGGTAGCTCACAACAGTCCAGCGGTGCGAAGGCTTTCCCTGGATCAAGCAAATTATTGCTTGTGCTAAGCACACCACATATGTTATTCGCCCCTTCCAGCCTCTTATCATCTCATCCCATTGTACAGCTAGGGGAACTTGTTTAGAGAAGACACAGATACACCCGCTGACACAGGTAAGTCATAAAAGACTGAGATCATTTGACTCCAAAATAACCACTGGGTTCAGTCAATTTCTTGGGGAAAAATAGTCAAACTAGTTGTTTGTGACCCTGTAGACAAAACAATGATCTAAGACTGACCTTCGCCGGTTCTCTAACTGGCGGCTGGGGGGCAGTGTAGACCTTGCCCGGACAGTCATCATCTTTGATTGGCTCCCCCTCCTTCTCCACCCACCCTTAGTAGCCAGGCTGTGCCCCCAACCCCAGGAGGGGGGTGAGGGCCCCCTACCTGTGTGTGGGAGAAGATGGCGATCAGAGTCTAATCAGAAGCAGGCGCGTGCACACGCGCGCGCACGCACGCACGCACACACACACAGCACGTGACCTCATACACGCACACACACCATAAACCTTCCTCATACACACACAGAGGACATAAAAACACTTGTAAAGAAACACATAAACCAGCACAGATTATCATTACAGCGCAAACTGTGTACACAAGTGCCGAGGGGCTAGCAGTAATGGAGTGATGGGAGATGAGAGAGGGTAATGGGGATATTTCCTGGGAAGGGTGTTTGTGAGCAGAGCTTGGGGAGGAGGCCAGAAAGACTCTGCAGCAGCACTGAGAGGTGGGCGCCGAGGACTGATGCTCTCTCCCTCTTCCATCATCACCGCCCCTTCAGGACTGGCCACGAGGCCCATCATCTGACCCCTGGGAGGGTGGGGAACGGTGCTGTGGTCAGGGCAGAGGCAGGCCGGGAGCAGGGGGCTGTCGCACACGTTCCCCCAAAGGCCTATCCATCACGCCAGTGGAGACCATCAGAGTGCTCTGCCGGCCCAGGACACTGATGACTCTCCAGGCACCATAAAGACAGGGAATAAATCTGGGAAGTTGCTGGGTAGGAGGGTGCCTCAACGGCAGGGCTGGCCACCCTGCCCGGGAAGGGAGAGGCAGCCCCTCCATCATTCTGAGAGATGCAGCAATCTAGGCCAATGAGATTGGGACAGTTCAGGGGGTGGGGGAGGTGGGCAATCACGATAAAATAATCCAGTGCAGTGTGGCTGCTCCGCTCCAGTGTTATTTACAGTGTTATTTACACTCAGGGAGATGCCTGTCCCTGCCTCCGCTCCAATTTATGCCTAGGAGTTGCTGCAGAAAGCCTCTGCCACTGATTCAAAACCCTCAAAGGGGCCCGGTCCCAGAGGGCAGAGGAGAGGGACATAAAAGTGGCTAAGCTTGGGAGCCCGGCAGGCACCTGCAGGCCCGGGGGTAGGGGGGCTCTGGGCAATGCTGGTCCCTTCGTGCTGGCTGGGCAATGCTCCGGCTTGGATGGGAGTCAGGCAGGTCCTATGCCCTCCTTCCTCCTGTTGCTTCCAAGCACTTCCTAGGTGCAGGGCAGATCCAGCCCCAGGAGCTGATCACATAGCTCTGGCTTGTGTCTGGGCCACAGAGGCCGCGCGGTAATTCAAGCTAACGGAGCATGGATAATCTAGAACAGCGGAGGGTCTAGGAGGAATTTCGCTTTGGCGTCGACACAGATCAGATGACTGTTTTGCAGCCGAATTACCTTCCTAATTAAGCAAGAGAGTCTGTGAGGCCTGAGCCTGCATGGTGACCTGCAGGGTCAGGGTGTGCTGGGAGGAGCATCACCCTGGGTGACCCTCGAGAGGACAATCTGCACAGGGACTGTCTGAAGTCAACTCCCAGTCCTCAGCCACAACCCTGGGGAAGGGCTTTGATTTTTCTGCCCCCGTGATCTTCTTCCCTGGGATAGTTCTCTGCCCTCGCCTATGAAGCTGAGGACGCCTGGACCCAGGATCAATGCCTCTCTCCCCAGCTTGCTGTCCTGATCCTGCCTGGGGCAGAGGAAGCACCAGCCCTTTCATCCCAGGAGATCAAAGCAGCCGGCCCAGGAGAACACCCTAAATCCTTTTCCCCATCCACACTCCCTAGTAGGGGCCCTCCCTTGCCATCTTTTGGGATCTCTGGGTGAGGGCAAGAGGGCCTGAAACCTTCCAGAAGTTTAGAACAGGCTCTGGCATAGGATCAGCTTGCTGAGCCCTGGATCCACCCAGGATCTGGGGCTGGCCTGGGAACACGCGCTGGGGGACCAGGCAGATTCTCTCCGAGGAGCTACTATACCTGCCTCTGGTCTCACCGTGAGACATGGTGTGTGTGAGGGGGCCCAAATGGTATCAGTGATGCCCAAAGACTCAGGAGATGCAATAGTGATAACTTCAAGACATTCCACTCTGGCACAGCCACATGAATACTCCCAAGACACAACAGTGTCTGTGGCAGGATATACCAGTAATACAGGTTGAATATCCCTTATCCCTAATGCTTGAGACCCAAAGTGTTTCAGACTTCAAATTTGTTCAGATTTTGTAATATCTGTATACATGAAATGTTATCTTGGGGATGGGACCCAAGTCTAAACATGAAATTTCATTTCTATTTCATATACACCTTATACACATAGGCTGAAGGTAATTTTATACAGTGGCTTTAATAATTCTGTGGATGAAATAATGTTTTGACTGCCTTTGGATTGCGACCCTTCAGGAGGATAAGTGTGGAATTTTCCACTTGTGGCGTCATGTCGGCCTCCAAAAGCTTCGGATTTTGGATTAGGGATGTTCAACCTGCGCCAAGACTCTCTGAAGATTCAGCACTAATAACTCCCCAAATGCATCAGGCATGGACAACTACAACACCAGGTTATCGCTGCACCACTGAAGGGACAGGAATGTGAATAAGAAGGTGCTATGCAGGGGTGGGAAGAGATTCTGGAAGCAAAGTCTTGTGAGGACTCCAGGCTTAGGAAATGGTCTTCCTCCATCACCTGTCTGCCACCCGCCAGGAAGAGAGGCAGCTCAGCCACATGGTATAAACACGGACATGGGGCCTGACTTCTGGAATCAGAATCCTGGCTCTGCCACTTACTAGCTGCGTGACCCTGGGCAAGTTACCTAAGCTCTATCTGGGCCTCATTTTTCCATATATAAAACTGGGGAGAACAGAAGTACCTTCCATATGAGTTGTTATGAAGATTAACTAAGTGATTACATGTAAGATGTTTACAACAGTGCCTGGCATCCAGGGATTCTCCATACAAGTGTGTTATTATTATCCTCATCAATGTTTCAAACAAGCAACTGTCTATCCACCCAGCATGGCCTACTGGTCCCCTATGCCAGGCCCTGGAGAAACCAAGCCTCATCAGCAATGGAGCTCTCAGTCTTGTGATGAAGATAAATCCCAGGCCCAAGTGACTGGATAGCAGGATGGAGAGTAATTGTTGGCAGGGGGTGGCATGGATGAGGCGCTGGGGGATTTGAGATGAGAGAAGTTATCCTTAGCTTGCGGGGGGAGCGGGTCATGAAAGCTTCACAATAGAAGTGGCTCTTGACTTCAGTATTCAGATTTCATATTTATGGGAAATAAGCGGGAATGGGGGAACAGCATGTGCAAAGGCACGGAGGCAGGAAAGCGCTGGGCATGGAAAGCATGGTGTGCGGGGGAGGGCAGTGGGGGACCAGTTAGGGTGGTGCTGTGCCCCCTCAGATGTGCTTTAGGTGGATTCACCCAAGGAGCAGTGTGGGCAGACTGGAGCAGCAGACTGAGGATGTGCCACCATCCTCCCCTGCAGTGGGACCCACATGACGTGGTGGCAGAGCTGGCTAGGACCAGAGGCACCTCCTCCACTGCCCTTGTCCTAGCACCTGACAGCATTTGTCCACAAGACGCGGGGACTGAGGGAGAAGGTGCATGGGGCACAGAGAACAGTCACAGCAGCTGCCTCCCCAGTCCTGCCCGGGGCATGTACCCCAGACCAGCTGCTGGCAGGCCCTCACAGGGGCACTCCACGAGCCCACGCAATCCTTCAGTCCCCCTTCCTCCACAGCAGGGCAGACTCACATCTGCCCCAGCAGATTGGCGCTCCCATCTCCACTGACTCATTTGGCAGGCACCTGCGAAAGCGTGGGCTGACCCGTGTGGCCCCCCATGGGAGCACCCCGCGTGAGCCTGTGTGTGCTAAAAGCCAGTTATTTGGGCGTGGTGCTCATTTTCCTTCACAAGCCTGAGGCATCGAGAAGGGACACGCTTGCCTTGGCTCCTGTCTTGTTTTTCATGGACACCTCCTTCAAGCCATGGCGGCGTTCTGATGACCAGCAGGTATGCAGGCTTGCAGGGGAGGGACGCAAAGCAGAGGGGAAGGTACAGGCAGAGAGAAGGCTGCCGGTCAGCAGGCACCAGAATCTGCTAAGAAAGAAATCCTCCTGTCTTTGGTGGGAAGAACCACAAGATGGAATCCAAGGCCCCAGCACAATGACTGAGGACAAGGAACGCGAGCTGGGGAGGGGTGGGACTAGGAAGCCCCTGCCAAGGCTACCTGCTGGCTCTCCGTAGTGGCTGGCTCTTTCAGCCATCGGTGAAACTCCATCTATAGGTGAGGGGAAATGCTTCCTCTCTAGGGTCCCCAACTCCCTACATTTGCTTTTCAGACAGAAAGACAGGCCAAGATTCAGGCCAAGGCTGTTGCGAGGACTCCAGAGTCCATCTCTGGTGCTAGGGCGTATATCTCAGAGCACATCCAGATGTACTGAGTGTGGGAGGCTGTTCTGTCCCCTGTCCCCAAGGGCCTTCCTCCATGGAATGATGATTTGCTGAGCTTCCACCCAGCTCCTCCCGGAGAAGGCCGGCTCCCCAGAACAGCCCTGGAGGGAGCTGTGTCCTCCTCTTCAGGCAGGGGGCAGAACTGAGCATCCAAGTGGGTGGGCAGGACACACATTTCCAGCTTTGGGAAGCAAGAATTCCAGGACTTTGTGGGGAGGGACTCCATTTAAGCCCATAGCTTGAACTCAGACTCCCAGTGGGACATTCTGGTGCCCAAGGCCACTGGCCTGTTTTGCTGCCTGGGCCACGCCCGCAGCTGTGTCCCAACTCCCGAAGCTGTGTCCCTGTGGAGCCACCAGCCAGTGGAACTAATGTCCTCTAATGAGATCCAGGCCAGAGTGGCCAGGAGGGTTTTATTGTCTGTGGTTTGGTAATGAGACTCCTCATAAACTGAGAATGAAATTGGGGTCTGTGCTGACCAGAGTGGGTGGGGGATAGTCCAGGAGAGGGCCAGCCCCCGTGCCTGTCTGCTGCTCTGTCTAGTCCACACCTGCTCTCTGCTCCGGGCCAGGCCCACACCCTGGCACTGTGCCTGCCTGTGCCCCAGGGCTCCGTGCTCACACCTCAGGGGCCCTGCCCATGTCTCAGCCCAGATACCCAGAGACAGATGCTCCAGGACACTGCTTCCCTGGCCCCCAGGAACGTTCCATTGTTAGGCATCCTCTATTCTACACCAACCTGGGCTCTGTGGTCAGCTCTGGCTGGGCCACCCTCCAACCTATATCCTCAACTTATTACTCACTTCCCCAGGGAGCTGCCAGGCTCTGCCCTGCTGTAGGAGGCGTGTGAGCTGGTGGTGGCTGGTAAAGTGGAGGACCGTCCCATGGACACTTTCTAACATCCTACTGGCCTGGTTCATCCTCTTCCGTCTGTCCATTCCCGATCTTTTCATCCTTCTGGTTTACTGGATTTGCAGTCAGAAGACCCAGTGTCTAATTTGGCCACAAGAGCATAAGACGGTCAGCAAATTACTAAACCTAGGTCTTACTCTCCTCATCTCTAAAATGGAACTAATACAACACTAATGCCATTCACATGGGGCTCCTGAGAGGCTCAGCTGAAACTGTGGCTATAGAGTGCCACAGACAGTATTATGACAATTTGCAAAAGGATTCAGTCTGTAACAGGAGGCTGAAGGGACTTTCTGCCAGTGAGAAGGAGGTGACCCCAGCAGGGATTCTCTACCCATCTGGCTGATATCATCTCACGGGGTGAGTGGAGTCCTGGAGGGATGGTGCTGTGGTCCATCTTCCCCTCAAATGTGGAAGTGAAAGAAGGCAGGGGCTGAGTCCCAGGCCCTCTCTATGGCCACGGCTAGCCTCCAGATGGGCAATGGTGCCCCAGCTGGGCCACAGCCAGGGAGCGAGGCAGGTGCCGGGAGAGCCCTCAGTGACAGGCGGCAGAACAAAGGCCACCCAGCACCTGCTGCCTAGGTAGCCCTCAACCACCTCAGCTGAACCTGTGCATTACCCACAGGCAGCCAGGCTCCCGAGTGGGGGCAGGGACTCGCTTCCCAAGTAGCACCTGGCTGGGGACACGGGAAGTGAGGTCAGCAGTGCGCAGGCAGCTGAGTGGCTCTTTCTCAAGGGAACACGAGTAGCAGACTCAGAGGGGCCAGGACCATTGAGAGGGAAGGCATAGGGGATAGAAGTTCACTTCACTGCATGTGTTCACATGCCTGGCAATGTGCTACGCACTTTTCATACAACATTCTCAATCTCATCTTCACAAACCTCTTTGGGCATCTGTATTAACAAAAACCTATTTTAAAGATACGAAAACTTTGGGAGGCTGAGGTGAGCGGATCATGAGATCAGGAGACTGAGACCATCCTGGCTAACAGGGTGAAACCCCGTCTCTACTAAAAATACAAAAAAAATTAGCCAGGTGTGGTGGCACCTGCCTGTAGTCCCAGCTACTCGGGAGGCTGAGGCAGAAGAATCGCTTGAACCCAGGAGGCAGAGGTTGCAGTGAGCTGAGATCTTGCCACTGCACTCCAGCCTGGGGGAGAGCGAGACTCTGTCTCAAAAAAAAAAAAAAAAAAAAAAAAAGGGAAAACTGAGGCCTGTAAAGTGACTTGACCAAGGTCACTCAGCTAGTAATTGGTAGAGGTGGGATTCCAACCCAGGCCAGTGGGCCCCAATTTGCAATCTCATTATGCTGGGCTGCCAAGATGGAGTGATCATCAGGTTGTAGGGAGAGGAACTGAGCTGTCTGCTGCTCTCCCTCCACCAGGGCCTGGGACCACTGCTGCTCTGCTCTCTCCTGGGAGGCTGTGAAAGGCAGACCTCCCACTAGCTGCCCCCGCCTGAGAATACATACCTATTGCCTCCCCAGCCCCCACCCAGGGCAAACCTGGGATAATCTATTGCCCTGAAGATTCTACAATCTGCTGTCAGAAAGTCTGTCTTTGTGTCCATCTCGGGTCTCTCCTGTTACACTGAGTTCATCTCTCCTTGTGGAATGGGGTGAGGTACAGATATTATGTTCCATGTGTTTTCTCATATCTCTTCCCTTTCTCCATCTCCTAGCCCCCAACAGCACGAGAGAATCCAGAGCTTAAAGAGTTAACTGGACTAAAGGGTGTTATCTCCAGCTCAGGGCATTCCCTCTGCAAGGTGATCCGTGCTCAGATCTTAAGTTACCTCCTGCCCCAGCCAGCACATCTGCTGCTGGCTCTGCAGACCTGGTCTCTGTGGACAGCGGTGGGCATCATGGGGAAACGTTTTCTAGTTGGGCTTGGGCACAGGGTGCTGGGCTCCCAGGACCACCCTCTTCCCCACTCCTTGTCCCTTATTCCCACTTCTTTTTCCAATAAGGGGGCTCCTGCTTTCTGCTGCGTGAACCCAGGATGCTTCCAGGCACACGTATGTTGTCCACCTGGGCACACACAGCTCTGCAGGGCCCTCATGGAGGACCAAAGCTCATGCTCACACCCTTTTTAATTGCCCAGAGTATGCTACCTCCCCTCCCCACACACACCATGATTCTTTTTCTTAAATACCCATGTAGGAAGCAAAGATGCCAAATTAGGAGCTGAAAAACTGCCTCCCTTTGCCCCTCCCAGCCGTTCATGGATCATGAGAACTCGTGGGGCAGGCCAGGCCCCAGGTAATGCCAGGTTCCAGTGCTGCTATGCCTGCCAGGGAGACAACAGAAGGCTGACAAGAGAGGAATATCTCTCCCGGTGTGGTCAAGGTCTTCAGCATCTCCCTGCGAGCAGGCAGAGGCCCAGTCTAAAGCCAAGGGCAGAACAGAAAAAGGAAGCATCATAGAGGCTTCCCACCCCCCAAAGGACCCGGTAGTGTGTCCTAGAAGAGCTAACCAAGGGCAAATCCTGGGTGCCCTCCCAAAGTCACCCTCACCGACACTCTGACACATAAAATAGGCATTCTCAAGTCTGGACCACTCACAGGTCCTAGTCAGAAAACTCTAAGCAGTCAGTTATATGTGAATATACATTCGATGTTATATATTTATGGCCCTAGTCCCATAGTGACCCACAGACACAAGCACATACACCTTCTACTCCTAGTCCCCATAGATGCACACACACACAGTGAATGGTAGATCACCAACACAAACACCAAAGCCCTGTATACCTGTGTGCACACACACACTTTATACTAAAGGTGAGACCCTATGCAGACTGTCAGAAATGTCACAGCTTAAGTTCCACAGCTGGCTCATGACCATTTTAGCCTGGCACACTGGCTAATGTTTAAAGTTTTTTTGTTTTTTGTTTTTTTTAAATCAGCAAAACAGGTGAATATGCTGACACCTCTCTGTCTGTCCCTCTCTGAGGTAGGAGGCATTCAATTCACCAGGTTAACCAGGAAGAGATACAATCGGAAAAATTGAAGATACATTCACACCTCCCTTGGGTATTTTCTGTTTGTGCTGAACAATGAACATTAGTCAGCTGCTAAACAATGGCAGTATCATAGACAGCAACTGGAACTGACCCTCTGCCCCCCAAGCCTGGTCCACTTGCTCAGTCATCAGCACTAGGGTTCTGGCCGGCTCAACCATCCTGAAAACATACAGCAGAGTCCGGGGGTCAAACAGTAGCCAAGGTGGATTCATTGTACAAAGGTGAGTGGCTGAGAAGGGAACCAATAACACTCTTAGCCTCAGCAAGCCTCAGGCAACAAGGGCTACCTGTCCCATATGCTCTGAAGTTCAGGTTCAAGAGATGCCTTCCGGGCCACTCAGCCAGGGCAACTGGGCCCAAGCTCTGCAGTATCTCCTCTTCCCCTCCAGCCTTGACTACGGAGGCCTAGAATCCAATTCCAAGGCACTCCACAGTGCTGCCTTATAAATGGGTAAGGAGATTCCCATTTACACATGCTGCAAACCCCAGGCCAGCAGAATTGGTTTTGCCATAATGCCTTGCCCAGCAAGCTGAAGGACACCACTGTATGTGAGAAATAGAGAGAGAGGAAGGAAAATAACCCAATAGCCCCGACACTTGGAATTTCAAAGACCACATGGCAGCAAGCTCTGCACAAGCTGCAGAGAGAGGCTGCAGAGAGGGGTGTGCTGTGACCCGACAGGTCTTCCGAGGGTGTGCATGACACCTGGGGTGTGTGTTCTCTTTCCAGACAAAAGGTGTGGGGAAGCCAATTAGGGAGGGTGTGGTGTAGGTGGGACAACAGCTCGACACACCTGCTTCTCAAGCAGGTCCTCTGCCTCCTCCTAGGGCTCCCCCTATCTCTTTTTGGGATGTAACCCACCTGCCCCACTGACCCTCTCCTCTAAGTTAACAGGAAGAAACTGTGGATTGTCATCTCAGGAAACAGAGGCCTTTGGGGCTTCACCACACTGCTTAGTAAAGTCTGTGTTGTTGAAAACATACTTCTGTGTTTACACTTCAATAGCCAGATTGGGAGTGTTTTGAAGTTGGGGGCAATCACACACACTCCAGGCCCCTCCCTCTTCCTCTCCTCAAACCCCCAGACCCAGGTTCCCTGTCACAGCCCAGGAAAACCCTGAAAAGAGCATCAGACTGGCAAGTCCCTAGAGAGACGCTATAGCGGGCAATGGGGAGGAAGCCAGCAGGTGATGCAAAGTAGGGTGTGGGCTTGCAACTTCTGGGCCAACCAGCCTCCATCCAAGTGTCAGACTGGGCACAACCATATCCACCTGCCTCCCTGCACCCGTGGACCCTAGAGCAAGCAAGCAGAGAAGGCACCAGGAGCCCAGCCACTGGGCAGAGGAGCTGGGCGGTCCGGGAACTTCGGTGCATGGATGCTACCCATCAGTCAATTACAGTCAATGGAAGAGCATTTATTAAGTACCTCTCTCAACCCTGGTTCCTTTCTCTGCATCCCACCCTTTCATGTAGATTTTTGGCAGGGGTTGTATCCACCTTGAGCCAGGTGAGTTCACCTCCCTGCTCCCACTTCCTGAGTGGGTGGAGCACAGCAGGCCTCTAGCCCCCAATGAAGGAATTAACCATGAAGGAATCACAAAGCTGGGGAAAGAGAATAACAAAAGGAAGGAGAATAGGGTGAGTTCCTTCCCCTTCTCCCAACCCTTCCCACCACCCTTTGTCCATCCCAGGATTACGTTAACCCCTAGTGTGCTGGACCAACCAGAGCTCTGGGAAGCTCTCGTTTCTCTGGGTTCCGGATGTGGACATATGTAATTGAAGGGTTCCTGGAAGCTCAAATCCCCATGGCCAGGCAAGTCCTAGAGCCCGAACTTCTGTATCTCTGGCTGGCTTCCCAGGCCATCCAGTGTGAGAAGACCTCTCACTCTCACCAAGACCACCCTCTGGGGGCAGGGTGGGCAGTGACACCTGTGAGCCCTGGATTTTCCCCACCCCCCACATCGAGCAGGGCAGCACCCCAGGCTTCACGGGTGGAGGCACCCCAGTACTGGCTTTCACAAACTGCTTCCCAGACATCCACCACTTAGTGAGATTGGCGGGGCCCTCGTAGTGAGCTGGCTGGCAGCAGAAGAGGCATAGAAGGGAATGAGGCCAGGCTTCTGCCTTCCAGGAGTGCACCCTAGCCCCGGAACTAGGCAGCCAGACTGTTCCCTCGATAACAAACTGCCTGGCCATTCTGCGGCAAAGCACATTGCAGGAACTCGGGATCTAATATTCCTGCCCCACGAGGAGATGGTCTCTGTACACTGACCCCCTATTCTGCCACCCCAAGGCGGGGACCACGTGCTCCAGTCAAGATCCGCCCCCCTCCCCAAAATCCCATCTTGCTAGAGCTGCAGGTCGTCTCTGGTTTCTACCCAGAGAGCTGGAGGAACTCCCCACACCCCTTGACCCACGCTTGGTGTCCAGTCAGCCGGCGAGCTCGGCAGCTTCCCCAGGGACACAAAGGGTTAAATCCAGGCGAGGGGACTCGGTCGGATTTGCCTCCTAAACGCATTTTCCAGTTCATTCCCCAGCACAATATGCCTGGGCTGGTCCCAGCCTCCGTCCCCACCCCACCCGTCAGAATGGGCCACCAGGGCCACCCCGGGGTCGGGCGCGAGGTTAACCCCTCGGCTGCCGGCAGCCCGCACCTCGAGGAAGGACACGCGGGGCACCCTCGGGAAAGTGGGTCATGCAGCTACTTGGATGGCAGGAAGCCCGCGGTGTCTCCTCCAGGGAGAGCCCCCAGAGCTGGGAGCAGAGTTCCGAGGGGGAGCCCGGTCCCGCGCCAGGCCGGGAGGAGGCTGCCCCGGCCTCACCCTCCAGGAAAGGAACCGCAGGTGAGCGAGGAGCCGCCTCTGCCGCAGCAGCCGACTCTCCGCGCCCGCTGTGGGGCGGTGTGGGGCGGGAGGGGGCCCGAGCGTCCTGAGCCGTCTGGCAAAGGGGCCGCCGAAAGAGACGAAGCCCCCCCGCCATACTCCAAACCCGCAGCTCCGAGACTGACGCCCTCCCCCTGGGGCTGTTGTCTCCCACCCCAAGACGGTGATTACGGTGATTATTTTGCATTTATGTAACACGCAGTGTTTCCAAACTGCTTCCCGAGCAGAGAGCTGGTTATTAAATAAACAGAACGCTATTACATATTATTATTTTTTGTAAAGAACTGAGCGGAGAAAGTGCTTTCATGCTACATAGAGACGTGCATCTGACTGCTTCCCTGCAGGGCAGGCGGTTCGGCTTCTCAACCTCTTTCTCCGCCGTGCCACCTCCCACCCCCTTTACCCAAGCCGTGACCCAACTTTTCTGGCTCCTTTCACTCCCCACAATCCAGTCGTGCCCGCCATCCGGCTCCCAGCCCCGGGGAGGCATTGGATGGGGGTGGGGACAGCAGAGGTGAGCGCTCTTACCTGGGAGGAAGAATGCGGTCAAGCCGAGAGCGAGTCCCCACCAGCGTCCAGCGGCGCCCGCAAGCCCCATCCGAGCCATCGGGGGCCGGGGGTCCGGCGAGAGGGGCGGCGAGGGCAGCGCTCCTCGCGCAGCAGAAACCAGCCCGGAAGATGAGGGAAGATCGCTGGCGGTCGGCGGGCGCTCGAAGGATCCAGGTCAGCTGCAGCCGTCGGCCGGGGCGGGGTGGGCTGGGTGGGATCCGCGCGGCCGCAGTCCGGGCCCCGGGCCGCCGCCGGCTCAGAGGCTCGGCAGATGCCCGCCGCAAGTTGCACGAGTCATGCCCCTTCGCCTCCTCCGCTCTCCTCCCGGCGCCGGTCCCCGCCCTCTTCTTCCACGCAGAGCGGGGCTGGGGAGAGGGACCCACCCCCGGCGCGCCCGGCTGCCCGGTTGCGCGGCGCGGGCTCCTGGCCCCGGCCCGCTCACACCCTCCCGCTCGGCTCCAACTTGCAGGCGTCCATGGCCGGCCGTCCTCCGAGGGTGGCGGGACGCACCCGGGCGGCGCAGAAGGCTCGGGGCCCAGGCGGCGGGCGCGGGGCTCGGCGGTCGGCGGCCCGGGTGGCTCTGGCTGCGCGGCCGGGCGCGAGGAGAACGGGTCGGAGGCGCCGCGCGTCCCAGCCGCCGCCGCTCTGCCGGGTGCCGGCGATCCGCAACAATGTGGAGCCGCGCTCGCTGCTCTCGCTCTCTTTCTCTCACTCGCCGAGCTCCAGCCTCTCACCCGCTCGCCCGTGATGTCAGCCAGAGGGGAGGGGTTAGCGTTAACCCCCTCCTGGCCTCGATGCGCGCCCGCCGGGGCCCGGTCGGAGCCCGAGCGCACGCGCCTTCCCGACCGAAGCAGAGGCGGATCGCGAGCGCGGGCTGCGGGGTCCGGCTCAGGACCCTCGCTCGGGAGCTACCCCTCGGCCGCCTTCCAGCTGGGGAGCCGGCTGGAGCGCGGGCTGCCCTCCTCCTCCGCTGACAAAGGCAGGCAGTGACCCCTAGCGGCCGGCGGCGCCGAGGCGCGGCGGGTGGGGGTGGAGTTAGGACCGGGCCGGGGGCGGCGGTGGAGGAGAGGGCGGGATGGAGAATCCCGGCTAGCAGCGTGGGAGCTGGCAGGGCTTCTGCAAGCCCTCTGCTCCCACCCTGGCCCCATTTCACAGACGAGGAAACAAAGGCCCAAAGAAGAGTTCCGCCCGGGACGGAACGTGGCATAGCTCGCAACAGAACCCAGTCTCCGGAGATCCCTCTCCTCTGCACCACTTGGACGTTCCACGGAGAGGCAGCGGTGCGCGGGGCGACGGGGAGCTGCCAGAGAAGTCAGTGGTGGGCATGAGTGGGTGAGACGGGCCCACTGAGGTTTCTGGTAGAGTTTCTTTTCTAATCCCTGCTCCCTTCGGGGGTTCCTTTTCCAAAAATTGAAGCACCCCGCGCCCCGCCCTTGCCCAAACATAGCCTGAAAACGAGCTCTCCTCCAGTTTCCAGGACCTTAGTTTTGAGAGATTTGTGGGATTCCCGCGAAAGTGGATCGTCCAGTCAGTGTCCCTGGCAGGGCAGGGACTCTCCGCCCCATCCCGTTCACCACCCACTACATCCGGGTGTGGTAGGATTTCTGCCAAGGCGACTGCGCCCTCCGGGCCTTCCCTCTTCCCCTTACTCTGGTCCTCCTATCCCCATCCCCTCCCCCTGGGGGAGGAAGACAGACAGAGTTTCCCACTAAGGAGAGCCGAATTCTCCCCAGACCCTGGCCGGACACTGCTCCCTCTACCCTTTGCCCAGCCCTCTAGGCGGGCAGGAGCAGAGGGGAAGTGGCTGTTTCTGATAACACGTAAATTCTGGTTCCTCACTGGAGAAGGGGCAAAGACAGCGCCATATTCCCACTGTCTGGAATCCGGCCCTGGAGTGTCTCGGTTTCTCGCGGAAGTAGTCAGATCTGGCATTGTCATGAACACTCACCCACTCACTGTATGGTCTTTTACATTTAACAAATGTAACCTGGGCTTTCTTTGTGTCAAAACACAGTGCCTGGCTTGGGGATACAGAGACATCATCATTGTCCTGAAGGAACTCAATCTAGTTGAAGGGTGGGGGAAGACAGACATAGAAACGGATGTCGTAAACAAATATTTAATATGGGATTGTGTGGGTTTGGTGGGTCACAGAAAAAGTGCCCAGTTTAGCCCGGGGTGGGGTTGGTGTAAAGGCTTCAGGGAAGCGAACACAGGGTCTCGGTGAGTCATCTATCAGACCAAGGTAAGTGCTGGAGGGCAGAGACATAAAAGAGACTGGATTTAAGGTAGAGGGTCAGCACGAGCAAAGGAATGAAGGTAAGCAATAGTCAGGTGAGTAGGGGGCCCACAAAGGGTTGACTGGTTTAGCCTGAGCCTAAGACTTGAGGAAAGGAGAGGTCTGCAGATTCGTGAATCATGCCCGGTAGCTGCTAGGAGGGTTTTAAACTGGGGAACACGCTATCAGATTTAGTTTGTGGCAGCTGGGAATCTCCCATCTGGCTGCTGAGTGCTTTAAGGGCCAGGGTTGAATTGAATTCATTGTGATGGCCTTTAGCTCTGTGCCAGGCACACTGCAGGAGCTGAAGGCATGGTTTGAAGGGGCAATCCCAGATGTACCAATGTCTTCTTGTTCCCTGCTCTTACCCTCCCATCCTCTCCATCTTTATTTTATTTTATTTTATTTTATTTTATTTATTTTATTTTATTTTATTTTATTTTAATTTAATTTAATTTTATTTTATTTTATTTCATTGAGACAGAGTCTTGCTCTGTTGCCCAGGCTGGAGTGCAGTGGCGCCATCTCACCTCACTGCAACCTCTGTCTCCCAGGTTCAAGTGTTTCTCCTGTCTCAGCCTCCCGAGTAGCTGGAATTACAGGTGTGTGCCACCACGCCCGGCTAATTTTTGTATTTTTAGTAGAGACGGGGTTTCTCCATGTTGGCCAGGCTGGTCTGGAACTCCTGACCTCAGGTGACCTGCCCTCCTTGGTGTCCCAAAGTGCTGGGATTACAGGCATGAGCCACTGTACCCGGCTGCACTCTCTCCATCTTTAGGTCAGGCTTCTTTGATCCTCTGATCTTAAATGAGCTTCCAAAGAGGGTGCGGCCAGCAGGGAAGATGTGGCTGCCTGGGGATTGGTTGGGTGGAGAAGATGGAAGCAAGTAAGTGATATAGTATGGTTGTTCACTCATCATCTTTAAACAAGCAGGGAAGGTTGCTGGGGGAGGGGACATTTAACTGAGACCCTGAAGGACAGATCAGATTTGGACCAAAAGAGGCAGGAGAGAGACTCCTAAGTGGAAGGAACAGCTTGTACAAGAACATGGAGGTGCGTGGAGGTGGGAGAGGTGCCACCTGTGTTAGGACAGTAGGCATTCCAGTTTGTTTTGCGTTTTAGAGATGTATAAGAGAAAGGGACAGGTAGGCGCAAACAGAAGGCAAAAGGACCAGAAGGTTTCCTTTAGTGACAGGGAAGAAACACAGGATCAAGCAGCAGGAAAGCAGGCTTTGGTTCCTGCTCTTAAGCTGTGAGCCCAGGAGTCACTCTTGCTTCTTACCTCTTCCTGAACCACCATGTTCCAATTTTGTTGATTCTGCCCCTGAGATATATATATATATATATATCCTTTATATATATATATATAGTCTAGTGACATTGATATGCCCCTGATATGCCCCTGAGATATATATATATATCCTTTATATATATATATCCTTTATATATATATATTCTTTATATATATATATATAAAGTCTAGTGACATTGCTCCATTTCTCCTGTTATTAATCTAGTCCATGCACTCATGATTTCTACCTGGTCTTTACAATACTTTCTGACAGTATAGCCAGTCTGCACTGAGATGGGGAGTAAAATGTAACAGTCCAGCACATGGAACTCTGGAGAGCTAATCTGCCTGGATTGGAATTCTTAAACTCCAGCTCTGACACCCAATAGCTATGTGTCCTTGGGCAAGTGACTTAACTTCTCTGTGCTCAGGTACCTTCTCTGTAAAACAGGGAGAAATAAGAGCACCTACCTCTTGAAGTTGTGAGGATTAAATGAGCCTTGAGCCAAACATGTGAAGTGCATGGAACAATGCCTGGTGTACAGTAAAAACTGTCTAAGTATTAGTCATCATTATTATTGTCATCTGTCTCTCCACATCCAGTTTTCCCCTTCCTGAAAATGGTTTATATATATTTTACAAGCTTTATTTTGAAATAATTTTGGATTTGCAATAGAGTTGTGAAAATGGTACAGAGTTTTCATATGCCCTTCATTCATCTTCCCTGAATGTTAACATCTTATAGAACCATGGTACATCTATCAAAACTAAGAAATTAGTGTTAGTATAATACTATTAACTGAACTACAGAATTTATTCAGATTTCCCCAGGTTTTTTCCCACTAATGTCTATTTTTTGTTCCACAATTTAATCCAGGATACAACATTACATTTAGTAGTGGATTATTTTCAAATGCAGATGGTCAAGTTGCAATGCCCAGGAACAATTTCTTGGCCTGCCAGACTCTTAGACCAGTGTCAAGTCCTCAACAAGGCCTAAGGGGCCCATGCCTGCTTCTGCAGCCTCATCTCACCCTGCTCTGAGGCTTCAAGGAGGAGCCACTGGGATTTCCAATCATCCCCTGCTATAGACTTTGCATACTTGGGACCACTTTCGTGATGGTTTATAGTGCCTGATTCACTCCCCATTAGACTGTCAGCTCCTCCAGGGCAGGGATCATGTTGCTGTTGTTCTCTGCTATATCTCTGGCACCTAGAACATGCCTGGTACCTGATAGGCTTGTAATGAAAATGTGTTGATTAACTCACATCCTGTGCCACTTTCTGCCAATCACTTCCCCTCTCTGGACCTCAGTTTTCTCATCTGCAGACTGAGGAGTTTAATTTGTTCACTGGTTTTCCAGTTGTGTTTTGGAAACCCTAGAATTTCCTGGGCTCAACAGGAGCCACATTTAAAGAGCATGTGTTTTCATGTGCTTGAAAATTGGGCTTTTGAGAAAGATATCTCTTAATGGATTTTGAAGATTCTGCTGCTTAAAAAGGTTTGAAAACGTGACAGATTATTGTATATTATGAATTACATATAGTTGCATGATTTTACAACTCCATTATTTATTTATTTATTTTTGCAGGCAGTGGGGAGCCATGGAAAGTTTCTGAACAGAGAAGCACTTATTGGGAACTGTCAGAGCTATGCTTCAGGAGATGAATCTGGCAACAACGTGGGTAGGATGGACAGATGATGATTGGTCAGTGAAGGAGGAGGGGAGTGAGGAGAGAGGGTTGTCATGGAAGCCAAGTGAGAAGAGGATTTAATAGAGGAGGTGGAGGAGGTTGCTAACAGTGTCTGATGCTGCAGAAAGCAGGTGGGGATCAGAAGGGGTCTTTGGAAGCAGTGGCAAAACCACCAGTGACCTTTGAGAGAGGGATGTTGGTGACTAGGCAGGGGCTGAACCCAGATCAAAGTGGGAGGAGGAGCAACTGGAAGGTGAAAAAGCAGAGGCAGCAGGTATCCTCTCTGCTTTTGAGAAGTTTGGTGGCGGACGGAATGAGCAAGGTGGATGAGAAGCTCGGAGAGGGTTAGCAAGACAGACCAAGAGGCTTATTTTCTCCTTTTTCATCGGAAATCAAAAGCTACTGAGCATCTTGTAGTCAGAAGGAAAAGAGCTAGTGGACAGTGAGGGAGTGGAGAAGCAAGTGTAAGAAGTGAAATAGGGTGTCATTTATGGAGCAAGTCCTGGGTTGGGGGGCACTGAGGGTGGGAAGGGGTCAGCCTTGGAAAGGAGAAGACCCATCTTTCTCTGAGCCTGGAGGGAAGGTGAAGAGAGTAGTGAAGGTGGAAGTTTTGGGGTGGAGTAGTGAAGGGGGAAGTTTATAATAAGGTCATTGCAGTACAGTGGGAGCTGAAGTTATCTGCAGAGAGAGGTTGGAAAGCGGCTTCAGACTTCACAATTGAGAAGGCCAAAGGGAGTGTTAAGTGGGGTATGACTACCAAGCTTCCAAAATCTATAGGGAGAAAGGAGCAAGCATCATCTGTGTGTCTTCATAGGGAAAAGTCAGGACCAATGGTCATATTTTTGGGGGAGGTAGATTTCAGTTTAATCTAGGCAAGACTGTTGAGGGATCTTAGTTGACCGACAATGGATTGACCTCCCAGTCACTTTTCAGACTCAGGCTGCAAGCCCGTTCATCAGGCATGCTGTGCATGGGCTTCTTGCCCTGGCATGGAGCATGGATGCAATGAGTTCCATGTTCCCTCCTGGCCCTGAGACTTGATAACTGCAGGAATGACAGCCCACTTGAAGAGCAGGCAGTTGGGCTCACCTTTCTCACCCACCTCAGGACTGGAGGCATGAGGTGGGGAGACTAGACGAGATCAGCCCTGGGGAACGTACCATCCCTAGGAAACTCTCCTCTGAGCCCTCCCTTGACTTCCACAGGTTCTTTCAGAGAGGCAGCTGTTGGGCTTGGAAAAGGCCCAAAGTCAATACAGTAATGACTTCCCCTCCTGGTCATATCCCAGGCCCCTCTGTGTCATTCAGAAATTGGCTAATAAAGTTCACTTTGATGTGAGAGGAGCCCTATTAAGAATTCCCCAAGATTCCCCAATCCCCTGAAATCTGTCAATAGGAGAAGATATGTTGGAGTGGCATGCTGGATGGGGGTCACCCCCTTTTGTGTCCCCAGTCCTTACCCTGGTGTCAGTTGAGGCTGAGAGCAAGGGGAGAGGAAAGGAGGAGGAATCCCATGAAGAAAGTATGGCTGAAGCCTTAGCCAACCCCAAAGAGGACCCAGCTGGCATGGCTACCCTCTTGCCCTAACCTGAGGCCAACCTCACCTCAGGCAGTGCTCCCAGGGTAGATGGGAAGCCACAGCACCTAATTACTATGGTCATCACGCTGGTGGCTGTGGTGATTATGATGGTGCCTCTGTATCCCACAGCGCTTAGCAACATTTAATTACTGTTATTCCTATGGAGATCACTGCAGAGTCTTGGCTGCCATTGCTCTTGGGGATGGAGCAACTACACACAGCTGCACCCACTCCCCAGTCCAATGATCCACTGTGTTGAAGTGCTGCCAGGATGGTTAACAGACACCAGCCTCTCCCTTGTGGGCCATGGTGTCCCAGCGATCTGCATGGCTTTTGGGGCTGAGCTCTGAGAGGTGATAGGAAGGCCCAAGTTCCATCTTGAACCATCTAACTCTCCAGAAAGAAGGGAAATTGTTCTATGCCTTGTGTCTGGTCAGAAGGCCCTCAGTATACTTCTGTGAATCATGACGTCCCAAATCCTAAAGAATTCTGGTTGTGAGTAGAGGCGGCACTCCTGATTAGGGATGGGAGCACTTAAAACTCAACGGTGATACTGAGAAGAGGGTTTCATCCAGGATCCGCATAGACCGGAGAGCTTAGGTCATGAAGATGGGAAGGGACGGAGTGGAGCTTCTGTGTGGAGCATGCCTTATGTAGAAAGATGAAAGGGAAAAGGGCTTTGAGAAAGGAAGATACTCAACCTCCCACCCACACTTTCCTCCCTTTGATGATGCTCTTATATCCAGGGATGGGTGTTATGGTCAGGATAATTATCAGGATGGACTACTTGTCTAGAGGAACCAGATTTTTCTTGCAAGTTATGTGAAAACCAAGAAATAGAAGGTATTGTTAGGGAAGAGCAGAGTTCCTGGATCAGCCCAACCCCAGCAGAAAAAGCTCATGGTTGATGCCTGCCTGGGAGTGGGGAGGTAAGGCTCGGGCTGTGGAGCTGTGGGTCTTGACTCTTTGGTCTCAGACCTTTTCGGGATCTGATGAGCGCTGTGTCCCTGAAAACTGCACATACGCACAAGGACAGTGTTTGCATGGCAACCTGCTGAAGCCCAGCTGGGGCCTTGAGTTAGGAATCCCTGCTGAAGAAGGAGTGCTTTGGGAAGGAGGCAGCCCTGAGCCCAGACTCCCTGTGATCTGGGCTAATGACTGATGCTAATGACATGGAGAACCCCAAATGAGGAAAGTCCAACCCAGACCCTTCTATAATATGAAGTGAAAAGAACAAGTATTATCCATAGACTGCATTATAATTCTGTAAAAATATACACTTATAAAGAGAAAAATGTGAAGGTGACATGGAGAAATGAAAATAATTTGTGGGTGAAGAGTTTTTATTTTATTTAAAATTTACTTTAATATCATTATGAGGCTACTTTAATAATAGATTTAATTTTATTTCTCTATTATGTAAAGTGCTTTTCCTGAAGAAATGAGCTTTCAAATTATATTTGATTTAGGTTAATATTAATGCCCTGTACATCCTGAGTACATGTTTCCAGAAAGAGGTGATCCAGGAGGCTGCCAAGTGGCCTGCAGGTGACATCCAGAGGGCAGAAAATGCCCATGCAGGTAACTGAATTCTGAGGAACATGAGACCACATGCTACCAAGGAGGCAGCCAAGGGAGAGGATGCTGTGTTCTGGAGTTAGGTTTGAGTCCTGGACCTGCCATTTACTAACCGTGAAACCTGGAGTTTACCTGGGGCTGAGGAGGGGGTGGTTCCCAGGACACGGGACTTTCAGTGCTAAAATTGGGAAGGTCCTAGGCAAAGTGGGACAAGTTGGTCACCCTATTAATAAGCTATTAATACCTCTGTCAGCCTCAGTCTCCTCACTTGTAAGATGACACTGACGACTCCCAGGATCTTTGTAAAGGCATTTTGTATGCCATCTTCATACCTGTTGGGGATGATGATTATCATTGGTGGGGTGGGATGGAGGAAGAGAGTGGGGAAAGGGGTGCTTCTCCCCAGCCTTGAGATCTGAGAGACCAAGAGCCTGTCTGGATGGGTATCATGATTTGTATATGGAGAGCTTAAGACAACTGGTCTCTCACAACTGGCTTTTAACAATAATTCGTTCAAGAAATGTGTATGGACCACCTACAATCAGATCTGTGCTAGGCATTTGGATATTCCGTGAATGGCTGCAACATGCTGTCTTCCTTCCTGGGACCAAAGTCTAATGGGGGAGGCAAGGATCCATAAGGAAGTGGACAGCAGGGAAAGCTAGGGACTTCAGGAATGTCAGGTGTGCAGGGACCCTTCCCTAGTCTAGGGGGTCAGGAAGGGTCAGGGCATGTTCCTGCAGAGATGAGTAGAGCTCCCTTGAGGGATGAGGACTGGCTGGCCAGGGATGTCATGTTGTAGAGAAATCAGGCACAGGAGAAGACAGCAAGAAGGCCCAGAGGCTGGGTGCTCCGAAGGACTGAGAGTAGTTCATTCAGTCTGGCTGGTGCGGTGCAAGAGGTGAGTGTTAGAGAGGGGCCTGGGGAGTCACGTGCCCATGTCATGAGGGCCTTTGTGCTGCATTATGGAGTTTGGACTTCATCCTGAGGGTCACAGGGAGCCGTGCATGGTAGGGCTGTAGCCCAGCAAGCGTGTTTTATACCTGGCCACTCAGCAGCCCCAACCCGTATTGTGCTCAGATGGCATTCCTGGTCCAGGCTCTGGTTTGCCTGTTAGGCCCAGGTCCTCTGGGCTCTGTCTGTCTTGCTCTAAGGCTCTGAGCCTAGCCCATCTGTGGAGCACTTCTGCAGCTCCAAACCTGGTGTAGTCAATCTGGACATTCCCCTGGCAGGGGTCTGCTGCCTGGCACAGACTGTGACTCCAGAGAGCAGAGTGGCACTCCCTCCCAAGCATGCTGCTGTCACCACAGTGTGTCTGTGTGGGTTTGATGGCTGCGTGGCAATGGCGCTCAGGGCATGCCGGGGGCTCACACAGCCCAGGCAGCTGATGATTAACAAACAATTATACTAATCGGCCTAGGAACAGGAAGGCAGGTGTGCACCCCTATGCATGTGAATGCACACACATGCATGCGCACACACATTCAGATTCACTGACATTTATGCCCATCCTTTCATTGAAACTCAGGCGAGCACATGGAGAGATTCCCTGCTACCTGGATGAGATGAATAGGCATTGTATTAGTTTACATGCCATTACCTTCATCAGAGACATGCCCTTTCACCACTGACACATGGATGTCACAAATGCTGTATACACAGCCTCACATAGATGCCCGCACACCTACACTGGCCCAGACCCCTTCTCATGCCTTTACAAACACATTACAAGAATTAAAAAGGAGCATCCATATCAAGTGTCTAGCACAATGCCTGGCCCATAGGACCATTATATTCTATTTTAATATGCTATTATTATATTAAGACACTTTAATATGTGCACATGTACTGATACACTCATAGATGCACACACATTGCCCCATACATTCTTTTAAACCCAGGTGCACACACAAGAGCTCGACTCTTCCGCAAACTGACACATACACTTCCGTGTACACAAACAAGCTCACTCTCAAAGACGTGCAGGTTGCCATAATGTGTTTTCCCATTTGCACCTACACACAATCACCACCGCAATAATAATAATAGCAAAACCAGGGTGGATGATTGCTTCATATTTTTCAAAGGGCTTTCAGGCCTGTAATCTCATTTGATCCTCGCAGCAGCCCTGTGAGACGGGTGGGTGGAGCAGGCATTATTACCCCAGGTTTATGGTTGAAGAAACAGAAGCTAGAGGGGTGAAGTTCGCCATCTGGGAGGCGGCCTGAAACTCAGATCTGACTTCTTGGTAGTGAGCTTCCCATGCCTATTTGACAACTTCCAGCCCTCACTACAGAAAGCAGCAGCCAGGGCAGGGGCCTGCTAGATTCTTGATTCCTGGTCAAAACATTTCCCTGAGTCAACCCCAGCTGAGAAGTGGGAATTGGAGGCTGATAAAGGGAAACCGCCATCATTAGAAATCCCATAAATTCTCATTTACAACTCCCTGCCAGATGAAAGGAGCAATTGACTGCGTTGGAGGGAAAAGCAAATACCGATTTCCTTTAGGACTGCCCAGCCTCAGACAGCTGGTCCTGGAAGGTCCTGAGGGTGGGGGGATCCTGTTCCATCAGGGCTGTCCTCAACTCTGTGCACTTTCTCTCCCCTCTGTCTAGGTCCACGTGTGGGTCCTTAAGCCCCTTGAGGAAAAGGGAGGAGAAAAGGACAAAGAAGGCTCTCCCTTTCCCTTGGATCCCCTTCTACTCCCACATGCCTAGTGGGAGCCTCCCTCTTCTGCTTGAGCCTTCAGGACAGGTTCAGGACCCTGTCTCCTACCTGGCTGGGCCAGAAATGAGGAACATGTTGCAAGCCTTCCTCCACCTGACTTGCCAAGTCCATACAGGCTGGGGCCTTAGATCCAACAACTTAGAAAGGTAATGAGGGCAGCTTCCTTCAAAGGGCCATGTTCAGTGGGGAGGTTGCCTGATGATGAATGGAGAAGTGGAGTGATGGCCCCTTAATCTACTTCTGATGCTGCTGCTTCACTCTGGTTTCATCATTATTTTGTGGCTTAGTTTCTCTATCTGCAAAATGGGAATAGTAACACCAAACTTATAGTGCTACTGTGAGGTGTGTAAAGTCCACGGCACAATGCCTGGTACAATGCTGGGCCCCACAGGGTCAGGCCCTGTTGCCTGCCTGGGCAGCTTCTGGAGGAATGCCTCGGCTGCCAGGGCTGGAGGGGTGGTGTGGCAAGAGATGCCTCCCCAGCCTCCTGGGTGTGCCAGCTCTGGCTGGGAGGGAGGGGCAGGGAGGGGACATCTGTTTGACACTCTTATCAGCATCCATTACCTGGTGTGTATTTTCCCAGGAGCTGATTACATTACAGCATGTGTTGATAAACATTTGGAGTCGGAGTACAGAGGAAACTGAGCAGAATGTTAAGCGGGTGGTGCTTTGGTCAGGAGATGCAGAGAAAGGGCTGGCTGTGATGAGCTGGGAGTGGTGATGAGGGCCCCAATCTGGAGGCTTCTTCACCTGCCCAGCCCCTTTCTCTTTCTGATCTCCCTCCACCCTACTGCTCTGGCCCTAGCAGGGCATCCAGACGTGGTCCTAGAGGCAGGCTGTTATAGCAGAAGAGGTATGGGACTTGGGCCTGAGGCGGTTATGGGGTCCAGTCCCAGCTCTGTCATAAACTGGCTCTTGGCACTCTGGGCCAGTCTCTTACTTCCCTGGGCCTCAATGTCCTGCTCTGTAAAGTAGGCTTAACATCCGCTCCACAGGGTGGACCGAAGATTAAAGGAGTAACCATGCACCATGCCCCGCACATAGAATTAAGCGCTTTGTCTCCAGGCTCTTTTCCTGTGGTCCCCAGTTTACCCCCGAAAAATGGTCAGTCTTGCCTTGACTGTGCCTCAGATGTTAGACTACTGCTTTTATTTCAATTTTGAACTAAGAGGAAGTGATTTATGTTCTTCATAAGGCAAACACCCCTACTTCCAACCCTAGTTAGGGCTGGAGCAGGTAACCCAGGGCGAGGGTTGACTCTTCTCCCCTTTTTCTACACCTGTGCACGTGCAAGACAGCTGTAGCTAGGGAATTATTTGTGTAGTTATCTGCCTGATGTCTTTCCCCCACTAGTCCATAAACTCCCTGAGGACAGGTCACAATTGAGTGTCTGAAGTCCAGCCCAGGGCCTGGCACTGGCGGGAATGAATGACTCTCCCCCATCTGATTGGTCTGGCGCAGAATGGTCAAGATAACCCATCTCGGGGTTCTGTGCTGTCGAATTCCACGGTTGTTTCTGAACTTAGCGCACCGGGTATACCTCTCGCTTGGCCTTTGCCATAGATGACCTTGGATTCACTTTTCCTGTGGGGTATCTCTCTAGTCTCTCTGAGGTTTGGGCATTTAGACCTTCAAGAGAAGGATGTGCACCTGTCCCTCTGTCCGACTGTCCAATTTAGTGGGCATGGACAAATGCACGAATGAATGAGACTGCGGGAATGCTGCCCCCACCTCCTCTCCGCCTCCCCACCTCGCCTCCAGGTACCCTGGGCGCCTGGGACCCTGCGGGGCCTCCTGGAGGCGGGACGGGCACGGCGCCACCTAGCGGTCGTGGGCCGCGGAGAGAGCGTCCCTGTCCTTCCCCGTGTGGGACCTGCAACCGCCCCATAGCGCAGAGTCCGGGAGGCTCCAGCCACCGCCTCTGTCGGCCCCATTCTCTAGGTCCACAGAGGGTAGAGACACTCGGGGGAACGTACTTTTACTGGGGTACGGGGAGCCCTGCCCCACGGCTGTCAGCTCGGGTCGGGCGCGCCGGGTGCCCAGGAGGCAGCCTCCCACCCTCCCCCGCACACGTCGTTCCAGTCCCTCCGCCACAAAGAGACCATTGATTGGGAAGAGCGGCCGGGTTGTGGTAGGAAGGCTGGTGGGGACACGCACGCACACACACGCGCGCACACAGAGGCATACACACACACAGAGGCACACACGCACACACAGAGGCACACGCACACACAGGCACACACACACAGAGGCACACACAGGCACACACACACAGAGGCACACACACACACAGAGGCACACACAGGCATACACACACAGAGGCATACAGGCACACACACCCAGAGGCACACACATGCGCACACACAGAGGTGCACACACCCAGAAGCACAAGCACACATATACAGAGGCACACACACACAGAGGCACACACACGCACAGAGGCACACACAGAGGCGCACACACACACACAGAGGCACACACAGGCACACGCGCACACACACACAGAGGCACACACACATGCACACGCGCACACACACACAGAGGCACACACAGGCACACGCGCACACACAGGTACACACAGAGGTACACGCACACATATACAGAGGCACGCGCACACGCACATGCACACACAGAGGCACACACAGGTACACCCCGCCTCCTGCCGCGCCTGACACTCCGCAGGGCCCGGGGGTGGGTGGGCAGGGGTGCGAGGGGGCGTGGGGCTGGGCGCGCCGGCCTGGGGGGAAAGCCCCGCCTCCCGGATGTCGTCTCTTCGCCCCCTACTAGCTCTTGTCTCCTCCCCAACCCCTCGCCCCACCCCCTGCCTAATTTTTGCCAGTGGATCATCGGCCTTTGGATGAATCCGCAGCAAATGGCTCATTCGGGGCGGGCCCGCCTCCCCATCCCCCCAGTGTGCGGTCTCCTCTCCCCAGCAAAGATGTTCGGTGGCACTTACGGCCCCTTTTTAACACCAGGCGAAGCCAATATTGTTAGGAAGGAAGAACTGCTGTGGCAGCTGCTGCAAAGACAAATCATATGCAGTAATGCATCACGGGCTGAGGGAGGGTCTGAGTGTGCGGCAGGGCAGCGCGGGCTTATCAGCGCGGAATGGCTAATGGGGGCGCGGCTCCCAGCGGAAGGAGGGCTGGAAACTGTGCGCGGTGCGGCGAGGAGAGGAGAAGGCCAGGGCAGGAGAGTTTAGGCAGCAAGGATTTTCGCAATCTCTCTTCTTATCCTACCCCTAAAAGGAAGCTGCTTGGACCTGAAGGTGGAGCTGAATTTGAGCCTTTGCTGGAGGTGGGGTGCCCGGCCCTTCTACAAACGCCTGCTTGATTCCCTCCGTGATGGGCAAAGGCCTTCCCTCCCACAACACCTGAATTCTGGGCACCCTGATCTTTGGAGGCCAGGACTTTCCTAGGTTCCCTATCAGTCCACGCACATCAGAAGTAGAACGAACACCCTACTATCTAACCCGTTCCTGGCTCCTGCCCCCAGCCCTGCCTCGTAGCTGGCCTGTGGTGGGTGGGGTGTGGCTGGCAGTTGGTACCCGTTAAAAGAGAGCTAGGAGTGATATCTACTTGGTACCTCCCTCAAAGCTCCCGCTCGCCACCTGGATGCCTGTATGCACACAGGAATTGGCTGGGGGCCGGGGAGAGCATGGGTGGGGGTGCTGGTTTGCTTGGTTTATAACACTTCTTCTTGCTCCTCAATGCCAGGGCAGAGAGTGTGCCCCTGTACATGCATCCTTATTTGTGGGCAAGGCTCCGTCCATGCAGGTGCCTGGAGATGTGGGTTTACTCACACATTCCCAGGCTCTCAGGGTTGGAAGGGACTTTGGAAGAGGCCTTCCCCCTCCTCCCTCACCTGTTCTGCCATATCCATGCCAAATGCTCATCTGGATTCTGCTTGATCACTCCCAGTGACTGGAAGCTCACTTCTTCCCCAGGCAGCCCATCTCTGCTGACTGCTGGAATACTGAGCTGGAAACTGTGCCAGCAACCTGGACAATTCCCCACCCCCTATCCCATCTGCATGAAAACGGGACCAGGACAAGATGCCAAAAACACAGCACCCTAAGATAGTTACAGCTCATGCTTACAGAATACCTCCTTAGCCAGGCACTGTACTAAGTGCTTTACGTATCTTGACTCTCATAATCTTCATGAAACTCTATGAGGTCATGTTTGTTGTTATCCCCATTGTGTTGAAAAGAAAACCGAGGCACAGAGAAGTTAAGACACTTGTCTGAAGTCCCACAGCGAGGAGGTGGCAACGCCTGTTATACAATCAGGAAGCCTGGCTCTGCCTGAGTTTAATCACCACATTATATTGCAGGCACTGCCGAGAGAGAGAGAGAGAGAGAGAGAGAGAGAGCGAGAGAGAGAGAGAGAGAGAGAGAGAGAGAGAGAGAGAGAGAGAGAGAGAGAGAGAGAGAGAGAGAGAGAGAGAGAGAGAGAGAGAGAGAGAGAGAGAGAGAGAGAGAAAGACACAGAGAGAGCAAGTAAGAATGCTCAGGCATGAGTGTGTATCTTCACCACCATTTCTGGGAAGCAGAGCTCACTGGTGTTAGAGGCAACTGGGAAGACTGGATATGAAATTAAGACATCAGGAATTGCCTTTCTTCTTCCTCCTCCCCACCTTTTCCTTCCCCTCCCATCCCCTTTCTTCTTCATCACCACTGCCCTCACCTTCATCTGAATTAAAAGCCATCTTCTCAGCACTAGTGTGTTCAGGGGTTCCTTGCAAGCTGGAAACTCCATCTGGGTGCTTCCAGGCCAAGCAGATACATTGGCCTAGACAGACATACGGGCCATACTCACAATGAAGTAGCATGAGATTAATGTGGTTGGTAGATGGGTAATAAATAGGGAAGATCTGTATTTACATTCCACACCAGCCAAGGGTTAGGTGGTACACGGTTCAGAAAGTTTTATGTTCAATTTTATGTCTAGACAGAGCTTGAGATGAGGTTATCATTTCTCTTCTAATTAGTGCAAGAAGGCTTCCCCAGGCGCTGCTTTCATGGGTTCTGCTGTCTTGGCTTTGCCATTTGTTCCCAAGAGTGAGACATAGGTGGAGTGGGGAGAGGGAATGAGCACTGGATTGGGAGTCATTATACCTGGATCTTCAACCTTGACTGTGCCACCAGCTTGCCATGATACCATGGATAAATTAGCCCACTCTCCTGGGTCTCCATGGCTGGGCTGTCTATCAAGGCCCTTCAGTGGGTGCACTCCCTGAGTCTGTCAAACGGGGCTGCTGTGTGCAGGTGGCTAGGTTGTGCACTGTGCAGGGACACCTGGCCAAGAAAGAGTTGGGGGCTGAAATCCAGCCTATGCTTTTCTCATCAGGCCTGCATCCACCTGGAGAAAGAGGCATCTTTTCTAATTTGCACAAAGTTATCACAGGGACTAGCAGTGGTCCTATGATTAGAGTTGGAGTTGAGGTGGAGATGGGAAGGGGAGTTTCTTTAGCAGAAAGTGAGATTGTGAGTTCGGGGATGGAGGATAAGGGCTATGGAGGGAGGATCAGGGAGAAGTGCTGTGGTTGGTGAACGTGGAGGTGGGGCAGAGAGCAGTGGGAATGTGTCAAGGGAGGTTGGTGGTGAGAAGGGCGGGTTCATGCTGACAGTGGCCCCTTTAGCTGCGTTCAGGGTACCCCTGGGAGTGGTGGTTCTCCTGCCCCCCAGCCTTGCTCACTCCTGTGGTGTAAGCAGTGGCCTCTTTGGAGTGGCTCCTTCTGCCAAGTTCCCCTCTTGGGAGAAATGGCAAGGGGTTAGGTTTTCTCCAGGGCCCTCTCTGAGAGGCTGCAGGCTCTGTAGTGGGTGTTGCCTTACTACCGTGGGCCTACTAGAGAGGCATGGACCCTGCCCTCAGGGAACTTGCCATCGAAGGGAGCTTTTGTGCACAGGTCTAATGCCAGTGGCCCTTGTCTCCTGGGGCAGGGTCTGTGGGTATTGCAGACAGTCTGGTTTCTGTGTTGGGCTCAGTCTGGTCTGAGGCGAAGGCTCTTACCCTAGGACCAAGGACTATGAGGAGTCACAAAACTGGGCCTCGCTGGCCCTTCAGAGGTAGAAGATCTGTTGGGGACAGATTTCTGAGGACCCCCAGTAGCCAGGGAGGATGTGGGAGCCACTGAGGAGGAAAACTCGGGACGAAAGGCTTCTGCAAGGATGAAGGGGAGGTGGGCAGGCTGGAGGTTCTGTGGGAGCAAAGCCTCCCTTTCCCTTGGTCGGGGGGTGGCAGAGTGAGGGGACTGTAGGAGTGGGCATTGGGAGGGGCTTGCTCTGTGTGGGGGACCCACAACCCATCAAGGACTGGACCTCTGGAGACCGTTTTGTCTGCCTGGCCCCACTGCCAGCCCGCCGCTGTTCAGAAGCAGCCCTTCCCATTCTCTTGGATCTTCTGAGGAATCCCACGTTCCTTCTGTCTGACTCGAAGTCCTTCCTACTGTAGGCCTTGCTCATCCCCCCATAGTCCAGCTGGCACAACGTTTGGATGGCAAACCATTTAAATGGCCAAGCCTGCCCCGGCCACTCTGTCTCCTTGGTAGTCCCAGTTGTGTGAGGATGGGGTAGGGTGCAATTAAGCCCTGGGGCTGTCCTCTCTGCACTGACAGCTGTAGGAATGTCATCATGCCTATGCCAGGTACTCCCACTGCTTTCTTCCAGGGTGCCCACACTCCTGTTCTTTAGAAGAAAGGGACGGCAGGAGTCTGATCATCTGTCCGATGCCCACACAGTGGCTGTGCTGAGTGACGTGTTGTTTTGAGGATGTCCCTACCCCCTGGTCTTGCCGTCGGTCTCCAGTACCCAGCGAAGCAAGCTGTGGGCTCTGAGGAGCTCACACCAGGGAGGAGCTGCCCTGGAGTGGAGCAACAGCATGTCCTCTCCCCTGTGTGACTGCAGTGCTATAATAATAATAACAGAAAGCTGGCATTTCTTGAGCTCTTACTGTGTGCCAGAGACACCGCTCTAAGTGCTTACACATATGTATTCGTTTTCTGTAGTTGCTGTAACAAATTATCACAAACTTTAAACATTGAACTTATGGCATAAAGCAACACAAATGTATTATCGTGTAGCTCTGTGGTAGGTTAGGAGTCTGACACAAGTCTCACTGGGCTAACAATCCAGATGTTGGGGCCAGGCGCGGTGGCTCACGCCTGTAATCCCAGCACTTTGAGAGGCCAAGGGTGGGGGGGGGGGGGGGTGGATCACAAGGTCAGGAGTTCGAGACCAGCCTGGCCAACATCGTGAAACCCCATCTCTACTAAAAATACAAAACATTAGCCGGGTGTGGTGGTGGGCACCTGTAATTCCAGCTACTTGGGAGGCTGAGGCAGGAGAATCGCTTGAACGCAGGAGGGGAGGCGGAGGTTGCAGTGAGCCAAGATTGTGCCATTGCACTCCGGCCTGGGCGACAAGAGTGAAACTCTGTCTCAAAAACAAAAACAAACAAACAAAGATCCAGATGTTGGAAGGGCTGTGTTCCTTTCAGGAGGCTCCAGGGGTGATTTCACTTCCTTGCCTTTTCTGATTTCTGGAGGCCACCATCTTCCTTGGTTTGTGACTCCCCTCCCCACTCCATTTTCAAAGCCAGCAAATAATGCATCTCTCTCTCAGATGCTTCTTCTGTTATCACCTGTCTCTCTAACCCAGCCAGGATGGGGTCTTTGTTTTAAGGACTCATATGATTAGGTCGGGGATACCTAGAGCATCCAGGATCCTCTCTCCATATCAAGGGTCATTCTCTAAACACATCCACAAAGTCCCTTAGCCACGCAGGGCAACGTATTCACAGGTCCCAGGGATTAGGGTGCTGACAGCTTTGAGGTCCATTATTCTGCCTACCACAACATACTTGAAGTTTTTCACACAAAAGATGGATGTAAGGTGGGTAATGTTATTACCCCCATTTTAAAGATAAAGACACTGAGGCACCGAGAAGCTAAGCAACTTGCCCAAGTTTACTTTGACAGCAGCATATTCAGGATTCAGATAGAGGCAGCCTGACTCCACAGTTGTACCTCAGTCACTGTCACAAGGAAATGTCCAAATTTCACATGGTATAAGGCCAAGTCCCCTGTAGGTCAGCGGAGCAGTGGAGGATCATGTATTTATTGAGCACCTACTATGTGCCAGGCCCTAGGAGGGGCTCCCAGAGGTACATGACAGAGCTCCAACCTGAACCCAGGTCCCAAGCGCATCATCTGTCCTCATTCTATTATTGTGTGAAAGGCCGCGGGACCCTCCTGCAAAGGTGAAACGGGAGAAAGGACGGAGCTTCAGTGGGGGCTTGTGGCCCAGGGTTCTGGATTGGGCCCAGGAAGAGGAGGAGAGAGGTGGGTGCCCTATACCTTGCAGGACCCAGCCGGGCCAAGTCAGAGCCTGCAGGGGCTGACTCAACAGGCTGACTGTGCCTGCCCGTCCATCACAATGGGGAATGGGCCCTCCATGAGCCTGAGACCTGCAAATCATAGAAATTAAGAGCAATTAGAGAGGGAACCGGCAGCCCCTGGCAGCACTTCCGGCCACAGAGGCAGTTCGGCAACTTTATGGGATGTTTCCTCCCATTTTGTGGTCCAGCTGGGAGGCAGAAACAAGCCAGCTCAGCACAAGGCCTCCTCAAGGTGCTTTAGTGCAACTTGAAGGTGGGACCCACAGCCCCTCCACAACCTGCCTCCCGCCCTGCCTTCCCATCCTGGGGCCCTGTCCCAGCCTCGCCCTGAGGGTTTCTTTTTGTCTGTGCATCGGCTCTGTCCTCTGCACTAGACCTCTGGAGAGCTGTGTCTGGGGACCTGCAAGAGAAAGAGAAACAGTCAGGGTCACCTTGACGGGCTGTGGCACGTGCTGCCTCCGCTCCTGTGTTCTCTCCCTCTGCTCTACCTCACCTGGCCCAGCTGGAGGGGTCTTTCCACTTCCTGGCCAGGGGCAGCTCTTGAACAAACCTTCCTCTTATTCCCCTTGCCCCCTAGGGAAGAGGTGGCTCAGCTTGTGGAAAGCATGCAGGCCAAAGTGGTGGAGACCCCATGGGTTTCAGGTGGCGGCACCAGGATGGTGCCATTGGCTAAAGGCAAAAGCTAGAGGAATTCTCTAGTTTCCCAAGTACTTTGCTGCCTTTAATCCTTGCCTCTTGCCTGTGTCCTTCACCCCATGCCCTTTCCTAAGCTGTGGTGAGAAGGACAGAGAAGGGCCTGTGCTCCTGGGAGAGGGACTGGCTCTGAGAAGGGCAGAGGTGTCTCTGGAGTAGGTGGAGGTGGGAGAGGAAGTGGGGTATCTGGGACAAGGAAGAGTCGTGGTCTGTATCCTTCTCTGGGTGGAAGCTATGATATTGCAAGGGCACCCTTTGCCCCCCTCTGGGGCCCGTTTTTTTAGGATAGGCCCACTGTGCTGGGTCAAGGTCACCTGGAGAGAGAGACCCGAGTGGAGGGGCTCCTCTGCTGCTCTCCACCACCCTTCCTGAGGCCTCTGAGCTGGCCATGAGCTGACCCTTCTCCTTCACCTCTTCCATCACTGTGGGTGGGGCAGCCTTGGACTCGGCCATACCTGACTCCACAGCCGAGGGGTGTCTCTTGATGGGGGCAATAGGGCTGGGTGAAGAAGAGATACGGAGTGGGACAAGGCAGTGCCCTGCCCTCACTAGTGTGGGCAAACTGAAGGGGGAGGGAAGGGCAGACTCCAAGGGCAACCTAGACCCCTGCATCCTTGGAGACAGATGGGTCAGAGAGGCAGCCTGTGGAGCAGCAGGCGCCACCAGGGGTGCAGGGTTGCAGGGTTGCTCCACCACAGCCTCAAGTCTGTCCCGTCCTCCCCCTGGGCCTCTGACTGAGGGCTGCTAAGGCCGTTCCCAGCGCCACCATTCTCTGACTCTCCTCATGGTGACTCTGCCTTATGCCCCATCTAACTGGCCTTGGGCAGGTGGCTTAGCCTCTCCGTGCCTCAGTTTCCTCACCTGTAAAATGAGAATAACAATAGCATCTACCTCATAGGTTTATTATGAGGATTAAATGATTTAAATATATAAAGTTTATAGGCTGATACCTGTCATGTAGAAAGTGCTATAGAAGGATTGTCTATTATTATAGTCACTCATGTTATTTCAAAGATCATAATCAAGCAGACCTGGGTTGGAGTGCTAGCTGTTCTACTTAAAAGCTCTGTGACCTTGGGAAAGTGGCTTATCTTTTCTGAGTCTGTTTCCTCACCTGTAAAATAGGTATAATAATAATAATCACAACAGTGACTGCATGAAGTTGTGGTGATAGAATGAGACACCTGGAAACATTTGCTGAGCAAACAGTAAAGCACCTCGGACAATCCATTGCTTCATCTTCCTGGCTTGGGATCAGATTGAGGACAGTCTCTACGGAAGGTAGTAGGACTCCTGAGGGGGAGCTGGGACCTTCAAGGTGGCCAAATTTTGCCAGGAAATCCCACAGGAAGAGTGCCTGTTCTTGACTGGACAATGTGAGGACTCGAAGCAGGAATCCTGGTTCTGTTCCCAGGCCACCTTGGGACCCAGAAGTGGGGTGGTGGCAGGTGGCAGGTAGCATGTTAGGAACGTTGGTGCTGCCTGGGCTTCTCACACTGAGGGTGTGAGCAGACACATGCTGTGGCCAGGCCTGTGAAGGGCACAGGCTGGGCTTTGTCCCCACTGGGTGCCTGCTGACGCTGATGGCACCCTCAGGATAGTCAGACATGGCAGGGACATGCGTCACCCCCAAGAGCTCCTCTCTGACCTGCAAATCTCAGTTAGTGCCCTACAGGTCCTCAGGGCGCTGCGTCCTTGGTCTTTGTAGCTCTCGTCACGTTATATACGGACATTTTTACAGGATTAGTGAAAGTTTGTCTCTCCCATGAAACTGTAAGCTCCATGAGAGCAGAGGCTGCATCTGGATGGCTCATTATGGGATCTGGAGCCTGGAACCGACCCTGACATATGTGCTCAATAATTTCTTGATGACCGAGTATGTGACAATAGCAGCTAGCACAAGCTTAGTTTTTATTACATGTCAGCCATTATTCTAAGCACTGGACATACACATATACACCTCGCAATACTCCTGTGAGGCAGCTATTGATAGTTGCTATTTTACAGATGAGGAAACTGAGCTACAGAGAGGTTAAGTAAATTGCCCAAGGCAACACAGCCATTAGTTGGTGGAGCTGGGATTCAAGCCAGACAGTTTGGCTCCAGAGTCCATGCTTTTAGCTGTTGTGCTCTACTACCTCCTTAGAGGAATGAAGGAATGAATGAAACACTTTATTTATTTATTTATTTTGAGATGGAGTCTCACTCTGTCACCCAGGCTGGAGTGCAGTGGTGCAATCTCGGCTTACTGCAACTTCCACCTCCTGAGTTTAAGTGATCCTCCTGCCTCAGCCTCCTGAGTAACCGGGATTACAGGTGCATGCCACCACACCTGGCTAATTTTTGTATTTTTAGTAGAGCCAGGGTTTCATCATGTTGGCCAGGCTGGTCTTGAACTCCTGACCTCAAGTGATCCACCCGCCTCAGCCTCCCAAAGTGCTGGGATTACAGGCGTGAGCCACTGCACCCAGCCCACATTACATATTTATAATGTATGCCGCTTTTGACAAATGAGTTTTGGGGAGGAGTGAATGGTGCAGCTCCTCTGCATTAGATCACATGGTGCTGATGAGCAGGACACCCCTGGCTCCTGATCATCTGCACAGGGAAAGGAAGCCCATGAAGAGCCCTTTGGAGAAAGCCTCCTTCCCATTCCCGTCTCCTCCCCAGTCAGGTGCTGAGGAGTATGGGCTGACTGTGCCCTCAGATATGTCTAACTTGGGGGTGGTTCTTGGCTCCCTCTTTTTGGAATTAAGGAAGTGCAAGGAGACCGGGCATGAGCACACCAACCCCTGAATTCCCTTCCTGACCTCTGCCTCCTCCCAGGCCTCCTGTGTCCCTGGAGGCGCTGCTGATGGGGCAGGGGTTTCTTGGTCACTGCGGGAGGAGACTGAGGAGGTGAGTCTACTCATCTGGTCCCTGATTCCTGTCATATCGGCCCCCAGCGGTGCCTGCTTCCTGCCTGCTTCCTTCTCTGCATCCCCCTCCACATTTCTCTTCCTAGCTGCTTGATTCCTGGACCTTCAGGATTTCAAGAAGATGCCGCTACCTGGGAAGCCCCTGGGACTTTTTAACAGAAACTTACCCGATTGGAGCATGACTTAAAGAGACCAGAAAGGGAAGTACCTACTTTATGGTTGGCACAATGCCAGGGGCTTCACATTCGTTAACTCATTAGCTCATTTGATCCTCACAAGAACCCTATTCTTCTTCTTCATTAACAGAAGAAATGGGGGCTTGAGAAGGCCTAAGCAACTTGCTCAAGGTCGTGTGGTATAAGAGGCAGAGGTGAACTTTGATATCAGGATTGTAGGACTCAAGGTCTGTACTGGATCCGCTGTTTGGAGACAGAAACAGGTGAGGTGGGGTTGGGGTCTAGGGTTGGAGCTGTACCAACTGGGATGCCATCCATTGTCCCCAAAGCAGAGATTATTGTCCTAGGGCTGGGACTGTCATATTCTGGTGACATTAACTCCTGGGGAGGAAGAAGGAAACTCCCTAGCAGAGGGGCAGGGTGGCAAGCCTGGGAGGCAAGGGCAGGAGAGGACCTGGGTAGTAGCTGGGGGTAGGGGGGCTGTTAGAAAAGATCCCAGGAAAGGGACAGTGGGGAAGCCTGGCCCCAGAAGTGTGGGAGCATGCTTTTGGGGGTGTCCAGTCCTGTGGGCTGTTGAATGCAAGGGTGCCCATGGTCTTCTTGCCCTCCAGATTACTGGGGCATGCACCCACACTGCACACATGCACAGACATGCTCCGTTGTCCTCTGTCATAGCCTGTCATCACAGACAAAAACAGGCCTGCACCGGGCTCACTCTTACAGCCCTTCACCGCCTGGTGCTCCCCTTGGCTCTTCTGTTCCCAGCCTTATCCACATCCAGTCTCTGTGTGTGTGTGTGTGTGTGTGTATTTGTGTGTGTGTGTGTGTATGTGTGTGCGTGTGTGTCTCTTCTTCCTAAGCCTGCATAATTTTCTACTGTCTGTTGGCCTCTCTTAGGTTTGCACAAACACATGTACATAGTCTGATAACTCTGTTGTGTGTCACACACACACGCCCAGGCATACACATGCACACACAACCCTCAGTCTGTCCCTCCCTCTGCTTCTTAGCTGCTTATCTTCTGGTCTTTCACTCCAATCCATGCACAGCTCTGGGGCCTGGAGAACCCCACTGATCTTTAAAGGGTCTGGGCTATTTCTTCTTCTGTTTCTTTCCCCACTGCCTAGTGCCCTCTGCCTTCCTGTGAGCTCTGACTGTTGAGGGGGCTCTACCAGGCCTGCTACTGACCTCTCAGTCTGTGTAGCCTTTTGGGTCCCCTTCCCAGCCTCCATGCAGGCTCTCCCAGCTGGGTACAGAGCTGGGCAGGCCCCCTCCTGGAAGTGGCAGCCGTAGGAGCAGCTGGCCAGGGAATGGCTACGTGGGTGGGGACAAGCAGGGCTGGAAAGGGATTAGTTTGCCTTGGATTCTTTTCTGTGAAAATTTTTGTCCATTTGCCATGATCCATTGATTTCAGCTGATGTCATTCTGGTACGTGGGAGAGGCTTTGACATCCATCTAGATCAGGGGGCCAGAGCCTGCACCCAGGAGTCAGAAACCCTGGTTCTTGCTCCAGAGGAACCTCAGTTTCTTCATCAGATGTATCAGTTTGGAATTAAAGGTCTTTAGTTTAAATTTTGAGCATCTAGGAGACTTCTACTTTATTTAGAGTCTAGCTGCACCCTGATCATTCCAATCAAAATCTCCCTCTCTGTGACTTATTTGTTTATACAGACCACAGATGTGCAGACATGCGGACACACACATGCACATGCAGATGCAGCTTTAGCTACTCTGGGTTTTCCAGGAACTTCCCCAACTCAGGTGGGACCTCGCCTCCTTCTCAGGATGGGGGCTGCCTGCAGTGTGTGCTCACTCCACTACACTCTATGGCACATCTCTGGATTGAAATGTGCCTACTGATGACAGTGACCTAGGACAATGACCCACCTCTCCATCCGTCCCCACACCCCCTCCCCTAAGATTAAAGACCCGAATCCTGAGTCTTGCTCTTGCTGCACCCCCTTCTTGGCTGTGAGAAAGAAAAGGGAAGTAGGAACAGCCCAGGAGGGGTGTGGAGTGATCATGGGACCCTGAAATGTCAGCGCTCGAAGGGACCACCCTGACTCCTAGCCTAGTCAGCAGGTTTCCAAACATTTCACTTCATGTGTGGAACGTCGGCTCTGACCATGCTTACCTGGACATGCAAACAAACAAAACTGATTAAAGCCAAAATGCCTGCGTTAAGGTGGGTGGGAGCTCTGCCCAGCACCCTCACCCCCATGACCACTTCTGCATGCCCCTGAGTGAGCAAGCATCCTGCAGCCCTTTTTAACTCTGACAAATGAGGCTTAAAATCCAGCCAGCCAGCCCACTGGTTCCTGGTGTGGTCCCCGAGACCAGAAGCATCAGCATCACCTGAAGACATCTTCAAAATGCAGATTCTTAGGTTTTGCCGAGTCAATAATCTGGGGGTAGGCCCAGTGACTCATGTTCAAGAGGCTCTCTGGGTTACTCAGACGCACACCCCAGTTTGAGAACTGTTGGTCTAGTACAACCCCCTTGCCTTACAGATGAGGAGTTGAAGCCCAGAGAGAGGTGTGCCTTACCCAAGGTCACAGAAAGTACGTCACTGTCAGGTTATGACTCTGGGCCAGACTGCCTATCTGTGGATGTCTTTGTGGTGAAGCCATGGATTTTTTCACTTGTCCTTCCCCTTAGCTGGCGTAAATACTCAGGGATCAGGGATCCAGAAGCCAGAAGGTAAGAGAGCCTGGGAAATGCACAAAACAGGACAGGGAACAGCAGGCAGTGGATCTGGGAGCCACAGCAGATGATCAGCACGCTTGTTCAACCTTTCACTCCCTCACTCATTCATTACATTTCTGGAGCACCCAGGTGCTGGGGAGAAAATGACAAGAATTCTGGGTCCCGTCCTCGCCAAGCTTAAAGCCCAGCACTGCCCATCCCCTTGGCCAGGGGCACTCGCTCACTTCATCTGTGGGTAAGGGGGAGACCTTTTCCCTCAGGGAGGCTATGCCGAGTGGTGACCAGCGAGGGACCCCTGGGCCTGGACACATGGGAAGGGATGTGGAGAAAAGCCAGGTTGAGGGCAGAGACCCAGGGTGTGGCTGGTCATCATTTGTGTGTTATGTCTGGGAGGTCTCCTTGGAAGAGGCAGATTCCAGGAGAGGACACAACTTTGGGAAGCAGAGGTGGGTTGAGCACAGGCCAGCATGAGGGAGGAGGGGTGAGCTTCACGTAGAGGAGAAGCCTTCAGAGGGGACCGGGCTGAGGTGAGGCTGGCGTGAGGTGGGGCGAGCAGGAATGGAGGCACCCAGCTCACCGGCCCTGCTACCAGTTCCCCAGAAGCCTGGGGACTTCTGTGAATTAGGGAGCGTTTAACATCTCCCACTGATTAGCCGCTGCCTGCTACGGTTAAGCGGGGAGAGGGGAGAGGGCAGATTGGAGCCCAGCAGCTTTGAAAGGCAATGCTGCTCCTTGACAAAGCCGGCCTGGGGAGGTTTCAAAGGCAACTTCTGAGCAGCCCGCACGTTTTATGTTCACTAGATCCTCGCTTCCCAGGCTCCAAAGACAAACAGTGGGATTTAAGGGTTTTTTTCTCTTTTTGGAGACATTGTGTTCCGAGCTGGGCTTTCAGCTGAGGAGGAGGCAGAGCCGGCTGGGCTCCTTGCTCCACCACATCCACAGCCTGAGCACAGCCCAGCTCCATCTTCTCTGTACACTGGGAGCTTCCCAGGGGCCCCCGGAAGCTTTGCAGCAGCCCTTGCCCCCAGGCTAGGTGAGAGGGTGCCCCTGGCCAACAGGGATGGGCAGTGAGGGATACAGTCCAGGAACTGCTGGCCTTAAGCTTGGTGAGGACAGGACCCAGAATTCTTGTTTGTTATCATGTCCCCAGCACCTGGGTGCTCAATAAATGTTGACCGAACAGATGAGGGAGCGAAAGGATGAATGAGTGGGCCGATCACTTGCCGGTGGCTCCAGATCTGTCTCCTGTTCCCTGCCCTGCCTGGTGTTGCTGGGAGCTGCATTTCCCAGGCTCCCTTACCTTCTGGCTTCTAGATTGGTTCAGCCAATCAGAGGAGGCACTGGAAGAAGGTGGATCGTGGGAGGAGGGGAAAAGCCAGGATATATTTCTTCCCTCTGTCTGTTTCAGGCCATGTCCCTGCAGTATCTGTGTCTCCTCTGGCTTCTGCTGATCAGCCCTGTCCTGCTGTGCAGCTCCCTGTGGGGGGCCTGTGGTGGCTCCAGTTTCTGTCTGATGGCCTCAGCATCGAGGCTCCTAGAGACGTTGCCTCCTTCCAGCCCCAGGAAGGGGACAACTTCCTGCTGTTGCTAATCTGGGTTGCTCTACCTCTTCTGTTACCTGTACAACCAAATCCCTCGTTTAAATCCCTCTGCTTGAAAGGCCTAGAGTGGTTTCTGTTTTCCCAGTGGACTCAGTGGAATGAAGAGTGAACACACTGCTTGCTCCCTTCAGAAAGAAGATTGTGTATGAGCGGCCAGGCCTGAGTGGGTTTGATCTGCCTGGGCCTGTGAATCTTATAGATGTGTGCAGCCTTGCCCTGGACAGGACACCCCATCCCACTGCCAGGGCACATGCCTCTGCATGTGAGTGCTGCTCTAGCCCTGGGGACACTGCCCACCTATGCCAGTATTGTTCATTTCCTCTGAGCTTGGCTCTACTGCGTGATGCAAAAAATATAAGACGTGGCCCACCTCACACCCATGAGGATGACTACTGGCAAAAAAACCCCAAAATGACAAGTGTTGGTGAGGATGTAGAGAACTTGGAACCCCTGTGCGCTGTTGGTAGGAATGTGAAATGGTGCAGCTGCTGTGGAGAACAGTATGGCAGCTCCTCAAAAAATTAAACATAGAATTGCCATGTGACCCAGCAATTTCACTTCTGGGCATATGCCCAGAAGAACTGAAAGCAGGGTCTTGAAGAGATGTTTGTATACCCATGTTCATAGCAGCATTATTCACAATAGCTAAAACACAGAAGCAACCCAGATGTCCATCAACAGATGAATGGGTAAGCAAAATGTGGTCCCTACATACAATAGAATAGTCAGCCTTAAAAAGGAAGAAAATTCTGACTCACTACAACATAAATGAACCTTAGGACAGTATACCAAGCAAAAGCAGCCAGTCACAAAAGGAAAAACACGGTATGATTCCACTTATATGAGGCAGCTAGAGTAGTGAAAATCATAGAGACAGAAAGTAGCATAGTGGTTGCCCGGAGCTGGGAGGAGAGAGAACAGGGAATGATCATTGAATGGGTACAGAGTTTCAGTTTGACAAGATGAAAAGAGTTATGGAGCTGGAGAGTAATGATGGTTGCACATTATGTATTTAGTACACTTAATAATGGCTAAGATGGTAAATTTTATGTTATGTGTATTTTTATGTTATACTGTATATACCACAATTTTTTAAAAGTGAAAAAAAAAGCATAAGACATGTCATAAAGGCACAGCAAGAGGCAAGGAGGAAAAGACCATCTACCACCTGTCAGACCCTGTTCAGGCCTTTTAGCCTTTATCTCTGCGAATGCCCACAATGACCCTGTTGTGCAGATCGTCTTATCTTCATTTTATAGAGGCAGAGACTGAGACTCTGAGAGCTTAAATGACCTCTTTCCTCTCTCACAGCCAAATGGTCACTTGGTTCTGCCCATTCCATGTCATGCTTGTGCCTCTCCTCGCCTGCCTGCTGTCCTCACTGCTCTGCCCACTGGATGCACCTGAGTCCCTCACCAGCCTCCGGATTGGTGTGCTTGTCCCCAAGCTCACCTTCTCCCAACCCAACCTCCACACTCGTGCCAGGGCCATTTTCTAAAACACAGATTGAATACATACTCGATTGCTCAGCATCCTTCAGTAACCCCCGTTGCCTAAGGAATAAGGTCCAATCTCCCTGGCATGGCAGTCAGGGCCCCTGGGATCTGGAACCAGCCCCCAGCTCCAGCTGTGTCTCTTTGCCTCCCTCCACCTCACCTCCCCCACCCATAATTCAGCCCCACGAAGCCATGTGGAGTTTCTCCATGCACCCACATGCTAGAAATATGTCTCCTAGCTTTGGGATGGGGTGTCCTGTCCAGGGCAGGGCTGCCACATTTGTAAGATTCCCAGGCCCAGGAAGATCAAACCCACTCCGACCTGGCCGCTCATACAGTCTTCTTTCTTTCTCTTTTGTTTTCTCTTGAGATGAGGTCTCACTCTGTCACCCAGGTGGGAGTGCAGTGGTGCAATCATGGCTCACTGCAACCTTGACCTCCTAGGCTCAAGCAATCCTCCCACATCAGCCTCCCAAGTAGCTGGGACTATAGGCACATGCCACCATGCCTGGCTTTTTTTTTTTTTTTTTAGTTTTTGTAGAGATGGGGGTCTTGCTATGTTTCCCAGGCTGGTCTCAAACTCCTGGCCTCAAGCTATCCTCCAGCCTCAGCATCCCAAAGTGCTGAGATTACAGATATGAGCCACTGTACCCAGCTCAGTCTTTTTTCTGAAGGGAACAAACAGTATATCCACTCATTCATTCCACTAAGTCACATCTCCTTGCCTTTGCAAGGGCTGTCTTCTTAGCCCCAAGGGCCCTTCATCCCCATATCCGTGGGAAGCTACTGTTTTTTCTTCAAGACCTGGCCTCAGCATCTTTCTCCCAGGATGCCTTGCACAGCTCCCTGGATGGAGGCTGTCTTCTCATTCCTGTTGCATTCATCACACCATATTGCAATCATCTGTTTATATCTTGATTTCCTTGCCTGGACAGTAAGTTCCACGAGGGCAGGAGCTATGTTTTATTCAGTCATTCATTTAAAAATATTTACTGAGCATTAACTTCATGCCAAGTACTCTGCCATACCCTGAGATACTTGGCTCATGTCATGGAATATATGGTCTAGTGTAGAACAATCACACCAAAAATACATATACTCTAGGTTATGAAGGAAAGGTAAAAGATGTGCCATCCCCAGTGTCTGGCACTGGTAGGAATGCAATGCATGCTACTTTTTGGCCTCTGCCCCATCCCCAGGCACCAGTGGACCCTAAAGGCCCAGCATAGTTATAGTGCTGCTCCCTCACCAGCCTGTGAGCTTCCTATGGGAGAGACTTCGTCTCTTGATTCATGTCCCCTGAGTGTGGCACATAGGAGGTGTATGATAAATGTAGGTTGAGATAAAGATGGAATTGCCCCCTTGTGTGTGAGTCAGGATGGGCCTTGCTATCAGAAGGAGCCCAGGCCACCGGACAGTGGGGTCAGGGTTTTGGACAAGGCTGCCCTTCCTCTCTCTAAACACTCCCTCCCCCCTGCTATGGGAAACCAGAAAACGGGAGTCCTTTAAACTCTGTTACTTACTAGTTATGTGACCTTGGGTGAGTCATGTAGCTTCTCTGAGCCTCAGTTTCCTCATTTGTAAAATGGACGTAATAGTATTAGGTTGGTGCACATGTGATTGCGGTTTTTGCAATTAAAAGTAATACTATGTCATAAATTTGCTATGAGCAGGTTTAAGTTAATATTACAGAAAGGATTAGCGCAATTCCTGGCACAGGGTGCCTGCTCAGTAAATATGAGCTATTGTTATTTTACTGCGGGTTCCCAATGAGTGCCCCACTGTCACGCACATGCATCCCCCCGGATCCCACACCCGACCCAGCTCCCTCTGGATGGGCACACCACCAGAGTCCTGTCTTTTCCTCTTGCTCAGAAGCTGTGGGTAACTGGGGCTTAATTAAGCACGCTTGGCTGGGGTGTGGTTAGTGGCTGCTGTATGAGTCAGCAGAGAGGGCCAGGGTTGGAGGAGGGTTGAGGGGGCTGGAGAGAAAATGGAGCAGGAAGAAGGTTTCTGGTGCCCGGGGCTGTATTTCCAGGCTCCATGAACCCACTTTGTTCAACAATCGAGGGGGATAAGGTGAACAATCCCTCAGTCTCTTGAGTTCCTCTTATAGCTCCCAGCAGACACCCCACCTTCACATTGAGAGCTGTAGCTATGTCGTTGTACGATTCATTCATTCTTTTCTTTGGCACATATTGCTTGCTTGCTGTTGCTGGACATTGTCTGAGGTGCTGGAAACAGTGTAGTGGACAAATGGACACAGGTCATTGCCCTCATGTAACATACAGACTTGGGGAAGGCACAGATAAGTACACAGAGATTGTGACACCCTTTGACCCGTGCCACCATGTGTTGGAGGGAGCACACAGAAAACCCCAGAATAGCTCGCTTTTCTTTCCTCTGGGTGTCCTGTCCTGCATAGCCTCCCACTATGCATTGAGGTGACATGATTTGCTTACCTGTCTCCCCCACCAAACTGCAGGCAACTTGGCGGCATGGAGCATGTGATGTTTCCCTCCAGGTCTTGGCACAGCACTTGGAGCATAGCAAGTGCTCCAAATATTGGTTGGCTGATTGAATGAACCCCAGCTCAGGAAGCAACTGGCTACATGTTTTCCTAGAACAGAGTTTGGCAAACTGTAGCCTGGGGGCAAAATTCTGCCTGTAACCAGCCTATTTTGTGTAGCCCTTAAGCTAAGAATAGTTTCTACTTTTTAAAAGGTTGGATTATTTAAAAAAATCAAAGAATAATATGCTGTAGAGACATATATGCAGCCCGCAAAGCCTAAAATATTTACTCTCTGGCCTTTTACAGAAAAAGTTTGCCTACCCTGCTCTGCAAGCCTGTCTGCACCTCGCTCAGTTTCCTCATCTATGAAATGCGAGGCCTGAGTTAGATGCCACAAAGGAGTGAAGTGCTGTGAGTCTGCATCCCACAGTTCCCGTCTTTGTCCTTGATTGTCCGTGTTGCACTCATCCCCGTATTGCAGGCATCTTCCCCAATACCCCATGCACAGCAGGTGCTCAGGAGATGCCGGCTGGCAATATGGGGGTGTGGCCACCCTCCCTCCCTAGATCTCCCAGGAGGGGCAGAATAGCACGGCTCAGACACAGACAGAATGGAGCCCATGCTGGTCTCTGGAAACTTCATGGCTTCCCAGTCCAGATCCTCTCTATTTAGGAGGTGAAGCATCTGCAGGGTTCTGTGAGGAACGTCAAGGGGCATTAGCGATGCATATGGGGTTATGGTGGCTGGAGAGGGGCTCAGAGCTTGCTTCTGTTGCTACACAGCTGTGTAAGCTTAGGCAAGTTATTTAGCTCTCTGAACACCCCCATTTCCTCAACTTAAAAATGGGGATCATAATTCACCACCTACCTTCTACGGTTGCAGTGAGAATTAAGGAAGGCAATTAAACAGGCAGGTGCCTTGTAATTCTACAGGGTGTCCAAATGCTAGTAATGATTGTTACTGTTATCACAGGACATTATGGGGACTCGGCTTTGTTACTTGGTTCCACTGGATACAATGGAACATATCAAGTGGTTCTGGTAAGAATGATGGTTTTATTCTTGAAGGTCAAAGTGGATTCTAAAGCTGCTCATCAGAAAGGCCCAGGTGAGTGGGGTCGGGCTGGGGTGTTTATGGCCCCGAGGTACCCCCTGCCTAATCTCTGCCTGCTCCTTCAGTTGTGAAGGCTGAGAAACACTATGGGAAGAGACTCCCCCAAAGTCTTGAGCCCCTGTAGACCTCAAGGTAGGGAATGGGGCCAGACCCACATGACAATCTCAGCAAGGCCCCCCCTCCCACCACCTCTGTCTGCTGGGAGGGAGAGTTTGGTCCTGCTGCCTAGCCCAGCTGCCCCTGGCCACCACTCCCTGGTGGCTCATACCGTCACAGGCTCCAGCTTCATCCCTTCACAACCTGGACTGACCTCTGTTTAGCATTTCCTTTTCTTTTCTTTTCTTTCTCTCTCCCTTCCTTCCTTCCTTCCTTTCTTTGTTTTTGATGGAGTTTTGCTCTGTCACCCAAGCTGGAGTACAGTGGCACAATCTTGGCTCACTGCAACCTCTGCCTCCCGGGTTCAAGGGATCCTCCTGCCTCAGCCTCCCGAGTAGCTGGAATTACAGACACATGCCACCACACCTGGCTAATTGTTTTGTGTTTTCAGTGGAGATGGGGTTTCACCATGTTGGCCAGGCTGGTCTCGAACTCCTGACCTCAAGTGATCCACCCACCTCGACCTCCCAAAGTGCTGAGATTAGAGGTATGAGCCACCACGCCCGGCCAGCATTTCCTTTTCAGTGAGCTCTCCTGTATATCATCCCCTTTGTTTTCCACAAGAACCCTATGTGGTGGGAATATTATTTTCTCTATTTTATAGATGAAGATACTGAGGTTCAGGGAGGTTAGGTGATTTACCCCAAGGGAGTGTCCCAGCTGGGATGAGACCTGGGCTGCTTTCTCTCAGGGCTTTTTCTATGGCACCAAACTGTCTTTCTCCAGCTGCCTCAGTTGTCCCATCCTGAAATCTGCCTTCTTGCTCCACCCACACACCTTCCCTTTGCCCCAGCTGACTCACAGGCCTGGGAAAATCCCTTTCTCCTACCCACCTGCGCAGGTGTAGGTGCACGCCAGCCCCTGCAATGTAAACCCCCTGGACCATAGTGGGTCTTCAAGGCCATCCTTTGGCTGGCCCTGACCTTCCAGGGTCCTGGGGTAGAGGAGGCTGGGAAGGTGTGTGCCGAGGGCACCAGGGAGATGTCAGACTCAGTTACCATGATGTGGACTATCCACGCTGCCTTGGGGGCTTGGTGTCACACTGCATCAAGTGGGCACTCAGGGCTTACTCCCTCTAGCTAAGAGATCCAGCCCCACTTTCCCTTCCCCCTGCTTGAGACCACTCAGAAGCATTCTCTATCCCTGGGGATGCAGTCAGGGCCTCCTGGATGTCCAGCCTTTGGGAGGTGCCACTCCAAAGGGACTGAGTGTTCAATGTTGGGGGTGGGGTGGGAAGGCTTTTCCCTCAATAGTTTCATCTGGCCTCCCCGGGGGGCCATGCTTCTATTTCATGGTTTGGTGGGGAAGAGTCCAAGCTTTGAGGACCCCTGTCCATGGGCTCATCTCAAAGGTGGTGCTCGGCAGAAGCCCAGATGCAAGGGTGGGCTGCAATGGGGAGAACCTCAGATCTTGCTTCTGAAAGGAGACCCTCCTAGGCCTGCAGGGAGACCCGGCAGCCCATTCCTACCACGGTGGCCACTGCTGTACCTTGCTCATGTCCTGTTTTGTCTCTGCAGCTCTTCCCATTTCCTCCATACACAGCATTAAGTTGAGGCTGGAGGTCGGGGCAGTAAAGGGAGGGCAGAAAGGACTTAACGTTCATACCCCTGAGGGAAGGATGTTTTGGGCTCTGTGGGGTGCCCAGCATGCAGAGTGAAGGGTGGGAGCAGAGAGCATGAGCTGGGCACAAGCTGAGCCCCAGAGTGCAGGGGCCAGAGCTGCCTCACAGGGTCTGCCCAGCGCCCTCCCTTCCAGCTCCATTGCTCTGGACTTCACGGTTGCCCATCAGGACACAGGTCTCCTCAGTGCCCCCGCCTCCCACCTTACACTCTGGACCCCATTGCATCCACCAGGCTGCCGACACCCTAAAATGCTGTCCAGGTCTCCTCCTGGACACTAGCTCCCCATTGCTGACAGAACGACATATGAACATTTGAGCACAGCACTCGCTGCCTGTCTGGCGTCATGTTCCCTGTGTTCCTCTGCAGCCCACCTCTCCCTCCCCACATCGAGGGCGGTTCTCTGGTCATGAACTTGTGCTGCCGCTGATGTACCATGCTCCCTTGGTTCTTGAGACCTTGGCCTGTGCTGACCCCTCTGTTGGGATTGGCTGTACCCCTTAGCCACTGAGAGAGATTCCACGCATTCTTTGCATCTTCTCTGAGATCCACCTCCACTGAGAGGTCTCCCAGGCTTCTGCTCCACTGAGAAGTCTCCCAGGCTTCTGCCTCACTGAGCTGGCCACACAGTTAGGCACATCTCTTTGTTTTAACAATTAACTGCTTATGGTTTGGCTTTTTTTATTGATGTTTCTCTCTGACCTTTGATAGTGAGCAACTGAGAGTGGAGGCCATGTCCTAACCACCCAGCCCCTCAGCAGTAGCACTGTGCTTGACCTGCCCTGTGGATATTTAAATGTTTGGAAAATACATTTTTTCAATTAATTATTTTTTCTCTTTCTTTCTTTCTTTCTTTCTTTCTTTCTTTCTTTCTTTCTTTCTTTCTTTCTTTCTTTCTTTCTTTCTTTTTCTTTCTTTTCTTTCTTTCTTTCTTTCTTTCTTTCTTTCTTTCTTTCTTTCTTTCTTTCTTTCTTTCTTTCTTTCCTTTCTTTCTTTTTTTCTTTCTCTTTCTCTCTCTCTCTCTCTTTTTCTTTTGCTTTTTTCTTTTGTAGAGACAGGGTGTTTCGATTTTGCCCAGGCAAGTCTTGAACTCCTGGCCTCAAGTGATCCTCCTTCCTCAGCCATTGTGTGAGCCACCACACCTGGCCAGAAAATGTTTGAATTCACAAACTCATTAATGACTGAAGTCATTGGAGAGGTACTTGAGGAGCTCTTCACATCTGCCTGGTCCTTCCCCAGTGTTCCTGACACCTCCCCACAGGACTTGGGAGACAGGCCTCACAGCGCACAATCCAGGCTGCCCTTAAAAGGGCTTGAAAACCAGATCCAGGTGCCCAGAAGAGAATAGTCTCTCCAAGGTGCTACTAGTCCTGCCCTTAGTCCTGCCCCCATCTTTCTCTGATATCCCTGTGGACAGCATGCTATCCAAATTTCTGGCATTTAAGCTGAATCCAGCCTCAGAGCCAGCTTGCTAAGCCTCAGTCTGAGGAGCTGCATTCTCTGTGACATCATCCTCCTCGGCTGGCTCTCAAACTAGGTCAGGGCCTGCTGGCAGGAGCCGGCTAGCACTGACTGCCCAGCAGCCTGCCACGCGGTTGCAGCTTCTGGGTAGACAGAACAGCAGGGCTGCTGAAGTTGATGGGGAGGTAACTGGGGGTGGGGCAGGGCAGGAGAAGGTCTAATACTGAGGCCAGAGCAGGTGGGAATGTCTTCCTTACCTCCCTTGCTCCCATGAGTTAATTATTAATAGCTCATCAGCCATTCGTCCTTTCACTTGCTTATTCCACAAACAGGTGTTGGATGCATGCCTTGTGTCAGGCACTGTACTAGGTGCTGGGGTAGGAAGAAGAGATCTTTGTCCAGAGAGGGAGGAAGACATAACCAACCACAGGTGGCTAAGCCAGAGGGTTCTGGGTATGTCCCAGGTTCTCTGGGCTGCCCAGGGGAGGGAATGATGGAGAGGGTCTATGGAGGTCAGAAGGCAGCCACGTCCTGAGGACCAGCTGCACACACATATGCAGGACCAGCCTCGAAGCCCCCTTTTTCCACCACGCCCCTCTCACCAGTATGTGCTCTAGACCCTATCTCAAAACCAGATTTCAGAGGCCCCCTCCCACCTCCACTGCCACCACTCTGGCCCCAGCCTCCTTCTCCTGCCTGGTGACTGCAGTAGCCTTTCCACGGAGCTTCCTGCTTCTACTCTCATGCATTTGCAATCTATTCTCCATATGACAGTGAGAACGATCTTGTTTTAAATATGTATTTTATTTTTAGTAGGTAATACATGCCTTTTATACAAAATAATATTTTAATAGGTAATACATGCCTTTTATACAAAATAAAATGATTTTTTAAAACTCCGAATAATCAGGAACAGATCATGTCACTCTTCTATTTAGGATCCACCCAGTGGTTTCTCACCTACTTAGAACGTAAACCAAATCTCCTGCCTAGTCTGCAAAGCCCCACTGTCCTGGGTTCGTCTGCCTTTCTGACCCCGCCTTGCACCACTTGCCCCTCCCTGGAAATGAACCTGTCTCTTCCTCAAACAGGCCAGTCTCCTTCTCACCTCCTATGGCCTTGCCTGTGCTGTTCCTGCTGCCTGGAATGCTCTTCCCCAGACCCCCGCTTGGCTGTTACTTCTTGTCAATCAGAGCTCAGCTTAATGTCATCGCCTCAGGGAGGCCTTCCCTGATGAATAATCTAAAATGGCCACCAGATGCTCTATCCTATCACTGCATTTGTAAAAATAGCTTTATTGAGGTATAACTGACACACAGTAAACAGATGTATAACACTCAATTGGAGACATTTTGACATATGCATATACCTGTGGCCATCACCACGATCAAGATAGTAAGCATAGCCATCACCCTCAAATGTTTCTTCATCCACCTTTGTAATCCCTCCCCTTCTCTCCACCCACTGCCCCCCACAACCACTGGTCTGCCTTCTGTCACTATCGATTAGTTTGCATTTAATAGAATTTCATATAAATGGAATTATACAAGATGGACTCTTATTTTGGAGGGTCTGGCTTTTTTCACTCAGCTCAGTAGAGATTTATCCATGCTGCATGTGTCAATGGTTTATTCATTTATGTCTCTGAGTAGCACTCCATTATATGGACTTACCACCATTTTGTTTGTCCATATTCACTGGCTGATGAACATTTGGGTTGTTTCCAGGTTTGGCTATTATATATAAGGCTGCATGAACATTTGTGTACAAGTTGGTTCTCTTTGATAAATACCTAGGAGTGGAAGGGCTGTATTATACTTAACTTTTTTTTTTAATTGTATTTTTTGAGACAGGGTCTCCCTCTGTTTTCCAGGCTGGAGTGCAGTGGCGCCATCTCAGCTCACTACAACCTCCGCCTCCCTGGCTCAAGCGATTCTCCTGCCTCAGCCTCCTGAGTAGCTGGTACTACAGGCATGCACCACCATATCCGGCTAATTTTTGTATTTTTGGTAAGACAGGGTTTTGCCATGTTGGCCAGGCTGGTCTTGAACCCCTGACCTCAAGTGATCTGCCTGCCTTGGCCTCCGAAAGTGCTGGGATTACAGGTGTGAGCCACCACACCCGGCCCATACTTAACTTTTTAAGAAACTTGCCTGTACTGTTTTCCAAAGTGGTTGTACTATTTTACATTCCCTCCAGCATCCTTGTATGTATGAGAATTCCCATTCCTCCACATCCTTGACAAAAATTGGTATGGTCAGTCTTTTTATCTTTAGCTATTCTAATAGCTATGTAGTGATTGCTCATTGTGGTTTTAATTTGCATTTCCCTAATGACTAATAATGTTAAGGATCTTTTCATTTGCTTCTTTGCCATTTGTATATCTTCTTTAGTGAACTATCTATTTATATATCTTGCCTGCCTGTTTGAAATTGTTTGATTTCTTACTATTGAGTTGTAGGACATACTTTTAATATCTAGATACAAGTCTTTGATCAGATATGTGATTTGCAAATATTTTCTTCAGTATCTGGTGTGTCTTTTCATTCTCTTAATAGTGTCTTTCAAAGAATCGAAGTTCTTAATTTTCTTGAAGTCTAATTTATCAATTTCTTCCTTTATAAATTGTGCTTTTTGGTGTTGTGTCTGAAAAATCTTTGCCTAACTCATGGTCATGAAGATTTTCTTCTAGAAATTATATAGTTTTAGTTTTAGGCTTTACATTTACACATATGATCCATTTTGAGTTAACTTTTGTATTTTGCATTTATCGTACAAAACAATTTTGCATTATGAATATATGGCATGCTGTGCGGATAGTTCTCCTTTGCATATGATAGCCAATTATTCCAGCACAATTTGTTGAAAGGTTGTCCTTTCTTTACTGCATTGCCTTTGTACCTTTGTAAAACAGCAATTGACCAGACAGGTATGAGTCTATTTCTGGTCTTTCTATTCTGTTCCATGAACCTGTCTGTCTGTCTTGATGCCAATACCACGATACTGTAGTTACCTTAGCTTTATAACAAGCCTTGAAGTCAGGTAGTATGAGTCCTCTAACTTTGTTCTTTTTCAAAGTTGTTTTGGTTCCTCTAGGTTTTTTGCATTTCCATATGAATTTTAGAATCAGACTGTTAATTTCAATTAAAAATCCTGCTGGGATTTTGGTTGGGATTGCATTGAATTTATAGATCAATTTGGATAGAATTGATATTCTCACAATATTGAGTCTTTTGATCCATTAACACAGTATATCTCTGTTTTTATTTAGGTTTTCTTTAATTTCTGCAATGTTTTGTAATTTTCAGTGTACCTGTTTTGCACATCTTTGGTCAGATTTATCCCTAAGTATTTCATATTTCATGATGCTATTGTAAAAGATATTTTTTAAAGTTTCAATTTCCAAATGATTGGTGATGAGATACAATTGATATGTGTATTACTGAGCATATATCCTGCAACCTTGCTAAACTTGCTTATTAGTTTTTGTGGATTTTATTGGATTTTCTTTTCTTTCTTTCTTTTTTGTTGTAGCCCCACTCTCACCCACTATTGGATTTTCTACACAGATTATCCTGCCAACTGTGAATAAACATAATTTTACTTCTTTCTTTCTAATCTGGATACCTTTTATTTCTTTTTATTGCCTTATTGCACTGGCTAAAATCTCTAGCACATTGTTAAACAGAAGTGGTGAGAGCAGATATCCTTGCCTTGTTCCGGATCTTAGGGGGAAAGCAGTCAGTCTTTCACCATTAGATATGATGTTAACTGTATTTTAAAAAAGACATAGGTGCATTTTATTGGTCTGAGGAAATTTCTTTCTATTCCTAGTTTGCTCAGAGTTTTTTTTTTAATCAGAAATGGATTTTGGATTTTGTCAAATGCTGTTTCTGCATCTATTGAGGTGATAATATGGTTTTTCTTTTGTAATCTATTAAAATAGCAAGTTATGTTACTGACTTTTTTAAAAGAGATGGGTCTTGCTGTGTTGCCTAGGCTGGAGTGCAGTGGCCATTCACAGGCACAGTCATAGTGCATTACAGCCCTAAACTCCTGGGCTCAAGTGATCCTCCTGTCTCAGCCTCCTGAGTAGCTGGTATTACAGGCATGCAACACCACACCCAGTTAAATGATTGATTTTTGAATGTTAAATCAATTTTGTATTCCTGGTATATACCCCATTTGGTTATGATATATTGTCTTTTTATATACTGTTGAGTTGTATTTGATAGAATTTGGATTAGAATTTTTGCATCTATGTTTATAAGGGATATCAGTCCATCATCTTCTTGTAACCTTTGTCTGGTTTTGTATCAGAGTAATGCTGGTCTCATAAAATGAGTTTTTAAGTAGTTCCTCCTCTTTAATTTTTTGGAAGTGTTTGTGTAGATTTGGTATTATTTCTTCCTCAAATGTTTGTTAGAATTCACTAGTGAAACCATCTAGGTCTGAGGTTTTCTTCATGGAAAGGTTTTAAACTACAACTTCAATTTGTTTAATAAATATAGGACAATTCAGCTTATTTTTTCTTCTTGAGTGAACTTCAGTAGTTTACCATCACACTATTATAAATTATTTGCACAGCCCTTTGTATTATCTGACAAATTCTTGTTTTCTTAATTAATTACTTTTTAAGTGTTTCTCTCCTACAAGATTGAATTCCAGGACAGGGACTGTCAGGTTCATCTTTGCATCTAGCACAGAGTATGAGCTCAATGTATAATAGTGGAGTGAATAGATGCTATTTTAATCTTTCTGAAAATACAGAAACATGGATGTTCTCAGGTTATGCCTGTGAAAGCTGAGGCTTCGAGAGAGAGGTTAAGTAAATTGCCCAGTACCGGATAACCTACAAAGTGGGTCAAACCCATGATATTGCTCGTACATGGTTTTCCCTCTTGCTCAGTATTTACTTGGTAGCAAAGTATGAGAGTGATGGCTGCAGAGAAACTAGACAGGGCTCTCAAGCTTTAGTGTGCATGAGGCTTACTTGGGGCATTTATTAAATGAGCCAGGAATCTGTATCTTTGACATGGCCCCCAGGAGAGTTTGATCTACATCATCAAGAGACCGCAATTTAGGAAGCTCTGACCCAGCCTGTGCAAAATGCAGGGGAAGGGAAAATGCTACTCTGTTCAGAGAGGGAGGGGACATGGTATGGGTGGGCCTAGGGTCACTTTTTAGGGGGTGGCTATGAATTCAGGACCTCAGCCTGAGGTGGGGCATTTGCAGACATGTGCAAACAAGCCCCAAGGGCACTAAATCAGCCCCAGGAAGTTCTTTTTCAGGGTCAGTGGCTTATGAACCAATTCCTTTCCCCTGTACCCCTGTTTCTCAAGTGGCCAGAGGTAAGGCCAGTGCAGTTTCTCTGCTTTTAATAAAAGGATAAACTGTAGGGATCTTTCAAGCTGTCTTTGGTTAAGCTTTCAGAAACCTCACTGCCCCATCTAGTCCCATTCCTTACTTCTCATCTGGCTTCATGGGGAGGTGGGACCAGGATTGAAAGAAGGAAGGCAGGGAAACAGAGAAGTCCTGGGCTACTTACTAGAGGAAGGTGTAATTAGCAGATGTCTCTCTCAGGGGCTTGGGGACAGCAGCCCTCTTGCCATATTCAGGGGACGGGGGAGTGGGTAGGTGAAGAGACTCCGGGCCCTGGGAACTGTGCATAGGTTTCCTCACCTCCAGAAGTTCGCCCTGCTCACCCTCAGCCTGTGTGAATCAGTGAAGGAGTTGGGCTCCACATAGGAGGAAAGGCAGGGGCTGGGGGAGGTGCTTGGATAAGGGGATAGGTCACGTGCTCCACCTGCACACCCTCATGTGCTCTACCCACAGGAGGTTTCTTTTTTGGAAGCCTAACCAAAGAGAGCTTCCCAGGGCCTCCGTACAGGACATTCCAAAGCCTCTGCCGGTTTTCTGCCCCCTGCCCTCCAGTGTCACATTGGCTGAGACTCCTGATGTGCTAGGGCAGAAGTGGCAGGCAGAGGCAGAGAGGGCTTGTGTTCCAAAGGGCAGGCAGACAGGGAGGGCAGGAGGGAGGACACAGAGGAGGAAGGGCAGAGGGCAGGCCTCTGAACTGGGTGCTAAGGTGCTCCACTGTGGAAGGTGGGAGTGGGACACCCTCCTGGAGGCAGTTGACATAATGCCTGGCTTGGCTGTCAGTTGGCCTGGAAGCTAATGGAGCCATTTGCCTGCCATCACCACACTGGCTGGGAGAAGTGGAAGGGCACTTGTCCCCTGGGGTAGTCTCTGCCATCCTGTGTTGGCACTGGGCTGGACAGATGTCATTGCCTTCATGTGGGAAAAGGCAGCTGTCCTGGGTAGAGGAGCCACTGTCTTTGTGGCCTAGTCTCAGCAATTAGGGTTGGAGGGAGGGGTCCTGGTCAGCTCCCAAACAGCAGGCACGGCAGAGCACTTGTACTTGGCATCAGAGAGGATCCAGACAAACTCCTATTGGAAGATGCTATTTGGGTGGTGTTTTATTTGATTAGATATTAGTGTTTATTTTCTATGCCTGAGTAAGGAATGACCACAAACACAGCAGCTTAAAATGACATCCATTTTATCACCTCACAGTTTCTGTGGGTCAGGAGTCCAAGCTCAGGTCAGCAGGGTTCTCGCTCAGGATCTCCTAAAGCTGCCGTTCAGGTGTCGGCTGGTCTGTACTCCTCTCTGGAGCTGGGGGTCCTCTTTCAAGCTCATGTGGTTGTTGGTAATATTCAGTTTCTTGTGGTTATAGGAATGAGGTCCCATTCTCTTGCTGGCTGTCATCCCATCTCTCTTGGCTTCTAGAAGCTTCTCAGAGTTTCCCGCCATGTAGCTCTCACAGGCTTCCTCGCCTGGCAGCTCACTTCTTTAAGGCCGCCAGGAGACTCTGTCTGTCTCCATTCAGGAAGGGCCAGTTCCTCTTTTAAGGGCTTTCACCTGTTTAAGCCAGGCCCACCCAGGATATTATTCCTTTTAAGTGACTCAAAACAAACTAATCTGAGACCTTAATTACCTCACCCCATCATACGCATGAGGCCCACCCACACCACAAAAAAGGGGATTGTGGTAGAGCATCTACACAAGGAGGCAGGAATCCTGAAGCCATCTTAGATTTCTGCCTTTCACAATATTCAACTTCATTCGTTCACTCATTCATTCATTTATTTTGAAAGACGAAAGGGGAGAGAGAGAATATAGACAGAGAGTATGCGAGAGAGAGATAGAGAGAGAGAGAGAATGTGTTTGGATGTTTAAAGATGAGAGGGAGTGGCCAGGCGCGGTGGCTTATGCCTGTAATCCCAGCACTTTGGGAGGCCAAGGCGGGTGGATCACGAGGTCAGGAGATCGAGACCACCCTGGCTAACACGGTGAAATCCTATCTCTACTAAAAACACACAAAAAAATAGCCAGGCATCGTGGCGGGCGCCTGTAGTCCCAGCTACTCGGGAGGCTGAGGCAGGAGAATGGCGTGAACCCGGGAGGCGGAGCTTGCAGTGAGCAGAGATCGCACCACTGCACTCCAGCCTGGGCGACAGAGCGAGAATCCATCTCAAAAAAAAAAAAAAAAAAAAAAAAAAAAAAAAAAAGATGAGAGGGAGTGGTAGGTACTTGCTCCTTGTTAGCAGAACAGAATAGCTTTAAAGAGTCCACCTGCAATTCTGTGCTGCTCTGCTCTCCCCTTCCTTGCTTATAATGAAAACAGTTGATAAATCAGAATTTTTATTATAAACTGTTGCATGGATAGGAGCCAAAAAGAGCATTTGCTGTATGTGCTCATTTCTTACAGGGAATTGGTGGGAACCAACTCAACCAATGACTATTGCTGGTGGCCATCTGCTGGGACATGCAAATAGCTTATAGAACCAGAGAATCACAGACTCTTAGAACCAGAAAGGGCTCTGGGGATCTTGTAATCCAACCTAGTCACTGCACAGATGATGGAACTGAGGCCCAGAGAGGAGATGTGAGTTGGGCAAGGTCACACAGCTAGTGGGCAGCAAGTTTTACTGGGAACAAATCAATGCCTACTCATTCAGCAAGCAGGTCTTGGGTGAGGATTAGGAGGGGGCACACATGTCCTAGGCCAGCTCATGTACTTTCCACTACAACAGTTTGCCTCATTACACAGTCTCTGCTTCTCTAATGGGACTGGCTTCATAGAATTCTTAATGTGTAAAATATTAATCAGCAGTTGCCTTCCTTGTCCTCCTGGCCATGGGGAGTAGACAGAGGGGGCTGCAGCCTGAGCACAGATGGGGTGGCAGCAGGAGGAGGGGGCTCTGCAGCCTGTGGAATGGCAATGTTTGTGCGTGCGTGCGTGCGTGCATGTGTGTGTGTATCCAACTGAGATTAAGCCCTGAAAGCAGGACTCAACCTTGCCTCCCCCTCCCCCATGCAATCACATCCTGCCTGTGACTGTGTCACCTCCATCCCTCCAGCAGCCTCTATCAGTATCACAGATGCTGATTCACAAGATGCAGGTTGCGATGGAAGGTGATTAATGATGGCAGCTATAGTCCCTCTTACTCTCCCAGCCTCCCTGACCTTGTTCTTCCCCTCCTCTTTCCACTTCCCCTGTCCCCATCATCCCATAAGAAAAGAGATAAACATTCAAGACATGAGGGGAGTTGGGTCTTTCTGGAGCAGCTGCTATGAGCCAGGCACTGTGCCAGGCTCTTTTGTTTGTTCTCATTTAACAATGGACATAGAGAGATGCTGTGGGATGTCATGGGATGGGAGGAAGGCAGTGTTCTTCCCGTGTCTCCATAGAGGGCAGTGGCAGGCTGATTTCCAGCAGACAGGTTTGGCATCCTTTGGCACACATGTTGTTCATGTTGTTTCTGATGTGTATGTTGTCAGCGTGCCAGGTTTCAGGGTTACACATGGACTTGCCCTCTGAAGCTGGGCATGCTGACAACGTGCACATCAGAACCAACATGAATGGCATGTGCCAAAGAATGAAGCTGTCAGGAACCCTAGCAATCATTCACTTTACTAGCAGGGTGAGATGGAGGCCCACAGGAAACTTGACTTGCTCAAGGTCATGCAGAGCTGGCCTCTCCTGATTCCCATTCTAGAAGCCATTCTTATATCCAGCTTCCATTTCTCCTGCTGCACTTTTACTCTACTCTGGAAGCAGGGGCATGGTCACTGAGCATCTCAGAGCTTGCGGGTGATAAGGGCACAAGTCTTTAGCGAAGGAGATTTAAGCCACAAGGACAGCCTCTCCCAATACCATCTCTGAGCAGCTTTGCCCAGTTTTCTGTCTAAGTGATGGGCCTTGTTGTCATCATGACTGGAATGGATTGCTAGCCTATTGACTGGGTCAGGGATGTGGCAGAGCCTCTGACACTTAGGCAACCTCTATACGATGGGCTGTTTCCTCTGTCCCTTTCATTGTGTCCATGTGTGCCCATGTGAGTGGAGTGGGGTGGGGTGCAGAGTGTGTATGGCTGAATTACTAGTATACATGCAGAACTCCAAGCCCAATTTCTGATTTGTAAGATATGACAGTGGGGTCTTCCCTTCCTCTTATATTTTTGAGATGTCCAAGGAATCATGTAAATGAGTGACAGACTCTAACTCAGGAGGACCCAGGGGTGCTTTTTCCTGCCTCTGTTGGCTTCCTCTGGGTCAGGCTGGGAAGCTGGGGAAGAGGGCTGAGCCCAGCTCCTGTCATCCTGCCATCTGTTGCTTGGTCCTTCAGTGAGTTTGGTTGAGGGAGAAATTAGGTCAGAGGAGATAGGTCTGGGAACCCAGATCTGGCAGATGTGAGAATGTGGGCTAAGGTCTGTGGGCTCTGTTTTCTTGAGGCATATTGGGTTGGGTAGCAGAGTCAAGCAGTATTTCTTTCCTTTGGAGAAACCAGTCAGCTCAGTGAATTCAGCACCCTGGACAGAGCCTAAGAAGGCAGGGAGGCTCTTCATGCCCTTTGATGCCCCCACCAGGCTGCAGGCCTGGTGGTCATGGGTGCCAAGGCCCAGAGTTCCCAGGTGTGGGCCCCCAGACTACAGAGAGTATTGGGCTTTCCAGACTAGACTCTCAGAAAACTTGACTGGCTAGGACTTATCTGCAGGCAGGAGGGGGTATTGGGGGTTGGGCTGTTCCTTTGAGGAAGACTCATTGACTTGATGCCAGGGCTGAAATGGCTGGTCCTGGGTCTGGAAAGGTCAGTGCACAAGCACAGAAGTCTTCTGTCTGTTTGACTATCCCACTGTGAGCCCCTTGAGGACAGGAACCCAGTAGATCTCACTGCTGTTCTCCGCACAACTAGCAGATAGCCTGGCTGGGGGTAGGTGCTCTTCAATGACTAATTACTGACTGAATGTTGAGGAAACAGGCCACAGAGAGTGAAGTTTGGATGGAGCTGGATGGGAAGAAAGCCAGGCCCTTTGATGGGCCCCCATTGGGAGCTATCCCCCCATTCCTTTTCTCCTGTTCTCACCTGCCAACTCCTTCCCCACCCAGCCCTGTTTTCTCAGTGCACTTCACTCCCCCCACCATGAATGGCCGCCTTTTGACATTTCCCATCTCTGCCCTTGCCTTCAATGCTTTCCCCAAGGCCATCGCCCCACCCCTTCCTCACACTGCAGTGGGCCATCTCTCTCCTAAACGTCTGGTTGCTGACTCTCTGACCCCTTAGCACTAACAGGGATTTTGTCTTTGTTCCACAATTGGGATGCCATAGTTAAAATGGTTTTCTAAAAATTTAATAATATATTTTATTTAACCCAATGTATCCAAAATAGTGTCATTTCAGTGTGTGCTCAATATGAAAAATGTATTAGTGAGCCAGTTTACATTATTCTTCTCAGAATCCACGGTGTATTTGGTACTTGCCGCCTATCTTATTTCACAGTGCTCCAGGAGCCCCAGGTAGGGTGGAGGGCGTGTTTAGATAGCTTTTGGCTCTGGGAACTTGCCATCTGAGTGCATGGCACAGAAAGGTTTACCCCTGGCCTCTTTTCTGGGTGTCAACAGGTTAGAAAGCCCCAAGAGGCAGAATCTTGGATTCCTGCTTCATCTTTGCTGTTCCTCACTCTATAGCTATCTGCTGGGACTGGTCCTCATTGCTTCTGTCACCTGCTCCTGAGAAGGGGGTGAGGCGATCATTTCTGCTTCCTCTCTGTAGCACCAGAAGGCTCTAACCTGCTATCTCAGGATTCCCACAAATAGGAAGTGCTATATTTTCTTTTGCATAAAAGATTTTAGCCTATATGGCCCCACCTTCTACTTGCGTCACCCTTCTCTCCTCCCATACCATCCCCCTCGACAAGCTGTCCTAGAATATCGAGACGCTCTCATTCTAATTGGAATTGTACACCCACCGATGGGTGCCCTGAGTGGTACTGAGCTCTCCATTACTGGAGGTGACCAAAGTTAATACACTCTTGTAGCTGCCCTGACACAAAGGGGAATCCTGCATGGTTGAGAAGTTGAGCAGGAGAACTTGAGGAAGTCACTTCCCACCTTTAGATTCCATGATTCCTTCAAGTACCTAGCATGGAGCTAGACAATGGGAGAGACTTTGGAGAGAATTGAAGTGCAGTCTCTGGCCTCAGAGTATATGCAGTTCAGTTGGGGAGATAAAACAAATGCATAAGAGATCCCTAGAAAAATCTGGGGCCGGCACAATTGCCCTAGGACACAAAGAAGAAACCTGGACAGTGGGAAGGCATGGGAACCCTGGAAATAGCACAGAGTAGAGGTGAAAATGAGTCAGACCTCTCCTTCCTCATACAGAGTTGAATCTGGCCTCCCCAAACACTTCCCAGTGCCCTAGGCTGCTGCCTTGGGTCACTCAGAACAGAATCTGCACATTACATCTGCAATGGGCTGCCCCAGCTCTTGCCACTCTGCCTCTTCCCGCTGTAGGGTGAAGACTCCCTGTTGTCTGCTAAGCTCTTCTTATGAGGGTGGCAGCAGAGCGTGGGTTTAGGAGCATGTTTCTGGAGCCAGATCTCCCAGATTGGAATCTTGACTGCACAACTTCCTAGCAGGATGACCTTGAGCAAGTTATTTCAGCTTGCTGTGCTTCAGCCTCTCATCCCCCAAAGTGGGCTGATAATGGTGCCTGCCTCACAAGGGCAGAGTGAGTTAATAGTTGTGCTGGGGACTTGAAAGAGTGCTCAGGATACAGCGTCACATGTTTGTAAAATTAAATACAGGACATGACTTTAGCCCCTTCCCCCACATGCTTTCATTGTTCTCCTGCGGAGGTGCTGGGGGTGTCAGTGCCTCCTTTATGGTGGGAGAGCCGGGACTGAGCATGGAACTTCAGAGGCAAAAGACCTTGACCTCACTCAGTCTGGCCAATATTTTATCAGTGCAGCCCCACCCAAGATTCTCATGTTTAGATGATAGTGACCTCATCATGTTCTTACCGTGTCTCAAGCTGGCTTTCAACCAAAACTTGAGTCTATTTTCCACGTGTTGCAGAGAAACGGGCTCCACCCCTTCTTGTACCTGTACAGCCAAACATTTTTTCCCTGCTTTATTTTTATTTTTTAACCTTTGTTTTAGGTTCAGGGGTTATAACAAATGTGAAGGTTTGTTGTATAGGTAAACAACACGGGGGTTTGTTGTATGGATTATTTCATCACCCAGGTACTAAGCCTGGTACCCAATAGTTCTTTTTTTCTGCTCCTCTCCCTCCTCACATCCTCCACCCTTAAGGAGACCCTAGTGTATTTTGTTCCCCTCTATGTGTCCATGAGTTTTCATCAGTTAGCTCTCACTTATAAGTAAGAACATGCAGTATTTGGTTTTCTGTTCCTGTGTTAGTTTACTAAGGATAATGGCCTCCAGCTCCATCCGTGTCCCCGCAAAAGACATGATCTCATTCTTTTTCATGGTGCAGCCTAACTTTGTAAGAATAGAATTGTCCCTTTCCCACTCTCTGCTACTATGGGACATGTGAACTGCTACCCCAGCCTGTCAAGGTCTTTTTGGGGTCCAGGTCCTCCTGTTGGCCATACGGATGGGGTCTTCATGCCCAGGAGCATCTGAGAGTCTACAGACAGTGGGCCACTGTGCTATCCTGCTGTGCTCACCATGGTCTTAGACAGAGAGAGGCCTCTGGGCTGGGGTGGTGCTGAGAGAACAGACCCGGTTTTTCAGGTCTTCTCTTTGGTCCTGGTGGTCTGGAAACTTCCTTTGCCTTTACCAGAAAGCTTTACATCACTCACAGATCTTGTTCCAGTGAGGGACAGCCCTCGGAATGTTCTTGTTCCCTTGAGGTCTTTCTGGCAGGTGATGACATGGCCTGCATGCTTGCCACCTTCCCTGTTCCCAGCTGCTGGGCCTCGACTCTGGGCTGATACAAGTCTACCCTCTTCAGTCCCAACCAGCTCCTCTCTTGATCCTCCAGCAGCTTTTGGGGGGCTTTGAGCCCTTGGCAGAGAGCCTCCCCAAATTCAGAGGACCATGACCAAGCTCATCACTGCCCAACAGGGCAGGCCAGGCATGGTGGGGGTAAAAAGCTCAGCTCTTCTCTTGCTGCTTCCAGGAGGTGGACATTGCTGGATCTCCCAGGCCGAGCAGCATTGAGCGTGCCCGTTGTACCCCTGTCTGCTCCTCCAGCCCTCACTTAGCCCAGCCATCTGCAGTGCTAGGTGTGCAGCTCAGCCTTCAGCAGGCTGTGGGGCCCGAGGCTGTCAGACAGCGGATTCTCATCCCGCCTTCAGAGGTGCTGAGGAAACACGAGATGCACCACCCACCCACGCCACGGTGACATATGTGGCTCTTCCACATGCCAGCCTTGGGATTCTCTAGTCTGGACACCCTGGGTGTGGGTACCGATATAGTGACTTCCCTACCTTCCAAGTGGAAGGATCTGGTGCCTGTAGGGTAGCCAGAAGACAAGCAGGGTGAACTGGAGTTTTCTTCTGCCACTGGCTTCAGGATCACAGGCTCAACTTGACCTCAGCGGGGAAGGCAATAGCGGGCTTGTCATGCTCAGCAGGGAGACTTCCAGCTGCTGAACATCTGCAGGGCCCACCAGATACAGAGCACATTTGTGCAGGGCATGTCCTTAAGAAGACCCTGACTTGGCACGGTTGTGGCCAGGGGAGTGACGCCAGGGGATGAAAGGAATGACCTCTCAAGGCGCCTCCTCACATGAGGTGCTCAGGTGGTGCCCGGGCAGATTCACACCTGAATCTGTCTTGCCGGGGGAGTAGAAAGGTTCTGGGACAGACAGGGACACATGCTTCCCAAGATAGCACATCTGTCGTCTGAGCACCGTTCTGAGGCAGGTCGACACAGATTTATGCTGGTACACAAATTCAATAAACACCACCAGCCTCCTCCTTCCTGCAGGCAGCCTGCCTGGGAGGCTGAGGGCTCCACTGGGGTGAATTGGGACCCTGAGGCCTCTGTGGGAAGGGCACTTGAAGGATCCAGGTTCCAAGGGTAGGATCAAAAAAGCTGATGTGGCTCCTGCCTTCAGAAGTCCTGTGCGTGCCTCCGAGCAGGCCCAGATCTGGCTGGGTCACCTTGTGCCCTGTCTGCTCTACTGTAGCTCCAGCGCTTGTAAAATGAGGCTCGGCATTTCCAGTCCCTTCCTCTGTGGTCACTCAGTGTCCTGGAGTGATCCCTACCCATTTTCTTGTCCTCTTTTCACCCCACAGAGCCCTCTCAGCTCCTGGAAGGGCTGGGTGATGAAGACAGAACCATCCCATCCCGTCCCTCCTCTGGAGATTGTCCAGGGGCTCCTGCTCTGGAAGGGGGCAGTGAGGGCAGACCCCCTTGCAGGCCCAAGCTCTGCCCATCACTGGACGTTCTCTGTTGTGGGCTGGTGGGGTGGGCTGTGAGCAGGCCTCAGAAGTATCTGTCACCCTGCACTCAGCTTGCTGTTGGCGCAGAGAATCGGTCATGTCTGTGCTGCACTTCAGCCTTGTCATTTTACAGATAACATGATGGAGGCCAGAGAGGGAAAGTGACTTGCCTGAGGCCCCAGAGCTGTCACAGAGTGGCAGAAATGGCTCAAAACCCGGGCCTCCTGGGTCTTAGCGTGATAAGCTTGCTGGTGTCCTGGGACGCTGACTGTGCCTTCCTGCCCCGGGAGGGACATAGTTCTGGCAGGGGCACTCAGGGCAGCTCTGCTTCCCACCAGAACAGGGAAGTGGGGTCTCACTCTATCCAGCCCCCGCCGCACTCCATCCTGACATCACTGGCCTGTGCTCCCTCCCCCTCTCACCCGAGGCACCCGAGCTCTGGAGTTGACTATCTCAGAGAGGTCTGCGGGGAAAGGGTGGGTGTGCATTGCAAGGGGTGGGAACTCTGGCAGTGTAAAGGGCAGGGGTAGAAGCAGTGCCAGGGCATCAGGGCTATGGAAGCCCAGCATGCTATGCAGAGGCTGCTCCCCCAAGTCCCCTCCAGACTCCAGGGCCAAGAGCTTCAGATGCCACAGCTGCTGCCCTGCCGGGTGCCCCTCGCCTGCCACCACTGATTGCAGTATGTGCCGTTCCATTTTTAACAGTCCTGCCCGGCCCCGACTGCCTGAGCCGATCCAGAGGCGGGCCCTGCTCTTGATTGCGGCACTAAAAATACCGGCGAAGCCTCTGATGAGAGCAGGGGCTTGGTCTCCCCTTTGCCTGCACATCAGCTCTTTGCTGCCTCCCTGCAGAGTGGCATGGGGGGACCCTGGAGGCAGGGGCTGGGGGGCAAGGAAGCTCCATTACTCCCATGACCTTTGCAAGCATCTAGATAAAAAGCAGAATGGCTATCCCGATATTTGGAGACATGGCATCTGGGGCCTTTCTGAATGTTGGGATTCCCAGGTGTTTTGTGTTGGGTAGACACAGTCTCATGGTGTTTTGAGACTCCATGTGTGTGGTTTCCTGAGTCTGTGCTGGGGAGGGAAAGCTGGAAACTTTTCCAGGCCTCCAAGCTTTTTCCTCCTCCTCACTTCTCATTTCTGGTCAGTGGCCAAAATCTGAGGGTTCCACCTCCCGCATAATCCCTCCCACCTACTGCCTCCTTTCCAGTCCTGCTGCCTCCGCCTGGCTCTGACCTCTGGCTGAGCTTTCCCCTAGCTGCTAGGAGCCCCTCCAATTGCCCATACCTGTGCATGTCACCTGCTGCTGTCAGGATGATTTTCTAAAGCCCAGCTCCCATCAGCCACTGCTCCAGTCCAAAACCTAACCCCTTGGCCCAGCATATAAGACCCTCTATGATCTGAACTTGACAGATTGCTCTAGTCTGATTTCTTTTCTCTCTCTTTCCTTTTTCCTTCCTTCCTTCCCTCCCTCCCTTTCTTTTTCTTTCTTTGTTTTCTTTCTTTCATCTTTCTTTCCTTTTTCTTTCCTTTCTTTTTCTCTCTTTTTCTTTTCTCTTTCTTTTTCTTTCATCTTTCTTTCCTTTCTTTCTTTCCTTTTTCTTTTTCTCTTTTTCTTCTTTCTTTTCTTTCTTTCTTTTCTTTCTTTCTTTCTTTCTTTCTTTTCTTTCTTTCTTACAGGGTCTCTCTCTCTCTTTCTTTCTGACAGGGTCTCACTCTGTCACCCCAGCTGGAGTTCCTTAAAACTCATTGAGTGACCTCCCTGGGCCGGTTGGAAACAAGCTGTTCTCCCCGCGGGTGTCCAGGCCCTTGCCAAGGTATCTCAGGTTTGCCATCACTGGGCATGGGGGTGCTTCAAGGGAATGGGACCCAGGATCCACCCCTTGTTGGATTAACATGTTCACAGAAAGGGAGATGAGTGAATCTTACCAGATGGGGCTGCCTGGTCTGGGGATAGTTGCTCGTCTGACCCAGGCATGGTGTTTGGGAAGCCGCTGGACAATATTCTACTATGTAAGCACTCCACTCCCCAGCCCTCCCCTCCCCACCTGCGAGCACGGACCCTAGAATGCCAGAGCTGCCAAGGCAGCTCCCTCTTGTTGACATATGAGAAAGTGAGGCCCAGAGGGGAAAGGGGATTTTCCTTTCTTTCTTTCTTTTTTTTTGGAGTCTCACTCTGTCACCCAGGCTAGATTGCAGTGGCACAATCTCGGCTCATTGCAACCTCTGCCTCCTGGGTTCAAGCGATTCTCCTACCTCAGCCTCCCAATTAGCTGGGATTACAGGCGTGCGCCACCACACCCAGCTAATTTTTTTATTTTTAGTAGAGATGGGGTTTTGCCATGTTGGCCAGGCTAGTCTCGAACTCCTGACATCAGGTGATCTGCCCCCCCTTGGCCTCCCAAAGTGCTGGGATTACAGGCGTGAGGGGGCTAGAAAGGGGATTTTCTGAGTCAAAGAACTAGAGCTACAGCGAAGGCCTCCCAGGTGCTTGTGAAGTGGATCTCCCAGCCCCACCCTCCACCATGGCCTCCTGCCTCCTTCATTCCCTTATCTAGAATCTCCTTCTCTCCCACTGAAATCCTGCCCATTCCTTAAGGGTTTGTCTGTCCCGTGAGCTACTAAAGCCCCTTTCTGTGTATCCTTTGGTAAGGGCTCTCCACTTCCCATCTCCCCTGCTGGACTGTGAGCTCCTGAGGACAGGGACTGCATTGGTTTCAAGTGTGTAACCAGTTCAGTGTCTCCATGCATGTTTCCAGGGCTGCGTGCATGTTTCTGGAAGGAATCAATGAATGATCCAAAAGTCTGTTCCACTGAACTTGCATTTGATGGCGGGTGTGGTTCCTCCTGTAGGAATTCACCCCACTTTAAGACCAGATGATGCAAACGCAGGCAGTAAGAGCCGCGGATGCCTCCCATCCCCTTCCACTGGCTGTTAGCATCGCTGCCCGGACACTGCAAACACCAGCCCATAGAGGGCTGCCCTTTCTGTGAACGTGTTGTCTTTCCTGCTCACCTCTGCCCCGAGGGACGGGGAGGGTAATTATCTGCCGTGGTGTCAGAACTTTTATTTCTTGCTGCTGCTGGGCTTCCGCCACAGGGAGAGTAAGACGGAACAGAGATACCAGAAGAAAACATCAGCACGACAGTTAAGTGCCACATTTTATTTCTTTGGATTCGCTGGGTGTAAAGAGTATGTGTATGAATGTAGCACTTTTAGCAGAAGGTCCTCCCTGGTGGTGTTGAGAAGAGGCCGTGGTTCCTGCCATCTCTTCTGCCTCCTTCAGGTCTTAGGCGGGGAGGGTCTGGCAGCCTGGAGAGAGCAGCAGAAGCCCTCTTAAGCTTGCTGAAGGCCTGGGGGATTTATCAGAAGGATGCGGGAGTGCCTTGTGGGACCCACAGCCAGAAAAACATCCAGGTCTCAGGGGAGCTGAGAGGCTCCCAAACCCAGTGAGCTGCCTTCCCTCGCTATTTTCCCTCTCCGAGGCCACATTGGGTCTCGTCCCTGCTGCTCCCTCTGCTCCATTTTCCTGCCGTGCTCTGCAGATCTGCTTTCTTTGCTTACTCATCAACACACGGTCCTAAAATAGCTGCATGGGCCTCCCCCGGTCTACCCTGGCTGCCTGATCTCAGCTTCGGGCCTAGCCACAGACTGACTCCCCAGCCCTGAGCCCCTTAGTTCTAAGATCTTAAGACAGAGTATCTGATTGGCTGTTGGTCACCAAGAGGCTGTCTCCTGCTGGAGCAGGTATCCATTGGTCCAATTGTCTGAAGCCAGCAGGCAGGGGCAGGTGGCCCTGGGGCTGCCTCCTTGGGATGGATTTGTTGGAAGGAGAGGCTAGGCAGGCAGGCCTCCCCTCTGCAGCTCTAGTGTCACCCAGGCCCACTAGGATCCAGTGAAAGACAGCATCTTACTCTCTTTTGTGCTGCTATAAGAGAATACCTGAGACTGGGCAGTTTATAACGAACAGAAATGTACTTCTCACAGCTCTGGAGGCTGGGAAGTCCAGGATTGAGGGGCCGGCATCTGGTGAGGGCCTTCTTTCTGCATCATCCCATGGCAGAAGGGCAAGAGAAGGAGCCTATGCCTGAAAGCCCTTTTAGTAAGCCCTCCCGTGAGGGTGGGGCCCTCACAGCCTAATGACCTCTTAAAGGCCCCAGCTGTTAACACTGTTACATGGAAATTAAATCCCAACATGAGTTTTGGAGGGGACAAGCATTTAAACCACAGAAGGCAGTTTCCTTTTCAGACCCAAGAGTATTGGCAAGGGTACACCTCAACATGTTCCTGCAACTCATACCCGGGCAGACATGGAGCCCTCCTCCCCCTGAGCTATAGGCAGGGTGGCCCCGTGGCTGGGAGTGTGCAGTACCCCAATTCCTCCCCAACCCCATGCTCAGGCTCGAGTGAAGGCAGCCTCCTGGGATACTTGGCCCCTGATCCAGGGTAGCACAAGTGGCGTGATGATGAAGGCAGGAGTCAGGGACTCTAGCTGGGGTGAAGAGCCCTCCCAGGTGCTGTTGGGAGGGCCTCTAACATGCTGGTCTTGACCTGCAGGCTGTCTCCTGGGTCTGTTCTGAGCTCACCCATCTGAGGGTGTTTAATCCTTTTGCGGTGATTTAAAATATGTATGCAATTATTTGATGTTCCCTTTAAAAGATGGAGCCAATTCTCCTCCCTTGAGTGTGGGCTGGACTTTGAGGCTCAGTTTTCACAAATAGAATATGGCAGAAGTTATGCCATGTGACTTCTGAGACTAGGTCATAAAAAGTATTGTGGTTTTCTCCTGGCTCTGTGGGAAGCAGCTGCCCTGTTATGAAGACACTCACACAACCTCTTTATGAAACCTCCCCGTGGTGGGGAACTGAGGCGTCCTGCCCAGCACCATGCAAGTGAGCCACCTGGGAGGTGGATCTTCCAACCCCGGTTCTGCCTTCAGATGCCTGAAGCTTTGGCCAACTTCTTGACTGTGGCCACATGAGAGGACTTGAGCCAGAACCACCCAGCCAACATTCTCTCACAGCCTGTGACTCACACAAACTGAGATGATAAACATTTCTTTGTTTAAGCCAATAAGTTTGGGGATAATTTGTTACACAGCAATAGATAATGAATGTATCCCAAACTTGTTTGTTTTCCTCAGGTGTTTGGCAATTTGCAGGAAGGATTTTAACTCACTTTCCATTTTCTGCTAGGGGGAAATCAATGCCCATGGTGGCTGGGGCCCACCCACCTGTTTCATAAGGACCTGGGAGGCTGAGAGGGGGGCCGTGTTACCACTTCCTCCTCCAGCGGGTGTCATCCTCCACCTTTCTGGCCCTGCGAAGCAGGGAAAATTCTCTGTCCTAACCCTAATGCCAGCCGCAGCCTCAGCCCTATCTCCTAGGCACATGTGTTATCTGAAGGCCTTCAGCCGTGTTCACCCCAAACCCTTTTCTTTAGTTGAAAGAAAAGGGCCTCAGCTCTTAAAGCCTCCACAAAGCCTCAGAGGTTCCTTGGACTGCTGGGTTACATGCTGAACCCGATGGATCCCAGCAGGCAGGGGTGTACATGGCAGAGTGGAAGTCCAGTGGGGGAAAAATACAGATAGAAGTCAGAGAGCTTTAGTTATGCTGCTCGTGAGGTCCCGTAGAAATTGCACAATTTCTTTTACCCTTTTGGGCCTCTGTTATCTCATCTGTAAAATGGGGCCTATAGTATTTGTCCTGTGTACTTACAAGATTGCTGTGGGATCAAATGAGAAAATAAATGTAAAAGTGTTTCATAAACTATAAAACACTTGACAAATGTGAGGATCAAAAACAAACGATTACAGAATTGCAGGTTTAGTCATCATTTGATCTAGCATTTTGTGAATACTTGCTATGCACCAGGGCTTCACATGCATTGCCTTATTTAATCTTGACAAGCTATTGCTGACAAGGTGCTATTATTTCCATCTCCCACTTTTGGATTAGGAAACCAGGGCTCAGTGAGGTGAACTGACTTGCTTGAAGCCCATGCACCCATTGCCACATTTCCTAACCTGGGCCCTGACATGAATGACCACTCCTTGAAGAATTCAGAGAAATGGTGAGGCCCGTGAATAGCCCTGGGCTCTGGCCCCTTAGTTCCTCTCCCTGCTTCCTCCATCTGTCTGGCAGCTCCTCACCATCCTAAGTGTTTCCTTGGAGGCAAGACCCAGCCGAACATGCTTTATCTTGGGTGTGTCCTGGGGGAGCAGGAGCAAGATGTCTGCATAGCAAGCAGCAAACTGGCTCAGATTCTCTCAGGAACCATAAACCAAGCCCTGGTTTAGATGTGGTTTAGAACTACAGGAGGAGGCTGGGTGGGGTGGCTCATGCCTGTAATCCCAGCACTTTGGGAGGCTGAGGTGGGTGGATCACCTAAGGTCAGGAGTTCGAGACCAGCCTGGCCAACATGGTGAAACCCCGTTTCTACTAAAAATGCAAAAAAATTAGGCAGGCATGGTGGTGCATGCCTGTAATCCCAGTTGCTCGGGAAGCTGAGGCAGCCGAGATTACGCCACTGCACTCCAGCCTGGGTGACAGAGCCAGACTCTGTCTCAAACAAACAAACAAACAAAAACTATAGGGGGAGATTTGGTCTGTGAGAAGTTAAAAGCTCAGTTTGCAGCAGATAAGTTCTGGGAGATGGTCCCAGAGAGAGGTGGGTATCCATTAGCACTTGCGGCTTTGAAATCAGTGGTTTCCTGGGGTGGGGGATGGGGAAGGATATAAGGGAACTCTCTCAGGTGACGGAAATATTATGATGGGCTGGTGGTTACACAGGTGTACATGTTTGTCAGAATTCATTTTCTATACTCTTAAAATGGGTACACTTTATGTAAAGTATATGTCAATAAAAGTAATTTTTTAAAAAGGCACTTTTTCTCTTCTGAAATGAAGATAGTTTCTATTACTCAAATAAACAGACCTATCATTTGAACACGCACACACAAAATAAGACAAAAATGGGTGTGATTAGATATGTGTGTGTGTTTTCTTTTCTTTCTTTCTTTTTTTTTTTTTAAGAAAACCCCCCTGGCCTCCATCTGGAGACAAAATTGAATGGGAACAGGTGTTCCCATTCACTCGTGTGAGAAATTATCACACGAGTCCAGGCAAGCCAGGATGTCGGTGTGGACTCCAGTGATGGTGTGGATGGAGAAAGGGAGACAGAGGAACTGCTGGGACATGGAGCTTCCTTCCCTCTGGTCTAGGGACTATCCTTGGCCTTCCGCTGGGCTCAAGGTTGGAGACTGGTCCCAGGTGAGACCAGGGGCTGCAAGGGAAGGACTCACATTCTGCCAAGCGCACATTTGTGGGTAGACACGCTTCCAGGCCTCTGCCCTTGCACTCCTTGAGCCCAGGCAGCCGACAGGCACATGGGCCTTGCCTTCCCTCCTGCTGCCATGCTTGCTGGCTCCCTAGCCCAGCCACACCTCAGGCTTTTGCAGCCTAGAGGACTCGGGTGTGAATCTGACCCCCTCCCTTGTCAGCTGTGTGGCCTCAGTCAGTGGCAGTCCCTTGAGCCTCATTTTTCTCATCTGTAAAATGGCAACAACAGCCACAGTGCCTGCAGGGTGCTATGTAGATTGGCCGAGCCTAAAGGCAGAGGTAATTCATACCATTCCTGCATGTCACAAATGCTTGGCCTGATGATTTGCATTTCACATTCGCTCTCTCTTTCACTTACACTCCAAAATTAGCAGAAGGTGCAGCAGGGAAGGGTAATTCATTTCTCTACAGAATCGGTCACTTGCCCGGAGCACCCCTTCCTGTCCTGGGGTCCCCGCACCTGCTCTAGCCCCACCTCCCTTCTGGCCGGACCCTCCTGGGTTTGCCCAGGAGCCCCACTCACCTTGCTCGAGTGGGCATCAGCCCACCCTTCATCCTGTGCTCGTGCAGGTGGGCAGGGCTGGAGGCGCAGAGCACAGCCCACCCATGGAGGGCCTGACTCCCTCATCAGCCCATCCTGTAGGATTGCACCTGGTCCCCAGGAGCCAGGCCCGCTCCCAGCCCTCCTGGGAGGCCAAGGTAATTGGCTCAATTAATCAGCTCAATTAGCACCTTCTGGGTGAGCGAGCAGCTCAAAGCCTGCCCAGCCTCAGTCAAGGGTGCCCAGCCTGCCATCAGCTGCTGTGTGCCAGACCCAGTGCTGGGCATGACAGTAGGGGCAGAGGGCTCCCTGCCCCTCCCTAGCCCCCACCAGCCACTGGGGTAGGGGTCAAGCTACCAACAAGAGAGCACCTCAGGCCTCTGTCCTTGGAGAGGGCTCCCCACCACTGCCTGTCCTCGTCCCCACCACTCCCCTGCCAGTCCCTGCCAGCTCCTTTGTCCTTGTTGGGTCCAGCAGCCTCCCATGCTGAATCCCCAGTCTCTGCTGGTCTCTGCTCTGGGACCCTCGTTGTGCATTCAGAGCTCAGCTGTGGTGGGAAAGGTAAACTGCTCATCCCTGATTCCTGTTCCCTGCCCCCTGCCAGATGGATATACAGATTTTTTTTTTTTTTTTTGAGACGGAGTTTTGCTTTTGTTGCCCAGCCTGGAGTGCAATGGCGAGATCTCGGCTCACTGCAAACCTCCACCTCCCTGGTTCAAGCAATTCTCCTGTCCCAGCCTCCCAAGTATCTGGGATTACAGGCGCATGCCACCACGCCCAGCTAATTTTTGTTTTTGTTTTTTTTTTTCAGTAGAGACAGGGTTTTCACCATGTTGGCCAGGCTGGTCTTGAACTCCTAACTTCAGGTGGTCCATTTCACAGATAAGGAAATAGACTCACAGACATTTGACATCTCACATCACAGCACACAGCAAATAGGTGGGGGCTGGGAGGTTGTGGGGGCCTACTGGGGTCTGGAGTGCCCCAGCCCCAGGGGAAGCTGCCTGGGCCTCTGGTCAGCACCCTACATAGAGCGCTCCCCACCATCCTCACTGGGTTGGCTGAAGATAGAGAGGAGGAGCCAGGGCCTCTGCTTGGGGTGAGATGGGAGATGGGGGAACAAAGGGCAGAGGAGATACTTTCTCCTCCGGACACTTTTGCTGAACGTGGCAGCCAGGGGCCCTCTGTGGCTTTCGCATCGATGACTTATGACTGGCTGCACAGGTGACCCGTTAGCAAGGCCTTCTCTCCCCTCTGAGTGGGACACAGACCCCAAGTCTGGCCACCCCTGTATCTGATTCCGGTTTCCCTATCCAAAGAGGCCCAGATGGCCCCTCAGCCTCCTCTCCTGAATCTCTAACATGCAGCTGAGTCTTGGAGGTCTAGGTACACAGCCAGGGAGATGAGGTGGGCTGCCCCATGTGCTGGCCTTGGTCCCCGACTCTCCCCACTCCTTGGCCATGTCTCCTTTATCCAGAAGAGGGACCCTGGACCCCAGTCTGTGGAGAGACTCTGACCTCCCCGGATGCTGGCTGCCTGGGCAGAGTGGAGCAGAGAGCAGGCAGTCCCCAGGGAAGGAGCAGGCAGACCCTGCAGGGCGAGAGCCAACATGGGCGGGGGTGATGACGTGGGCCCTGGAGGTGAGGTCCCCTGGGGTGCCCACAGAAATGGTCCCCATGTGTTCCTGCTCTCCCAGGTGTATTCTCTACCCTCAAACTGCTGCTTCTTCCCAAACTTCAGAGATCTACCCTAGCGTCAGGACAAGGAAGCAGAGTGGCGAGGATTGTTTGGTTTCTTTTTTTTTTTCTTTTTTCTTGGGGGCTGGTTGGGTGAGTTATTTCTCATCTCCTCATGTCCCCAGGAGTCCTGTGCCCCGGGCCGGTGGGATGTTGACAGCTCCTTTGGTTGTCGAGGCGGCTGGGCTGAGCACATGGCGGCATTGGGAGGGCCTGCAGGAAGACTCATTTCCTGACTGACTGACAAACAGAGGTGATACAATCTCTCTCATCCCTTCCCCGGGGAGCCCGCTTACAGAGGAGTTCAGCCTGAGCCATCTCTGCCGTCAAACGCACCTCTCTGTCCCATGGAGATAAACTCATCACACTCGAAGGCAGGCAGGGAGGCCTGGGAGGGCTGTCGAGGCTGGCGTGTAGGGGGCACCACCACCCACGCACCTGCCCGCCTCTTGGCCCTGCTCTGGGTGCCTGGCGGCTGTCAGGGTGGAGGTCTTACCAAGAGCACTTCTCTCCTCTCCTCTGTCCTTCACGAAGGTCGTGGGAGGATGGCTGATGGTGGGGCTCCTCGCCCGTACTGGAGGAGTGGAGGGGCAGGTAGGAAGAGGAGGGGGTGAGCTGTCACCCCGGGAAGGGAGACAGAGACAGACAGCAGCTCAGCGTGCATGGGTCCACATGGCAGGCCCCTCTCTGGTCCTCTCTGGATCCCTAGCTGAGGGTCCAAGTCTGTCCCCGGGAACTGGACTGAGAGTTGGCCTTTCTGGGCCTCTACTTACCTCAACTGAAACATGAATGGAAAAGTAGGATGGCAACTTTGAGCTTTTGGGGGTCATGGATCCTTCTGGAATGAATGTGACAAAGGCGACAGACCCCTCCCTGTCCAGAGGCTCACGGTGCATGTGCGGACACGGGCGTGTGTGCACACAGGCACTTTGGCCTCCTATCTGTGGGTATGCAAAGACCCCCCAAAGGCCCACCACAGTCTCCAGCTCAGTAGTGCTAGACTCCATGGCTTCTGGTCTTGCCGAACATGTGTGCGCTGTGTGTGTGCAGCAAGACTGCTAAGGAAGCTGGGAGGCCTGGGCTGGCTGGGAGTCTCAGGTTGGCCTGGCCCAGCCTTGCTTTTGCTGATGGCATATGTGTGTGCACAGGCTGGGGTTGGCATGACTCCAACCCCAGTGTTGACACTGACACTTGCCATCAGGGCTTGTCCCCTCTTTCTAGCCACAAATCCTTCCAGCCCCCTCACACTCATTCCTGGTGGCCACACTAAATGTCCCACGGGCCATAGATATGCATTTGGGAGGTTGAGGCAGCTGGGGGCCTGTTGGAGCTGTGCAGGAGGCGGGGCTCTCTGTGGGAGCTAGAGCAAGCTAGCATGGGGGCTGTCACCATCCTGGGTGTGTCCCCGGCCCCGGCAAGACAGAGCTTGCCTGGGCTCCCCCTGTCTTGCCCTGAATTAGAAGATGACATTGCCGGAGAGACTGGACACTTTGAAAAAGCTCCTTGCTTTCTGAGCTGAAATCTGTCCTCATCTACATCATCTCTCTAATCTTTTATGAAGGGACAGTAATGGAAATACTGTTAGAGAACGCCTGCTGGGTACCATGTTTTTGTTTAATTCTTACAGTGACACTACAAGGGAAGCCGACCCGGAGCCCAGGCACAGAGGCAGGGAGGGGCTTGCCTGACACCATTTGGGACAAGAGTCAAACCAGGTCCATCTGATCACAGACTAGTGTCGTTAGCCGTGCACTGTCCCAGGAGCTTCTGTGGGGACACCAGGGAATGACTGAGGCCACACTCGGTCACCCCACAAGCTAGTACCATCACACAGATGCCGACAGGACAGCAGAATGATGGCATCAGACTGAAGCTGGAACATGAAGGCAGAGGCCCAGCACCGTGTGTGCATGTGGTGGGGGGTGTGCACACTTGCATACACACACACACACGCATAAGTGCATATCTGCATCTATTCTTGCGTTTGCATATGTGTGTATTGTGTGTGTGCAAATCTCACTTGAATACTAAAGAAAATGTTAATACCCAATTCTACAACCATATATGGTACTGCAGCTATGCCCCCTTAAGAGGAGGGAGAGAGGGCTGCCTGGACAAATTCTGGGGAGGCTTCTGGGAGGAGGGAGTGCTTAGGCAGGGCGTCAGGAATTGGTGAGGATCAGGGCTGCAGCTAAGAGTCTTTTTGTGCACGACAGAAAGCGCGTCCAGCAAAGCCCAGCTCAGGGCCCTTCTGGCTTTCATTTCAAGCTTGGGCTTTTTGTTTGGCTAATCCAGATCCTCCTCTTCCTGGGCCTTGTGTGTGTGCACATGTGGGCAGGGGCTGGGGTGAGGACAGGCGTGCTTCCAAGTTGAATGGAGGTTCCTCCCTTGGGGTGCTGCAGTGGTTGAGGCTCCCTGCCTGGTCCTGTCCAGACCCTCCTGTCCTCTGACAGCCAGAGAGTCTGCACATCCCTCACTGGTGCAGGACGGCTGGGGCAGGAGGGATGCACGGAGCTCCAGGAGTGCAGGCTACTGCCCTGACACTTGCCCCACTCACTGTCTGGGCACCCTTAACCAGCTTCCTGCTGTGAGGACCCTGCTGCTCACTGTGTGTGAGGGTGAGTGTGAGTGAGTGAGAGAGAGAAAGAAAGAGAGAAACGGAAATAGCTTGAGGGCATCTTGGTGTGGGGACCCTGGATGCGAGAAGTGGCTGACATGGAAGCTGGACGGTGGCCCCCTGCCCTTTCCATCCCTTTCTCTGGTCTGGACTGAGTGAGCGTTGTGTGGGGCCCCCCTTGCTTGGTTGTACCTCCAGAGGCAGCCTGGACCCAAGAAGGCAGCTCATGCAACCCCAGCCACAAAGCAGGAGGGCCCTTTAACCAGCCTCCCGTGTCCCTGCTCCCCCTCCCCTCCTACTGATACTCCATAACCTCTGCGTACAGCAAACCGAGGGGACAGGAGGCCTCCCGTGGAGCTGAACTAAATCCCACATGCCACAGCCCAGGAAGGCTTTTCCTCGGAAGGCACCGAGGCCCCAGGACTAGGAGCAAGATTGCAAGTCTCCTGTCTCCCCCATCTCCTGTGGCTGTGTGGAGGCTGGGCTGGGCTAGCTTCCCAGCTCAGTGGGTGGCTGAGAGTTACTCAGCTTCATCTCTATGAGCAAACAGCAGTGGCTCAGCAGGGAGGGCAGAGTGGGGCTGGCCCACCCTGAGCTTGTGTTGCCAAATTTGTTTGTGTTTATTTTGGTTCCTCTGCATGACATGGAAACAAATGTGCTAGGTCCCCCTTGCTCTGTCGGCTCCTCAGTGGGTGGTGACAAGGGAGCTCAGGCCTACCCCTTTCTTCATAGAGAGATTCCCTCACTTCTGCCCTGTTTCCAGTTCCCTAAGGAAAGGTTGGGGCTGGCGGGGTGTGGTGGCTCATGCCTGTAATCCCAGCACTTTGAGAGGCCGAGGTGGGCGAATCACGAGGTCAGGAGTTCAAGACCAGCCTGGCCAACGTGGTGAAACCCTGTCTCTACAAAAATACAAAAATTAGCTGGTGTGGTGGCGTGTGCCTGTAATCCCAGCCACTCGGAAGGCTGAGGTGGGAGAATCACTTGAACCCAGGAGGCAGACGTTGCAGTGAGCCAAGATTGTGCCACTGCACTCCAGCCTGGGTGACAGAGTGAGACTCTATCTCAAAAAAAAAAAAAAAAAAAAGGTTGGGGCTGCGGTGCAGGGATGGGGAGAAGCCATGCGGGTGGGGCAGGAGTCAGGAGGCCAGGGTTTCTTGCTAGCTCCCTAGGATTTTGAATAACAGGGGCTCCCATTTAATAAGCACCTACTAAGTGCTTTGCATTCATTCACTGAGACAGACTTACTATTACAAATACCTACTGTCAAGCTTGGTCCTGGGAGTACAGCAGTAGCAAAAAAGAAAAAAATCCTTGCTCTCATGAAGTGTATCTTTTATTGACCCTATGATAGACAGGGATTCTCTCCTCATTTTACAGATAAGGAAACTGAGGCTCAGAAAGATACCTGGTTTACTGGAAATCACTCACCATGGTCCTCTCTGGGCCTTGAACCCTCTTCAGCCTCCGTTTCCTCCCCCTGTAAAAATGAGGAGTCAGGTGAGAGGAGCTCCTGGCTCCCTTCCACCTCTAATTGTCTATGTGGAGGGGCTGAAATTTGGAGGGAGCATTTTCAAGGGGTACAGATGTGTGCCAGTGCTTGAAGAAAATGGAGGAAATGGCTTGGCACTGGTTTGGAGTGGGCGTTGAGCCTGGGACACAGCTTAGTGGCTTGTGCTTTTGGGGGCCAGGCCCTACTGCTCTGAGAAAGTCCTCTCATCCTTGAATCAACAACAAAATTCTCCCAGAGAAGAGGCTCTACCTTTGTTCTGGCCCCCTGCATTCCATGCTGTGCACCACGTCACCCCTTAGCTAGGAGGTCCCAGGCCCCTGGTTCTTAAAGAGAGAAGCTACAGGAAGAATGTCTGCCTGGGCCGTCTCTGCTTCTTATCCCCAGCCTCCAGCTCCAAATCCAAGGGCCTCTCCTTCCTGAATTGACCTGGTGTGGGGCAACTGGCAGTGAAAGGCCTTGCTTGGAACCCCCATGGGAATGGGTGTGTTCTGCTCCCAGGGTTCTTCCAGCCCGCAGAGGCATTAAGGACATGTGGGGAGGCCCACACCCTGACTCACTTGCATCCACCGGGCCCACAGCTGAGCAGTTAATTAGGAGCACAAGGGCTTGGGGAGCTCATAGACATGACTTGGAGGCTGTGGGGAGCCGAGGAGAAAGGTGCGGCTTTTCCACCTGAGGGATGAGAAGGCTGGGACACTGAGTGGGGTGAGTGTGTGGGGTGGCAGGGGGCCGGCAAAGGGAAGGCTCAGTGCTGCCCTGTTCTGGTGGCCCCAAGGTTAGCACAGAGCAGATGATCTGAGCTCCACAGTGTCAGGGTCAGACCGGAGCAAGGGCTCCCTGGCTAGAGAGCTCCTCGTGCTGAGCTGGGTGGAGCTGTTCCTGGAAGGTCTTTAACATTGGCTAAGCCCCGAACACCTGTGGCTATGAAAGCGCAGCTCAGCTGGGGGAAGAGGGCTGGAATTAGTGACCCCTGCTCCTTTCTGACCTCAGTTTCCAGGATTTTACCTCAAAACAGCATTGCCCACTTATTAGGAAGGACCAGTATTGGGCAGCTACTCCCATGGTGATGGGGTTCAATGACCTCTGACTCCCTCCTGTGCAGAGAGGGTCAGAGGGTCATTTCACCCACTCCTCTGCCTCTGCCTCCACTGCCCTCCAAGGCAGCCCAGAAACTCACCCGCTTTTCCAGAACCGCCCCCCACCCCCAGCCTTGCCACAGCTCTTCTCCTACCAGCTCTTCCATTGGGCAGTTCTTCTTTGGGTCTGCCCTGCAGCAACACCAACTAGTGGGGAATCCCCTGGTGAGCCCAGCCCTCCCCGCCGTTGGGGGTCTCGGGAAATGTATTGCTTGTGGCAGCGTGTCAGTGGGTTTGGAGTGGCACGGCTGGGCGGGCCTGACAGCAGAAATTGGAAGCCGGCTGCGTTTGACAGGTATATTATTCCCGCTGCCCTCGATTTATTTACCAAACAGCATGCGGAGCCCCAGAAAGCTCCCGGAAAGAAGGAGGGAGTGGAAGTGGAGGGGCTCTGCAAGGGAGGTCAGGTGGCCTCCGTGCTCCAACATTGGCACTGTGTAGGGAAGAGGAACGGGGAGCCGGGTGGGTGTGGGAGGCTGGGGCCCCCAAGAGAGCTCACCCCAAGTTTCTCCATCTGGCTTAGAGCTGCCTGTGGGACTTTCCTTCCAGGCCTCAGGAAGAGGGGCTTCCCAAGCATTTTGGGTCCAGGGCCAGGGGTTCTCGGTCAAAGTCAAGTGAGGGGCTATGTCTCAGAGGTGGTTTAGGGCAGGACCCTGCCATGCCTAGTGCACAGGGAAAGAGATGGAGATGCTGAGGAGGGCAGGGACCCCTCAGCAGGTGCCTGGGAAGAGCAGAGCGGCTATGCGTGCTGTACAGGTGCAGGTGCCCATGGGCACAGCCAAGGGGTGAGTGAGGTCTGAGCTTGAGCCCATGCTCTGGTTGCCAAGTAGGGCACATGGCACAGAGCTGTGTTGACCTGAAGAGAATGCCTCTTTCCAGTTGGTACAAACATGCTGTGTAGGCCGGTGACCAGCTATGAGGATAAGCAGAATATTTGAAGCCACACAGACAGGCATCCCTGCCCACCTTGGTTCATACAACCCATGGGACCCTGGAAAGGGCCCCCGGCATCTCTGAGCTTTCCTTTCCTCACAGTAAATGATAATAACCAAAATGCCACTTCTTGGGGCTATTGAGAGGAATAAATAAGATAATCTGCATAAGAATGCTTTGTAAGCAGTAAAACATATAGCTTTTTAAAGGGCATGTAAATGAGTATTGAGAAAAGGCAGCGTGAGCATTGCCGCGCGCATTCAGTGCTGGATGGTGTGAGTCACCGGCTGTGAGGCTGGGAATGTCTGAGTGTGTTTGGCAGGTCAGGTGGGGTGTATGTTGGAACGTGGGTGTGGGACTGTGTCTGCCCAGATGTGGATTTGCTCTGAGTAAGATGAGGAAACTCATCAGAAAAGTCCTTGGCTGCTGCGGACGGATCTGAGAGTGTGCGGCTGGTATCTGAGTGTGACCGCAGGCTGGTGTGCACGTGTGTACCAGTGAGGGTGTGAGGATGGGTGCCTGACTTTGCAATGGGCATGGCGAGATTGTGATTGGGCATTAGGAAGGCACAGGCCCATGGATGCAAGTGAGTCAGGGTGTTGGAGTCAGTGTGCAAGACCATCTGCAGGGTCAGGGGTGTTTAGTGTGCACATATATGGCATGCACACACGTGCACACATGCACACATGCACAGTGAAAGCAGGCTTGGCAGTGTCAGCAGTATACCTCCTACCTCTGAACCTGATGCAAAATTCATGGAGCATAGGATTCTAGAAATGCAGAGAAGGAGGGGGAGGCAGGCCCCTCCGGAACAGTGAGTCACAGGACAGCGAGGGGCTGAATGTAGAATCCCTTCCTCCCCTCATGAGCTCTGAGGCTCAGAGAGGCTGCCTGCCCATCTATTTCTTCCCAGCTTCTGCTCTGGGGCCTTCCTTGGGATGTCATAATGATCCATATTCTGTAACACATCAACGCTGGAAGTCTAGCTGCCCTTGGCCAGCGCAGATGCTGGGGAGTGGAGGCAGGGGAGAGAGGGAAGCATTGGGACCCCCCAATGGTCCCAATTCATACAGGCCTCTGGGCCCCATCAGATGAGCAGGTGATGGTACCAGGGCAGTGAGGCACCAAGGCATCTCTGGAATAGTGAGTACCCCCATGGTACTGGGGATCACAGTGGTAATTGGGGAGCAGCACCTTGAGTTGGGCAGTTTCCAGGGACCTCAGACAAACCTCTGTAGGCTCAGCACCTTCTTCTCTATGGTGGTCAGGCTGGAACGGAGACTCGGTGGAAGGTTCATCTATACCTGCCATTGGCCACTTTCCTATGATGGGGCAGGGCTCCTGGGCCTGACAGGGCAGGAGGACTTCCGGCCCCACACCCCATCCTTGCTCTAATGCTGGCATCCAGTCTCTGACTGTGGATCTGGCTGGGTTGTGGGGTGGGGCTGGAAGGGCTCCAAGATGAGCCAGGCGTGCTGACCCCCTTGGAGGAAGGCGCTGCAGAGGCCAGCAGGGGCACGCAGCACACCAGCTGGGAAGGAGACAGGAGCCCAGAGGGGCAGGGGCCCTGTCACGTCCATTTACACTCCATGTGCTGGAACTCGGCCCTCTAGGGAAGAGGAATGTGATGCCAGAGAGGCTGGGGGACATCTGTCTCCCCAGTTCAGGCCAAGACACACTCACTCATTGCTTGAAGCCCCATGGCCCTGTTCCTCCTGGGTCTCTAGACCCAATGGTTCCCTGTGTCCTCTCCCTCTGCCTGGCTGCTTGGCCATAGAGGCCATCTGCAAGCTTCCTGTTGGGCTCGGCCTGGGCAGTGCTGTATTTGTGTCTCTCCTGCCTGTCTCTGAACCAGCCTGCCTTCCCCCACCTCTGTCGCTGCCTTTCCCTCTGTTTCTCAGCCTTCATCCCTGCCTCTCTGTCCCTGCCCTCATCCTCCCCTCTCTTCTCTCTTCCCCTCCCCTTTCCTTTCTCCCTCCTTTTCTAATCTTGTCTCTCTCTGAACCTGAAGTGCTTTGGCATTAAATCCCATTCCCCATCCTCTCTTTAGATCCTCCCTGTGCCTCGGAAGGGTGGTAAATAAAGCGAGAGAGAGGCCGGGGAGCCAAGAGCCTTAAATGCTCCTCTCTGCACTGCCTGCAGCCCTTGTCTCCTGATGGGGACGTCACAGCCCCAGAGAAAAAGGGGGCTCCTGGGCCTCATGCCATCGTGTGCACAGGCACACACATGCACACACACGCCATGCTTTTGTGAGGAGGGGGAGGAGGCCTTCAAGTGGGAAAGAAAAGAAATCAAAGCACTCCCGGTGCTTCGTTTACATCAGGCTCTAAGTAGGTGGAGGGGAAGCAGAGGAGGGAGGAGCTGGGGGCAATAGGTCACACACGTGGCAGGAGGACTCAGCAGGGCAGGCACCTCGAGAGATCAGCCCCCAAGCTCCTGATCCTGAGGCTGTCAGCCTGAGATGGAGGGGTTGGGACCAGCCAGGCTGACCTGAGCACTGCCCGCGCCAGCCCCCAGACCCCTTAGCTGAGAGCTCAGAACCCTTCAGAACAGGCCCTGCCTTCCTCATCACTCCTGCCGTCCCCAGCCTGTATGCATGCCCCGTCTATGCGCCTGTCTTTTTATTGCACCTCACTGACATAGGATGCAGAGTTTCTAAAAACCCAAAATACACAAATAAACCTCCCCCGACCAAACACACACAGCTTGGGAGTCGGACAGCCAGGTTGGACCTGGGATGGGCTGCCATAAGCATACCTGGGCAGCCCGGTGGACAGCTCCACTCCCCTCTTTGTTTCTGGCCACCCAGCCATCTTCCCTTTGGGAAGTCAGCTCTCTGGCTGTCCCTTTTCCCATCCTGTCCTAGCCTTTTCTCAGCTGTGTTGGCCCTACTTTCCTGTTCCAGGGAGCAGGGGAGGTGCTTGACCCAGCCTGGCCAATGAGAGCTTTCATCGCCTGGACATGCAGATTGGTCCAGAGTCAGGGAAGTCAGCTTTAGAACATTTGCTGGGAATTTGGGGAAGGGGCTCTCTTTCCCCTGGCATTGCTAAACTGGTGGAAATATACCTGAAGCTGCTTTTTCACCACTCAGGAATACTCTTCCTGAGAATAAAGCCAGCACAGGACAGCAGGGCGAAGCAATAGAGAAAACAGATACTCAGTAACCTTGATCGAATGAATGCCTGGATACAACCATGTCTGAAACAATAAAACCATATTGTTTTCCTGGACTGCTCACTTATGAGAGCCAATTACTTTTTTCTTCTTGCTGAAGCCAGTTTGACTTGGGTTTCTGTCTCTTGCAAAGTAAGGGGTTAACTAATATAGAGAGGCAACTAAATTTCTTTGAACTTGAGTTTTCTCATCTGTAAAATTATCTCCCTTATGAATTCTAAAAGGACCGACTGAAGGCACTGAAGGATGCCTCGCAGGCCTGCTGTAAGGAGCACAGATTACTTTTGTGCAAAGCCTTTGGCCATTTCTATCTCACATGATCCTTTCACGAACTCTGGTAAGGTCTTAGGACTGTGATCATGCTGTCCCACTTTCAGAGGAAGAACCTCGGGGTCAGGATTGTTATAGGTGCCAGGGAACTTCTGTTAACCCCCAGATCCATGGCCATCCTCTGTCCCTGGTCTCTGCCCCAGGGAGCTGATCTGCTAGGACTGAGTCCACCAGACCCTGTGTCTCTGGATTCCCACTGGGTTCTGCCAATGGGAAGCCCCAGCAGGGGATCCAAAGGTTGGAGGAGAAGTCAAAGCATTTCTTCCCCCATATCCCTCTCCTGTGGTCACCTCAGGCTGGCCAGGTCCATTGACTGGAGGTCAGTGCTACTCACGTGGTGGCCTCTCTTTCTGGGTTCTGGTAACCACTCCCTTCCTTCGGACCTTGAGGTGTTAACAGCCCTGCTTCTGCCTACACCCTGCCAACACATTTATAAAATGTCGTGTATTAAACTCTTCCTGATTGTGAGCCATTGATATCCCTCGGAGACTGACTGACATTGGGTCGCCCAATGTCATCAGCTATTTGAATTCAAGTATGTAGGTTTTGTATCCTGTGTTTTTTGAACTCCCCGGCATTACCCACTGCTCCTGGGACCTCTCACAGTCCCATCTTCCGCTAAGGCCCAGGTGAGCCACACTCTCTCCCTGAAGCTTTCCCAAGTCCCCATCCTCCTGCCTCGTCCTTGTCCAAACCATCCTCTCCCGTCCCTCTTTCCCTCTGTACTCTGTTCATATCTCTATCTATGGGTGTGGGTGCCTGCCAGATGCCTGTCTAATCTTCCCCAGGTGCAGGGGCCATGAGTCATTCCATCTGTCTCTCCAGTGCCCAGCACCATTTCCCTCAGCCTCTCAGTGCCCAGTCTAGGAGCTGGCACATAGTAGATGCTCAATCTACCATGAGCATCTATTCATAGTAGATGAGTTGGCTGAATTCAATAATAGAACCTAGAGTCACTCTCTGTGATGGGGCCACAGGAGCCTCTGCATTAGTGGTGGTCTCTGCCCAGAACACCTTTCCTTCCTGTGGCTGCCCAGGGAACCCCTCCTCATCCTTCAAAACTCAGCTCAAGCAATCCCTCCTCTGGGAAGTCTTTCCTCACTCAGAGGTCTGGCACCAGTGGTGCATTGTATGGTTCTCCAGCTACTCTTGCCTGGCTCTCTCCTGTGTGTCCAGGCACCCCAAGAGCAGGCTAACTCACATCAGAGCTTCACACGGCACTGACGTGAGTTAGCCCTGCTCAATTCATGTCACCGCTTCTTTGCTAGGGGAGCGGTGTGGCTCGTGGAAAAGTGGCATGTGGATCTGGCCACAACTCTGACCAGAAGTCTGACCTCGCCTGACCTTTCTGAGCCTCAGTTTGCAGGTATTGCCTAACACTGTGCTTGGTGCATGAGGGTGATCAGTGGATGGTCACACAATGAACAGCTGTGGCCATTTCTTTTACTTAAAAAGATCTCCTTGTCAGGGTATATGGCAACCCCTAATGTATCCATCTGTGGTAGCTCCTGCTTGAATGCTGGGCTCACTGGGAAGTGGTCTGCCATGATAGTGTGGCCTTGGAGAGCAGCCAGCATTTCCCCTAAGAGCAGGAGACACTGCTCTTGTATCCAAAAAGGAAGGTCTGGGACAGATAATTGGAACAAGGAAGTCCCACTTGATGAGTAAGACTGACAGCTTGGCCTGCCTCTGCAGGTGCTTGGGTATCTGGAAGGTGTTCCTTGATGGCAGGGGTGGAGCTGGCGCCTGCCTTGTGAATGGCCCTAAGAGCCACCACTAATTGAGCGTGTCATGTGTGAGCCCTGTGCTTGGGGTTTAGCTCTCATGGCACTGTTATGAGTAAGTATTTTTGTCTCCACTTTCCAGAGGAGGAACTGCATTTTAGAGTGATGAAGTAGCTTACTGAGAGCCAGGGTCCAAATTCCAGCCTGGCTCTAATGCTTATGACCACAGCTGAAGTGGAAACAGAGGAGACCAGAGGGGGAGACCCTGTAGGCACCCCCAGCCCCGACAATGAGCCACTGTGGTTTGTAAATCCAATCACCTGGCTACCTGTGGTTCAGTTGTGAGTTTGTCTATGGGCCCCTGTGTGGCTGAGCTATAGGGACCCAATGGGAGGCTCATGTGGCTGGGCGTGGGCCAGAGTTACAGTGAAGCAGGCCCAGCATGAAGCCTGAGTGTGGGTCAGCTACAGACCCCAAGGGAAATGTGAGACTGGGGCACAGAGCTGTGATCTCTTCTCCCCCCAGGGCCAGGTGGCACAGGGCTAGTGGCCCCGGCGCCCATGTGGTCCTTCTTTCCTCACAATGCACAGCCTCGTGCAGGGCTGGGCTGGAAAGGGAAGACCCTCAGAGCATGTGGGCTCAGTGTGGAGCTGTAGACCTGACCTGAAATGTTCTAATCACAGAAAAACCACACCTTGGACCCCACCAGCCCTCCCGGCCCCCTGCCCTGGTAGCACTAGAGAAATGCCAACACATGCCCGCATGAAGTACAATGAGGGCAAATGGCCTGTTCTTTGCTCCCAGATCCATGTCAAACTATACAATTATAAACCAAACGAAAGTACATTTCTAAATGATGTGCTATTTTAGTTCTTCTGTTCCACATTGAGCTCCAAGTTGGTTCTGGAGGAGGGAGGAGTAATGAAGAAGTCCAGGGCTGGGGAGGCAGAGGCTGGGGCTGTGCCTTGGGTTCCCATCCACGTGCTCCCCTAAGACCCTGCAAAAGCACCTTGGGCAGCACAGAAGCATCTCCCTCTCTCCTGGGTAGCCCAAGGGAGAGGCTCTGCATCCCATGGGTAATGCAGTATCGACAACTTGCTTCTCTCTTCTCAACAACCAGCTCAGTGCATAACCGATCAATCTGCAATCACAGCTGCTTTCCAGCCTTAACACCATCGCCAGCACTCAAGGGCTGGTGTGAGGATGGTGGCGCCTGTTTTCCCACCTGCCTTCCACGACGAGAGCTAAAAGTGGGAGAAGGTGGAGCTGGGAGCAGTTGAGCTATCCAGGGGTGCTCCAGATCCACTGGGTAAGAATCTCAGTAGGGGCACCCGGGTGTTTGAATGGTTCACAAAGCTTCTGGGTGATTCTAATGAAATGCATGGGTATGACAGGTGGGGAAATTGAGGTTCTGAGAGAAGCAAACTGCCAAAGCCCCTGAGCTCAGTGGTGGGCCATTACATGAGTGATGGGGATTAGGTGGATTCCTGGAGGAAGGGTACTTGAGCAGGGATTGCAGGTAGGGAGAGGGGAGGCTTGCAGAGGGAGAGGGCAGGGTGTTCCTGCAGGGAGAAGGTCCGGAGTGAAGGCTTTGAAGTGGAACTGAGCACATTTAATTCTCTTCTGGAGAGGAACTGAATCCATGGAGAGAAAGATGCCCCAGTACCATCCTTGGTTTGTGCTCCAGAGAGGAGCAGAGAGGCTGAGGGAAGCTGCCACTCTGTGTTATGCCAAGTTCAGGAGGGCTTCCTGGAGGAGGAGGAGGAGGAGGAGGAGGAGGAGGAGGAGGAGGAGGAGGAGGGTAGATTTCAGGGGCTGGATGAATGGCAGACAAGGTGCAGAGCAGCAGGCAGATGGGAAGCAGCAGTTTAGTCTAAGGAGAGGCCACTGGGGGTTGGGTTTGGCATAAAAGCATCAGGAGTCAGCAGATATTCCCAGGAGTTCTGGTTCTGCCATCGTCAGCTACTTAATCATACCATGCCTCAGTTTCCCTATTTATAAAATGGGGATAAAAATACCAGTTCTCTGCCAGGCGTGGTGGCTCATGCCTGTAATCCCAGCACTTTGGGAGCCTGAGGCAGGCAGAATGTCTGAGGTCAGGAGTTTGAGACCAGCCTGGCCAACATGGTGAAACCCCATCTCTACTAAAAATACAAAAATTAGCCTGGTGTGGTGGGTGGTGTCTGTAGTCCCAGCTACTTGGGAGGCTGAGGCCAAAGAACCGGTTGAACCCGGGAGGCAGAGGTTGTAGCGAGCCAAGATGGCGCCATTGCACTCCAGCCTAGGCGACAGAGGGAGACTCCATCTCAAAAAACAAAAACAACAGCAACAAAAAAACCAAAAACCAGTTCTCTGTCAGGGTGAGTGTGAAGAGAAAATGAGACAGTGTAGGTGAAACTGCTCTTGAACTGGCAATTGTCATGTAAACATAAGGGGCTTGGGTCCGGAGTCCCACAGATAAGGATTTGAATCCCGGTCCTGCCTCTTCCTAGCTGTACAACCTGCAGACAAGTTACTGAAGTGTTGTCATCTGTAGCATGAGGATAATGAGCCTCTGCATCACAAGATAAATATGTGTGTTCAGTGAGAGAAAGTGTCCCTGGCACTTAGCAGCTCAATTCACGTCGCTGCTCCTTTGCTAGGGGAGCAGTGTGACTGGTGGAAAAGTGGCATGTGGACCTGGACACAACCCTGACCAGCAGCATGACCTCGCTTGACTTCTCTGAGCCTCAGTTTCTGTGTGTGGAAAATTGGAGTGCTAATGAGAACCTCAATGGATTGCTGTGAGAATTTAAAACCCTGAGCCATCCTAGCCTGCTGGAGGTGTTTAATAAATGATAGGGGCAGCTATCAGCCCATATGGCCAGATACAGGTAGTGATGGATCAATGGACCATGGAGCAAAGGAGCAAGAGACGCGGGATTAGAAGTGGGTACACCTCTGACCACCAGGGGCTGACCCTGGCCTGCCCCTACTCCCACCCTAGAGAGCAGCCCAGGGTACACTCCGGTCTGGACCAAGGCCCTGGGCCCAGCCCCGAGGCCAGTTTCTGGCCTCCCCACCTGGCACTGATGGATGCCCAGGCGGGTGACTGCAAGGGCTGCAGCCAGGATCAATACTCTAATCAACACCACATGGACCCTGCCAGTGTTTTTCCCTCCACCCCAAACTAGAGGGTAGGGACAGGTGCAGGGAGCTGCTGAGAGGAGAGATGAGCCCCAATGCCGATTTCTTCACTCAGTGAATAATGGAATCAGTGGGCGAGCAGGAGGAATGGGCTGGGGAGGACACAGGCAGGGTTGCTGAGGAGCCTCTCCAGTGGCAGATGGGAGCCTGAGGTGCCCCCCCGACCCTGAATGCTGCCCAGTCCTGAGGAAGAGGCATCTGATAAGAGCACAGGCTTAGATGGGGGACGATGACTGCTTCTCAGACCTTCTGCCAACAGCAAGTCTCCGCTGCATGCCCTGCCCCTTGGCTCTGATAGCTCAGTGTCCTCGTCCTGTCACCTTCCTCCTTCAAAGTCTTGCCCCAGACCTTATATCCAGGGCTCCCATGCAGACTCCAGAAACACCTTTCCTTCCCTGTAGCCCTGCAGCATGAGGGGTAGGTGGGCTGGCCCTGGGCCGTGGCTGGGGGCTTCTGTTTGAGTTTGCTTCTGTATGGGGTTCCAGTTCTTCCTCCACCCAAGGTCGAGAGCCTTCTGTCTTGGAGCTGACTGCTCTGTTTCCGGCCTTGCCAAGTTGGTGTCTAGGTCCTGCTGGCACACCTGCAGCCATTGCTCCATCTTCCTGCTGGCTTGCTTGCCAGGTGCCAAATGTCACTCTTCCAAGTGGCCACCACAGTGCTGTGTGCCCAAGGAAGAGCCACGGCCCCTTCCACTTTTCCTTAGCAGGTGCAAGGAGAGGTGGAAGGGGCCTTGGCTGCCCTCCTGCCCTGCCCCATGACCTCTTTGGAGGCAGCCTCTATTGCTAACTGGGCTCTGTATACACTCTACCACATCCCCAAAAGGAGGTCTGGGCATCTCCCTCCCCAAGCTGTCCCTGGTGCTGAGAGGTTCTCAGGCTGGGAATCCTGCCCTGCAGGAGTCACACCACAGGAAAGGCCTGGTCCTAGTTATGGCTCTACCACGGTTAAGCTGCGTGACCTCGGCTAAGTCACTTTATCTCACTGAGCCTCACATCCTAGATATACATGGGAAGGAACCCTCTCTGCTCTCCTGGCCCCACAGGGTTTCTAAGGGCAGAAAATGTGATGTTTCCTAATGGCCTGCAAAGACACAGCCAGGCAGTGGGGACTGGGCTCTAGCTCTGGCTGCTGACTCCAACCTCTTGATAGCAACCCACCAAACCCCATGGCCTCTTCACGTGGAAATATAGGAGTAAGAGACTGGAAGGATATGGGGAGACTTTGGGAGAGGTCAGGAGATCAGGAGTACCCTTGAATCGGGACTCCAGGAACCAGACTTCATCTTCTTTTGCCATCTGTCATCCGGTTCTTGCACACCAATTCCAGGTGTCCATGGAGGCCTGTGTGGTGCTGAGGTCAGGACTCAGGGGTAAGGGAAGTGTGGCCACAGAGCCAGGCTAGACAGGGAGGTGTGTCAGCGGCTCTCATGGGCTGCCCGGCTCAAAACAGCTCCTCACTCGGCAGTAAAGGCCACTCCTGGCCAACCTCCTTTACTTCTCTCCCCACTTACCTAGACTGTCATAGCCAGGAGAGGCCCCTTAGAGAACTTACAGGTAAGATTGCTTAAGCCCAGAGAGGGGAAGGGACCAGCTCAATGTCACACAGCAAGTGGATCCCAGGACCCTGACTCCAGGGCCATTACTCTTTATAGTAGACTTGTGGTTTGCAAACTGGGTTTCTGGGGGCCCCAAGGCTCTAGGGATGCCGTACGTGGGAGGGTAATCGGGGCTTGAGTGATTAGGGCTTTGTTCCCTCCACCGCATCTCCATCAGCCAGAGCTGCTCTCTCCTCTTCAATCAGTATTTCACTTCCAGGGAAAATGTAGGAAAAACAGAATTGTGTTGCAGAAAAACAGTGGGAAAATGGCTGTGTTGTACCCTACCACATCCCCCCGATTGACACCCAGTGCCGTCTCTGGAGCTCCCAACCTTACCTGACTCGGCCCTTCCCCCATCAACTGTCCCTGGCAGCCTGTCCTCCTCTGCTTTGAATGGTTCTGAGCTCTTCTTCCAGGCCACATTTCTGTCTATGCCTCTGTCTAAAATCAAAGTCAACCTTCTAACTAACCAACGCTAATGACTAATCTCTGCTGAAGAGCTCGCAGGCGAAGGCCTTCTTAGGTATCGATTGTCTTTTAACAGTGACCTTCTGGAGATAGTGCCTACATTTGTTTTAAAGGCCTGGGGGAAGCCAGCTGGGGAGATACTTCTGGACAAGAGGACTTTTGGGGTTTCTTCCCCCTACACTGTGAACCCCAATGCCTGCTGCCGTCACTGAGCCTCGGTGCCGTGAGGAGAGGGGTAGGGTGGTGGGTAGGATAGTGAGAGGGGCCCAGGCCTCGGGGCCCACTGCCTGGCTTCTCAGCCTGGCTCACTCTGATCTTCAGCAAGTGCTATGCCTTAATTCTCTACTTGGAAATGGGCCTGATTATAGCACCGCATCCACCTTCTAGGGTGGGCTTGAGGATCAATGATGTCATTCATGCGAAGTGCAGAGAACAACGCTCAGCAGATTTCGTGCCCAGCTGTGTTGGCTGTGATTGGTGGGGTGGGAGCAGAGGCAGGTGATTGACTCTCAGCATCCCCCCATTTCACAGATGGAGGAAAGGAGGCTCAGAGCAGGTCTGTAAACATTCCCTGGGGCCAACCCTCCAATCGCCACCGGGTCCCACCTCTCTGAGCCATCTCTAAAGGTGCCACAGGGCTGCCTGAGTCCAGCCTGTTCCAATGTCGGACTCACACCCAGGCTTCCCTGCAGAAAGCATCCGCTGTCTCCCCAGGTGTGCCCACTCTTCCTAGGCAGATGACACCCTCCCCAGTTCCCTCTCCTGTCTCTTCTCTAAGCCCTCTTCTTCTGGAACTTTGTTGCTGAGACGCTGCATCCCTCCATCTGTTCCGTTCCTCCTCATTTTGGCTAGAGGGCCTGACCTAGTTTAGGGGTGGCTGGTTAGGGAAGGCTGTGTGTGTGTGTGCACACTCATGCTTATGTGAAAGTGGCAGTGCACAGACAGGAGCAGGAGTGTGTGTAGATGTGTGTGTGTGTGTAAGTGTGTGTGCACATGGATGCCTTTCTGGGAGTGTGTATAACAGGGAACACATAGTGGGCTGTAAACAGTACCAGACCTGGAGGCAGAGCTGGGGCATCTTTGCCAGGCTCTGCTGATTACTAGCCATGTGCCTTTAAACTAGCACAGAATCTGGCAGGACTAGGCGCTCAGTGAGTGCCTCCTGCAGAGCCAAATGTGCTCCCAGTGTGGGCTCATGAGTGCAGTGTCCTGGGCAGGCCAGGGCGGGGCTCTTTTCTCCTCCCAGGGCAAAGTGTCCTTGTCAGCCTGGCTGTCTGCATGGGCTGCTCTCTGTGACAGTGGGAGTGGGCACCTGAAGCTTTCCTGACCAGTGCCCAGTGTGTGGACTTGTCCTGGACATGGAAGTGCCCTTCTGCCTGCCTCTGGTACCCTCTGTGGGAGCCACGGTGGAAATGGCTCAGGCCTCGGGCTCTTACGGGGCTGGAGACTTCCAAAGCCCCACACTGAGCAGCTGGGGGAGCCTGAAGTTGCCTAACTTCTCTGGGCCTTACCCTCCTCTCTAGCAAAAGGAGGCTCATGCTCTCTGTCATGATGGTCTCTTGAGGTTTTTAAGAGGATGCAATATAAAGAAAAAGGCCTTAATAAGTGGGGACTGTTCATTCATGTGATCTGTCATAGACCTGATGTGCTGCTTCCATGAGATGATGCATGTCAGCTCCTTGCACAGCGCATGACATGCAGCAGGAGCACCACAAAAGCAACAGCTTCTAGTAACTACATGGCCAGCTCTCCTCCTGGGGAGGGGGGCGCCACCCACCATGCGGCTGAACTTGGCTGACTGCTCTGTAGCCCATTAGCCATGCCCAGGAGCTATCTGGGGTGTTTTGTCTTCTAGGGTCCCTTCGTCCCAAGCAAATCGGACCCTGATTAACTTCCCATCAGGAGTGAGGTCAGCCTGTCTTTGGGACAAACTTGTCCCCAGTACTGTCTGGGGCATTGGTGGGGCTGGGCACCTGGGCTGGGGGAGGAACCATGTGGCATTTGGCTTTGGGGGATTAAAGTCAGCCTTTGGCCTTCACCTGCCACCTGGTGTGACAGAGGAAACTGGGTTTTGGAGGCCAAGGGGCTTGGTGGGAAGCACGTGCTGCTGTTGGCTCCTGGCTGGGGGTGCTGGTCTGGAAGGGAAGAGCAGCTTGGCCTCAGGAAGCCTTGTCTTTTTTCCATCCTAGAGTGGGGAGCTGGAGCCCGAGGTTGCGGGAGTCTGTGAGTCAGGAGACCTGAACTCCATCACTGACACACACCGGTGTCCACAGGCAAGGATGAGGTTAACTGGGCACCAGTTTCCCCACCTGTGGAAGGGGGTGAGCCCCAGCATTCTTGTTAGGCTCCTCAAGGGCTGAGAAGATATCAGGCACAGCAGACTCCTCTCCAAATGGCAGGTGCAACGGCCCTGGTCATCCTCTGGGCAGTGTTCCAGTCTCTTGCCTTGACATCCATATCCCCTGTGGTGCCTTCCACCCTCCTTCCCTTGTCCCATCCTGATGAGGGTCCTGGGCCACCAGCCTGTGGCAGGGAGTGGCAATAGGTGCAGACCCTCTCGGCACTCCCTGTGGCCACTGCCAGCCCTCCCCAGATAACCCATTTCTGCTCCATTAGGCCATCCTGTGACATGTGTGCGAGGGTTCCTGGTGGGAGCAGGAGCCCTTACCACAGAAAACATGCACAAAAGGAAACACTCAGTTTCCGCCTAGCCCAGGTAATGGCCGTTATGTTCTGTATTATCAGCCATCAGAGCACGGGGCTGGGATGGAGCAAGAGCCCGTTCCTCTCACGGCCTGTGGATAAACAACCCGGCTTGTGGCAAATAAAATGGGAAAGTTGAAATATTGAAATACAGTTGCCATTTCGTTCAAGTTGGATATTAATAGCTGCAGGGACAGGCTCATAAAGAAGGGGCGGGGGAGGAGAAGGAAGAAAGGGAACTGTGAACACTGTTAACATCCAATTTCCTCAGAGGATTGGAACCCTTTGAGGCTCTGGTCTCAGGAGCCGGCAGGCGGGGCGAGGCGTTGCTGTCAGAAGGTGCTGACATGGCAGCTTCCTTTTCCAGGAGGCAGCTCCTACTCATGGAGTGAGTGGAGTGAGGATGCTGCTGGGACAGGGAGGCCTGGGCATCATGGGGGCACCTAAACCCTCCCTGGCACCTCACAGTGCCTGGACATGTGTCCCTGGCACCAGCCACTGCTCCATGACATGCTGATGGCACATTGCTCCCTGACCATCCCACAGATACTCCTGGCCACAGGCATGACCACACTTGTGTAGAACGATGTCACCTGCCCATGTCCTCTTTAGCAGGCTGGTGTGCTCCTCCGCAGCTTCCCCTTGTGCAGAGACCTGTGCTAGCCTGGGAGGTTACCTCCAAACCCTCCTCACCGCAGCCATCACCCAACGACTGGCCAACTCGAGGCTACAAAGGGCTGAGCCCCTTGCTGGAGAGGGGATAACTTTCTCAGCTGATTAATGCCCCAGAGTGACACAGGCATCAGGCTAAGGGCTGACTGCCCTGAGCCTCCATATGCTGCTTCCCTCACTCCTTTATAGGTTTTGCTGAAGAGAGCTCCTTCAAGAAGCCACACGCCCCCAAATCTCTGCCTCAAGTGCTGCTTCTGAGGAGCCCAGCCCTGAGAGCAGCTGGGTGGCCTGGGGCAAGCCACTCCACCCTCTGAGCCTCAGTGCCTTCATCTGTGAAACGGGAAATAACACCAGATCATGGGATTGCTGAGACCATCCAAGGAGACGTTGTCAGCAAACTTCTTTGCCCTCTGTTAGGGACTTGGATGAGTGTCCCCTCGCTGCTGCAACAAACTACCACAAACTTAGTGGCTTAAACAATGCACATTTATGATCTTCTAGTTCTGGGAGTCAGAAGTCCAAATGGGCCTCGCTGGGCTCAAACAAACGTGTTGGCGGGGCTGCATTCCTTCCGGAGGCTCTGAAGGGGAGTCTGTTTCTTGCCTTTGCCAGCTTCCAGAGTCTGCGTTCCTTGGCCCTGTGGCCTCTTCCTCCCTCTTCAAAGCCTGTGAAGTCCGCCCCAGGCTGCATCACTTTGATTCTGACCCCCTACCCTTTCCTTCACTTATTAGGGCCCTTGTGACTACCCTGGGTCCACCTGGCTAATCCAGGATAATCTCCTCATCTCAAGATCCTTAACTTAATCATATCTGCAAAGTCGATTTTGCTGTGGAAAGTCACATATTCCCAGGCTCTGGGGAACAGGAGGTGGATGCTTTGGGAGGGACTTTCTTCTGCCTACCACAGAATGCAGTAAGCCCAGGTCAATGTCTATTTATTTCCTCTCCTCAGGCATGCTATCGCACCCCTTTGAGACTATTTCTACCTCTTTAAAGACCATTGTGAGGATTGCTGTGTATAATGGGTGTGAGGGGATTTGCAAATGGGGCTATGGAAGGAGAGAGTCTTCCAGCTTCTCAATCCCCCCATAGGGCTTCCTCTACTGATTCTGCACCCAGCTGTGCCCTCCTCTCTCCTGAAGCTCTTCTCCTTGCTGTCCTGTGACCAACGTTTCCTGGAAATGCCTTTGTAGGAGAAGCAGCTTGATCTGCTCTTGGCAATGGGGTCAAGAAGTCAGGGCTTCCAGGCCTGATTGTGGAGAGGACTGAGGGGTCCAAGCCCATTTCTCACCCACCGCTTGCCCAGATCTTGTCCGCCTGGTGCTACATTTTAGGAAGGGATGGGCATCAGAATGGAGAGGAAGGAATTGCTGCAGAATAACTGGGTTCTGTGGGATAAGGAAGCACTCGGGACTGAGTTGCTGGTCTTGGCAGGATCAGAAATTTGGCCTGTGGCAGCCAGACTTCTGGTATCTTCTTTGTTTAATCTCTATAAAGTTCCATATAAATGTGCAGCCTGTGTTCATTGTGCTGATGGGAAGAAAAGGAAGGGGACTGGGTTTGGGAACACGTGGGGCCAGAGAGACGGGTGGCAAGGGAAGGGTCCAGGGGAGTGGGACAGCAGAATTACAAGTGGGGTGAGCTGGGCAGGGTGTCCCCTCTTCCAGACAGTCGTGCCCTGTCTGGGTGAGCCTCCCCTACTTGTGTCAGCCTATCGTGGTGATCTGGGCAGGCCTCTGCACGCCCTGTTGGATGGGGAGTCCCCGGAGAACAACGGCGCTGTCCTATTCCTCCTGCGTCTCAGCACCCAGCATGGGCCAGGCACAGCGGGGTGCTCAGTATCCACTATGAGGAGCACTGAACCCATGAGGAAGTGAGGGGCTGTCCATGCCTTCACCGTACCTGCTGCCCTGGTGGGTCCGTCATGGCCAAGTCTCTGTAACTCCCTGGGGACAGAGCTCAGCCTACTCTAGGGCCAGTCATATACTTTTTCTAAAAAGCTTCTTGGAACTTTCCATTTGTCTTGAAAAGCACAGCGCGAGTACTGGCCAGGGAGATGGGATATTTAAAGTCAAGACTGTACTCTCAGAATCCTCTGACAGACCTTGTGTGAGTCACTTCCTCTTTCTGGACTTTATTTTCATCATCAATTAAATGACACTTTGGTCTGAATCAGTGGTTCTCAAATTGTAGCTAGCTTCAGAATCACCTGGAGGGCTTGTTAACCCAAAGACTACTGGGGCCCACCCAGAGTGTCTGACTCAATAGGTCAAGGATGTGCATTTCTATTAAGGCTCCCAGTGATGCTGATGCTGCTTGTCCAGGACCACACTGAGGATCATTGGTTTTAAGTGCATCAGGTGTACCTGAGAAGTTTGCTGAGAAAACCTTGATTCCCAGGCTCCACCCCTAATGACTTGGACTCCATTCTTTTGTGGGTAAATCTGCATCTTCTTAACGAACTCCCTGGGTAATTCTGACGTGAAACACCATTTGGGAACACCAGGCTGCATGCTCTCCAAAGTTACTCCTGTTTTTTCTTTTGGTTGTTTTTGTAAAACAGTTTTATTGAGGCATAATTGACATAGTGCACATGGCACATACTCAGTGTGTTCAATTGGATAGGTTTTGACTTATGGATACTGTTGTGAAGTGTCAGCACAACTAAGATACTGAACACATCCATCACTCCCCAAAAGTTTCTTCATGCCCCTTGGCTATCTTTCCTGTCTGCTCCTCCCCTCTCTAAAGTTTTTAACCACATGTGGTTCTAAATTGGGCTGATGATTTCCATTCTGAAGGTAGGAGTGAGGGTATGAATGGGGAGGCTTCCCTTCTCAGGCCCTGTGCACAGCTTGGAAGCCTCTCCATAGGGAGAGGGTGGTGGTGGGTTTGGGGAAGGAGGCCTGGAGAAGATGCTTGATTGGCAAGGCTGGGAGTTTGGTCCAGTGATCAAGCTGTGGAGGACAATGAAGGCGAGAATTACCTTATATTGAGAAAGGGGCCACTGTCCCCAGGTGAAGGTGAGGAAAGGGAGGGAGTGGTGCTGAGCTTCAATGGGAGCAGAGAAAAGGGGCCCAGGAAGGGGAGGAGGCACAGTGAGGAGAGGGAGGTGGTGACAGGGTCCAGGCAAGAACAGGCCCAGTAGACTAGAAAGTAAAATTATCCTGGCAAGGGTGGGGACTCTCAGCTTTGCTTCCTTCCATTCAGGCAAATTAAAAAACATATATGAAGTACCTACAAGGTGCCAGGCACTGGGCTAAGCCCTGGGGAATGCAGTCTCCTATAGGAGACAATATAGATATGGACACTGTCAATCAATGCCGTAATTGCCTTGGTAGGAATAGGCACAGAAGAGCTGGGGCACTGCTGGGCTATGTACCCACAGCCTGGAAGTTCTGCAAAGATGTCCTTGTCATGAGTTTTGTGCAGGTATGAATATCCAATCTGAAGATGTTGAGAGATAGCTCCTCCATTGCAATAACCACCGCCCCAGAGTCTGATGGTGATGGGAAGGCAGTTTGAACCCTCGGGGGTTGAGACCAAAACCATATTATCTGGTGGAGGTGATGAGTAGCACAACTATTCAGGAGAGGTGGAGATACTTGGGCATCATCATACAACCAGGAGACTAGGGACATCCCTGGGAAGAAATGGAGAAAGACTCCTAGAGGGGATGAAACCTCCTGAATGAAGATCCTTCCTTCAGGTCCTCCCTGCATGGGATTTGACAATCCTCTGCATCATGCTTAGTGTGTTTGTGTGTGTGTGTACATCCATGTGCATGTGTGTGTATGCGTGTGTGTATGTGTGATAAACCATATTTCAATCTTTCAGACATTCATGTTTCGTTCAATGAGTCAGCTAATTCATTTACCTGTTGCAAGCGAAACACTCTGCTGGGTCGGGTACGATAGTGAACAAGACAGGCAAGTTCCTTACCCATGGTATTCCTACTATTCTAGTAGGAACCTGACTCTTAAAAACTCTCTTTAAAGAGCCAAAGAAAGGTGCCTCTGGTGGACAGATTTCGGGCCCCACATTATATACCCTCAGGTAGAGGCAAAGGGAGAATTTGAAACGATGGTTGTACTACAATATTCCCTCACTCCCATGCTGTCACTACATACACATGAATTGCATTGTTATTAAAAATGAAATGGGTTGCCAATGTTTCTCCAAGTGTGACCCAGAACAAGGAGACTCACTTGGTAGCTTGTTCCAAAGGTAGGTTTTGGGACAATTCACCTCTACTTACCCCACCTTCACTCATTGATTTGGGATTTTGAGAGGGGCCATAAGTGATTCTAGAATCTGAACTTAACAAGTCTCCAGATTATTCTTGTTAATGGAGGCTTTTAATTGAAGGCCGTGTACATGAAGGTGCATGTTTGTAAATGTGCAGCTGAATGGATTTTTGCAAGGTGAGCACACCTGGAAAATCAGCATCTGATCTACAAACAGAAACATCTCTAGACCTCAGAAATTCCCTTTTGCCTTCTTCTAGCCTGTCTACCTCCCTCCACCAAGGACAACCGCCATTATGACTTCTAACTTCATTTTATCCCCCTTTTTAAAAACTTTATATAAATGAAACTATACACTATGTAGTCACTTGTGTCTGGCAAAATTTCCCTAAACACTGTTTTTGAGATTTATTTATATTGCATGTACTTGTAGTTTGCGTGTTCTCATTGATGTGTAGTATTCCTTTGTATGACTATACACAATTTATTTTTCCATTCTTCTGTAGATGGGTATTTGGACTGTTTCCAGTTGGGCTATTATGAATAGTGCTGCCATGAACATTCTTGTATAATATTTTGGTGCTCATATGCACTCAGTTCTGCCGGAGTGGGGTTGCTAGGTCGAGCATATGCTTGTGTTCAGCTTTAAAGATGTTGTCTGTGGTAGCAGCCTCTACGATGGCCCCCAGTGCGCCTCTCCTTTTTGTCTTCACATCTTTGTGTAATCTCCTCCCCTCAAGTGTAGGCTGAACTTACTGACTCATCTCTGACAATAGAATATGGCAGAAATAATGGGACGTCACTTCTGAAATTAGTTAGGAAAACGCTGTGGCTTCTGTCTTGTGTGCTGTCTCTTGCTTGCCCACTCTGAAGAAAGCCAGCTCCTATAGTGTGAGCTGCCCCATGTAGAGAGAGGCCCACATAGTAAGGAACTGAGGGAGACTTCCAGCTAACAGCTTAAGAGGAACTGAATCCTCCCACCAACTATGTGAGTGAACTTAGAAGCTGACCTTTTCCCAGTCGTGCCTTCAGATAAGACCACAGTTCTGGCTCACAGTTTTGACAGCAACCTCATGAGAAACTTCGAACCAGAGGTACCATGCTTGGCCTGCTGCATTCCTCACCCACAGCAACTGTGAGATAATAGATGTTTGTCGTTTTGAGCCATGTGGTTTTGGGGTCATTTGGTACATGGCAATAGATAACTAATATACAGCAAAACTATCTTTTTTTTTTTTCTGAGATGGGGTCTCACGTCGCCCAGGCTGGAGTGCAGTGGTGCAATCACAGCCCACTGCAGCCTTGACCTCCTGGGCTCAAGTGATCCTCCCACCTCAGCCTCCTGAGTAGCTGAGACCACAGGTGTGTGCACCACTGTGCCTGACTATTTCTTTTTTTTTTTTTTTATACTTTAAGTTCTAGGGTACATGTGCACAATATGCAGGTAAAACTGGCTAGCCATATGCAGAAAGCTGAAACTGGATCCCTTCGTTACACCTTATATAAAAATTAATTCAAGATGGATTAAAGACTTAAATGTTAGACCTAAAACCATAAAAACCCTAGAAGAAAATCTAGGCAATACCATTCAGGACATAGGCATGGGCAAGAACTTCATGTATTTTTGTTTTATGTTTAGTAGAGACAGGGTTTCACTATGTTGCCTAGGCTGATCTCAAACTCTGGGCTCAAGCAATCCTCTTGCCTTGGCCTTCCAAAGTGCTGTGATTACAAGTGTGAACCACTGTGTCCAGCCCATAGACTCTTTTCTGAATGGCTTGTGCTAATTTATAGCCCCACCAGAAATGACAAGTTCCAATTTCTCTATTTACTTGACCACACATGGAATTGCCTGCCTTTTAAATTTTAACCATTATGATGGGTGTATGGCAATATTGTGTCTTGGTTTTCATTTGCCTTTCTTTGATGGCTAATGAAGTTGAGCACCTTGTGTTAATTAGCCATTCAAATATCCTCTTTGGTGAAGTGCTCCTTCAAGTCTTTTGCCCATTTTTTTTTTAGTGGATAATTTATCTTTTTCTTGTTTGTAGGAATTCTTTTTATATTCTGATTATGAATTCCTTGTTGGACATCTGTATTGCAAATATTTTATTCCATTTTTTGCTCTCTGGAGCAAATACTCCAGAGAGTATTTGCTGTTTCACTCTCTATTTTTAAAGTTATTTTGGAATATTTTCAAATTCACTGACAAGTTACGAGAATAAAAGTAGTACAAGAGTTCTATAATAGCCTTAACTCAGATTCACCTTTTGTTACCATTTTACACCATTTGCTTTATTATTTGTACCCTCTTTCCATACCTGTCTCTCTATACACACACACACAAACACACACACACACACACTCACGTTTTTCTGAACCATTGCAGAGTAAGTTGCATACATGGCAACTCTTTACTCCCAAATAGGTCAGCATGTAAATATACATTTCTTAGGAATATTTTCTTATGTGACCATACTACAGTTATCAGCTTCAGTCAATTTCACATTGATACAATACTTTGATCTGATCTTCTGTGTTCCAATTTTTTTCAGTTGATCTAATAATGTACTTTATCATTTTCCCTTCCAATACAGAATCCTATCTAGGATCAGGTATTGGACTTAGTTGTCATGCCTCCTTAGTCTCCTTTAATTGGGAACACATCATAGCCTTTCTTTGTCTTTTATGACATTGACATTTTGAAGAATGCAGTCTCTCCCCCACTTCCCTTTTAAATAGAACATTCCTCTTTTTGTTTGTCTGATATTTTATTATGATTAGAGGTAATACTGCATTGCTGAATGGAATAATATATAAATGATATGTCCTTCTTAGGGTCGGACACCTGGAGCCACACAATGTCCCTCATGACTGATGTTAATTTTAATCAGCCTGTCAAGGTGGTGTCGTTTTTCCATTGTATAGTTACAATTTTTTTCCCTTGAAACTAATAAGCAACCAGTGGGGATGTGCAGGTTGAGGCCATGCAAATATTCTGCTTCTCATCAAAATGTCCTCTGGATTTAGCATCCACTGATGATTCTTGCCTGAACCGATCTTTACTGCGATCGTTCCAGAACGATGATTTTCCAACTCTGGCTCTCCTCCCACGGTTGCCAGTCGGCCATCAGCTTTACACTGGGAGTAGGAATCTTCTCTTTGAAGATTTCTTAATTTTAACATAATCTAACTTATTGGCTTTTTTCTTTCTAGTTAATGCTTTTTAGATCCTGTTCAAATTTTTTTTTCCCTACCACCACCTCTTGAAAACATTCCGTTTCCTTCTAAAAGCTTCATTATTAGGCCTTTGACACTTAAGTCTGTGATCCATCTGGGATTTTTTGTTGTTGTTGATGATGTGGGATAGGGGATGAAGATAAACATCTTTCCATGTGGAAACTCAATTTACCTAAGTGTCTTTATTAACAATTACTATTTATACAAGAAATGGATGAATGCCTTCCCCCTTTTAAAAATTCAAAGAATTACAGAGAATGCTAAAAATCCCTTTGACCCTCTCTGCCCATCTTGATCATTTCCCCTTCCCTGCAGGGGGTAACTCAGAAGTAACCGCTGTTATCAGCTTTTTACATCCTTTCAGACTTTCTTTAAGCATTTGCAGACATGCATGCACTGTGTTCTGTTTCTCCCCATCCCTCACAGTGTATGAGTCATTCTGCAACTTGCTTTTCCACCCAGCAATATGACTTGGTGGACTTTTTGTGTCGGTACATATAGACCTCCATGTAAATGGTTGCACTGGATTACATGTTATGCATGTCATATGTGATAAACTGGGTCAGACCACATGTTTGCAGCTTGCTTAGTCATTTGTGGATTTTAAAGTTGGTTCTAATTTTCTGTTTTGCTACTCTGATGATTTTTTATGCACACTGTATGAACCACTTGCTGAGTTGCACCGTTATGAAAATTGGGGTGAGTGAGGGATGAGAACTTGAGTCTGGAAGGCACTGGGCTCTTCCTAGATTAAGGACAAACAAAACGGCTCAAAGAGTCTGGGTGACTTACCCAGGCTCACACAGTTAATTAGTGGCAAAGCCGATCACGACACGTGCCTTGGGATGCCAAGTCCAGGCCTCTGCTCTCAACACAACCCTGCCCATGGCCCAACTGACCTCCCCAGCCACCCAAATTCTGAAGCTTTCCTGTCCTCTTCTGGCTTCTCCTCCCCGTGGAGATGGGCCTCCGATATGGGATACCAGGGGTGTCTGTTCACTGCTCCTTCCTTACCGCCAGGGACAGGGCACTTACTCACCTCCCAAGGCCCTGTGGTCTCCTCTCAAGAAGGCAAGATGGCACTTCAGTTCCAGAGCCTGCTCCTAAGCCTCCCCTCCTCTCAACCTCCATTTATCTAAAACTCGTCCAGCTTCCAAGATCCCCCTGTAGGACAGACAAGAACAAATTTGGAAGCCAAAGAAGCTGCAGCCCTTAAATCACATGTTGGGCCAAATAATCAAAGAATCTTCCCCATATTTGTCAACGGTGGTGCTGGGCCTAGCTGCTCAGTAATGACTCTCACTTGATGACAGATCTCAAGAAAATGCGTTTTGGAAGCAATCAGTATATGCTGAATAGGACCCTATTTTACAAGCATTTTATCTACTCTTAAGGACATAGGAGATGAGGAAAACAGATAAGCCTCTCTATTAATATTGATTAGACCATTATATATCTGAGAAAGAGATTTTAGTCAGAGACGATTGCATCTCACCAGAGCAGCCTGTCTTCTTGAATCGAATCGTTTAATTTGCCACTCAGAGCTTGGGGGTGTTGGGAGGGGGACACATGCAGGCTTTGCTCCACCACGCTGGGCAGAAGAGGCAAGAGAGGGATGCCGAATGACAGGGCATTTATGTGCTTTCTCGCCAGCCCCACAAGGAGCTCAATAAGAGGAAGCTAAAAAAGGAAACAGCAGCAGGAAGGATTGAGGTTAGACTTCAGGAATAAATGCTTACTTCTAGAAGAGTTCAGAAGCTGAGGCCCTTTTCTGGAACAGCTTTAAGAATGAGGTCATGAACAGGCCTTTTTATTATTGATCACGAAAGAAGACTGGTAAACATTAAAAATGTTCAACCTCACTAATAGTCAAAATAATGCAAATCTAAATAGTCAGCTATTATTTTTGCCATCAGATTAGCAAAGATTGCTTTTAAAGCATCATGCCTGATGCTGGTGAGGATTTAGTGAAACTGCATTCTCATGCATTCCTGGCGGAAGGGTAGGTGAGTGCAACCTTTTTAGAAGACAATTGGATGATGTTTTCTGAGAACCTACTTTTTGCCAAGCACTAGGTTAGAACCTGGGAGGATAGCATCGACTGAAACTAAGTCCTTGCCCCCACAGATTGTACCATTTATCAGGGGAAACTTGAAATTAACACATCAAAATGCAACTAAATATTTACAAAATGTAAAGAGCCTTAAGAAGGAGCTGGGCATCGTGGCTCACGCCTGTAATCCCAGCACTTTGGGAGGTCAAGGCAGGCAGATTGTCTGATGTCAGAAGTTCGAGACCAGCCTGGCCAGTGTGGTGAAACTCTGTCTCTATTGGAAATACAAAAATTAGCTGGGCCTAGTGGCACGCAACTGTAGTCCCAGCCACTCAGGAGGTTGAGGCAGGAAAATCGCTTGAACCTGGGAGGTGGAGGTTGTGCCACTGCACTCCATCCTAAGTGACAGAGCAAGACTCCATCTCAAAAAAAAAAAATGCCTTAAACATTCACTCTCTCTCTCTCTCACACACACACACACACACACACACACACACACACACACACACACGCGGAGCTGAGGGGAGAGGGTGAGTGAAGGGAGGTCAGCGAAGGCTTTTCCAAGGAGGCAGCTTTGAGCTGAGTCACAAATACTAGAGAAGAAACAAGCCACAGGAAGAGAATAAGATGTCACTGGCAGATGGAACAGCATGTGCAAAGGTCCTGCAGTGGCAGAGATTTTTGGTGAGCTGAGAAGAGGCCAGAGAGGCAGAGCGGGTGAGGGGAGCATGACGGGAAGCAGTAGGAGAAATTGGCAGGTGGGCGATGCATTGCAAATGCTGACTTGCCTCGGGTGTTGGGGGCCCTCCTGGGTTTTCAGCAGGGGCAGCACACACAATCTGCCCTTACTGCTTTTTTTTTTGAAAACTGCCGCCGTTTTGTAAAATTATTATTTATTGTTATTTTAAAAACATATAACATGAGATCTACCCTCTTTAAAAATTTTAAGTATACAGTATAGTATTGTTAACTGCACAATGTTGTACAGTAGATCTCTAGAACCTTTAAATCTTTTTTTAAAAATTATTATTTTTTTAAGTTCCAGAGTACATGCACAGGATGTGCAGGTTCATGACATAGGTAAACGTGTGCCATGGTGGTTTGCTGCACCTATCAACCCATCACTTAGGTATTAAGCCCCACATGCATTAGCTCTTTTCCCTAATGCTCTCCCCTGACCCCACTCTTTTTTTTTTTTGAGACAGAGTCTCACTGTGTCGCCCAGGTGTGCAGTGGTGCAATCTCCGCTTACTGTAACCTCTGCTTTCTGTGCTCAAGCAATCCTCATACCTCAGCCTCCCAAGTAGCTGGGACTATAGGTGTGTGCCACCATGCTTGGCTAGTTTTTGTATTTTTTGTAGAGACAGGGTTTTGCCATGTTGCTCAGTCTAGTCTTGAACTTCCTGAGCTCAAGGAGTCCTCTTGCCATGACTTGCCAGGGGCGGTTAATAGAGGAAGCAGGAAGGACAGGTGGGTGCCTATGGCAGCAGGGAAGGTGAGAGGTGACAGGGGCTGGGATGAGGGCTTTGGCAAGGGACGTGCATCAAACACCTTACAAAAGTCAGGATGAGCAAGGCCACTCCAGGAGATAATCAAATGCATGCAGCAGTTTACATACACACGGAATTCATTACGGGCTTAGTTATAAAGACAAAACCCTGGAAACAACATAAATGTTCACCACGAGAGGGCTGGTTAAATGATGGCGCCCACAGACCAGGGGTGCCATGTAGTTATGCGAATTGTTGTTTTAGAAGAATATTGAACAACACAGGAAGATGTTTACATTGTATCTTAAGTGAAAAAAATCAGGACACAAAACTCAATGTATATTATGATGCTGGTTGAAAAAAGTGGTGTTTTTCTATCTAAAATAAACACGGAAATGTCAGCGGCAACTCTCTGGGTGAACTGTGGGTTATTTGAATTTTTTCCTACATTTCAGTGTTTCTCAAATGTCTAACAAGCATCTACTTTTATAATTAAGAAAACAGTTATTTTTTATGCCTATCATCTCAGCTACTTGGGAGGTTGAGGTAGGAGAATCACTTGAACCTGGGAAGCAGAGGTTACAGTGAGCTGAGATCACACCACTGCACTCCAGCCTGGGCGACAGAGTGAGGCTCCATCAAAAAAAAAAGCATAGTTATTTTTTAATTAATAAAGTAAATCTCTCTCAAAGAGGCAAGGGGCAGGTGTGTGAGTGAGAAAGGAAGGCATGTGGAGGAGGAAAGGGTTAGACAAAGTGAGTGTTAAATCTGCATCTCTGTGTAGACAGAGCTCCCCGTCTCAGCTTAAGACCCTCCTGCCCTTGAAGAAGCTTCCTAAAACCAGCTCAGATCTTCCTCTTCTGTTCCCCTGCCTCTTTGCATGTTTCTGGAAGCCCTCAATAGTATGAGTATTATGCACACCCTGCCTGTGGTTAGGCCACTGGGAGGCTGAAGAATGCAGATGCCTGGGCCCCGACCCTGGGGGTTCCCACCCTGGGACCACCCCCCTCCACCCCTAGTCTTCTCCATCTCACTAAGTGCTCAAACCTTTCAATAGAGGCCATTAGTGTCGCTACGGGGAGTGTGGATTCTGGAGCCAGACCCCCAGGGTTGGAATTCTGGCTCTGGCACGGCCTTGCTGGGCTCAGTGCCCTCAACTATGAAATATTTACCGTATATAATATGAGTCTAATATATATATATGTATATTATATAGCATATAATAAATAAGTATAATATATAATATTATCTATATATATTTTTTGTTTTTAGTTTTGTTAAAAAACCATTCTGACAAATCAGAAATGGGGGTTCAGGAGTGGTGGTGATGCAAAAGAAGGAAGCCATGGGGTGGGGGCTGTCAGGGGTGGGGGCACTGGTGTCTCCTTCACCCCCACCCTGATGTGTCCTCTCCTGAAGGACAGACGGTCATATTCTGCAATGTGTCCTCTACCATGTCCTTTACCATGTCTTTTCAAAGCAGGAGAAGATGTCTCTCTCATCAGGCAGATCACTACGATTGACCTCAAAGCGATCCTGCATGTCATTGAGGATCTTGGCATCATTCTCGTCAGACACAAATGTGATAGCCAAGCTCTTGGTGCCAAACCGGCTGGCTCTGGCCACCCAATGCAGGTAGGTGTCAGAATCCTCAGGCATGTCATAATTAAAAGCAATGTTCACCCGCTCAATGTCCATTCCTTGGCCAAATAGGTTGGTAGCCACAATAATTCACCATTGAAAATCTTTAAACTGCTGATACTGAGACAGCCTCTGCCCTGGGGCATCCCGCGGTGGATGGCAATGGCTGGGATGTTCTGCTCCACCCAGTAGCTGGGCTGAGGCAATGCGCCGCTGCACAGACTTCAAAAAGATCATCACCTGGTTGAACTCAAGGACATTCAGAAGGTCATAGCGCTTCCAGTTCTTCTGGTTGTCCTTCAGTTTCATGTAGTACTGCTGCAACCCATGCAGCATCAACTTCATCTCATTATCCATGAAGATCTCCACTGGATCTTGCATGAACTTGTGGCAGACTGGACGGATCTCTTTGCTCAAGGTAGCCCTGAACATCATGACCGGCTTTTCACGGTGGGGTCATGCGAAAAATTCCCTGGACATCCCGACACATGTTGAGCTGTTCAAACGTCTTATCACATTCATTTGAAATAAAGTGTTTTATGTGTTTGAGGTTGAGGCTCTTATTTCCAGCCAGGGCTAGGATACGGCCTGGAGTCCCCACGACGATATGCAGGCAGTTCTTCTTCAGCACCTCTTCATCCTTCTTGATAGACCACCAAAAAATACAGCAACCTTGACATTGGGCATATATTTAGAGAACCGACCATGGCTTGGGAAGCCAACAGCGCCTGTTCCCCAGAGTGGAGGAGCAGAAGTGGATGAAAACATGCATAACCCGTGCAGCAGCATCTGATGCACGGCCATCCCCTGTAAGTGGTAGCTGTTACTACTTTTCCGGTTACTAAGGCTGAAAACCCAAGGGTCATCCCTGATTCCCCCTCCCCTCATTCCAGCACCCTCGCTGCCATCCCATGCAGGTCCCTCCGTTTCTCAGCCTTGCACTGCCTCCCCAGCCCATGCGACTCTCCTCTCTTGCCGGCACTGCTGTCCTTGTCTCCTTTCAGTCCAGCCTCCTCTCGCCAGCCAGAGGGACTTGTGAAGATGAAAATTGAATTATGCGACTCCTCTGTTGGAGTTCTGAAGAAAGCCCAAACTTTTTGCCATGGCCTACAGCAAGGCCCTAGCGAGTCATCCTACAGGAAAGAAATAGAAATTTAAACAACAAAACAGTATTTTGCCTTCAGATTAGCAAAGATTTTTAAAAATAAAAATAAGATGCAGTGTTGGTGAGGATGTGGTAAAACTGCAGTTAGCCTGAGAACCTCCCGTTCCAGCATTTTGAGGTCAGGGAAAGATGTCTGACAACGGGACTGAGAAGGAGTTGGAGAGGGGAGAACCAGGCCAGTGGAGGTTAGGGAAGCCCAGAGGAGAGAGTGTTTCCAGAAGGAAGGGGGTTCTCTTGGGTCAAAGGCCACTGAGAGGTCAGAGAAGATAAGGACAGAGAACTGACCATGGCTTGGGCCATAGTGGTTCCAGTGGAAGGGAAGAGGGAAGCCATATTGCCACAAAGGCAGAGAGAGAACCCCACGAGTGGCGAACGCAGAGTGTGTGTGCATGCACGTATGTGTGTGCCTGTGTGTGTGCACGTGTGTGCGTGCACGTGTGTGCGTGCACATGTGTGTGCGCACGTGTGTGCACGTGTGTGCATGCACATGTGTGTGTGCACGTGTGTGTGTGCACGTGTGTGTGTGTGCATGTTGGTGGTGGCAGCTGAAGCAGTCGAGGAGATGGTAAGGAGACAGCAGCCCAAGGAGAAGTCTGGAAGGTGAGGGGAGCTCTCTGGGAGGTGCAGGGAGAGGGTGGGTTGACTGAGAGGGTCCTGAGAGCCTGGCTGAAGAGTGGTAGGAAGTGGGAAGGAAGGAACTTCAGGAAGCGGCAGGCTTTGCTCGGTGTCCCAAGGGGAGCCCAGCTTAAAACTCATTAGAAAAAAACAAAGGAAAGCACCTGAGTTTGATGAGTTTGGTTCTAGATGGCAATTCCTCCTGGAGCCTTCTTAATTTCCTTGGTAAATAAGATCGCTTTGATCACTGCCTCAGAGAAAACTTAATTCTGATATGGAATGTCTTGAGTTTGTATCAGTTTGCGGATTCTCCACTGGAAAAATGAGCTGGTGGTGAAAGGGTCCCACAAGAGGAGAAGACAAACATCTCTCTCTCTCTCTCTGTGTGTGTGTGTGTGTGTGTGTGTGTGTGTGTGTGTGTGTGTCTGTCTGTCTGTCTCCTAGTTCTAGTTAGAACTAGGAGAGCAGGTAAGGGTATTTTGAGTCCATTTGTTGGGACAGGGCAGTTGGGTAAGGATGGGGTTAGGGACTATTGTTTGGAGCTCAAAGACAGTAAAATGCTTTCAGTTTTGGTGACTCAAAATGTGGGTTATGGGGAGCAGCATATAAGAAAACCCCTTTCCTTGCCAATCTGAGTTCCACATTTCCTTCCAAATCCTGCTTAGAGTTCGCCACCTCCAGGAAGCCTTCCTTCCTACCTCACCTCAGTCCTGGCTGTGATTGGTCCCTTCTTTGAGCCTAAGTTGGCCTGGACAGATTCGTATCTTTGGACCAAGGGTGGATGCTCACACTGCAGCATCTAGGGGAACCTCCCTCTCTCTGGGCCTTGATTTCATCATTTATACATCAAAGAGGATGATGGTGACTCTGGCCCTTGCAGTCTCTGATACTGAGGGCACCCAGGGAGGGTGAGAGTAGGCAGGGTGGGGAGAAGCAGCAGACATCCCTGTTATCTATGGGATGTTATGCTAGGGCTTTTTCATCCATTACCTCATTGAACTTCACAACAATCCTATGGATCTGGAACTATGACCATTCTCATTTTACAGATGAGGAAATAGAGGCTTAGAGACGTTAAATGATTTGCCCAAGGTTGGTCTCACAGGAAATGGCCAGGCTGCATTAGACACAGTCACCTGGCCTAGGCAGGGAGGCCTTGCCAGGAACCTGGGGAGGGGCCGGGCGGACCCTGTGGCACATTCCCCCAGGGTCAGCAGGAGCCTCTGAGATTTCCCCTGCCTCTCTGATCTCTTGCTCTACTGACTGTGTGCTGTCTGTCTCAGTCTTGGAAACTCCTAGGGATCGGAATTACACACTGTCTTTTCTCTAGGTCAAGGACTGAAAAATTAAATTCTTACAGGGCTAGGCAGTAATTAAGTGAAGTGGGCAGAATAAGTGCAAATTTGTTTGTTGCCTGAGTGGTGGTAAATGCAGCTCCTGAAGAGCACTTGCTTCTCAGGGATGGCTGCTTCTCAGCTCCAGCCAATTGTTACCTCCTGGTATCAGGGCTCAGTGTTATCAGAACCTCTGATCTTTAAAGAGAAGCTACATTTCCTGATTTCTAAAAGTTGGTCTAAATCTGCTGGTTCTGAGCAGTACTTTAAAACAACAAATGAATACATGAATAAAATACATTAACAGACTGAATGTTACTCTGCCAGGTGACAGTTTTGCAACCTCTGAAGCCTGATTTCATCCTTGCCTTGTCCAGGCAAGCTTGGTTGAAAGTCTCCTCTTCTATGGTTGCTCAGGAGGTGATGCTGATGCCTTTGGGTGGGACCATGGTTTGGTGTTTGTGATGAAGTGGGAAGAAGTCTCCCAGAAGTCTCTTACCTTACCGCTCCTCCATCCCCACTGCCCCCACAACCCTCAAGCACACTTCAGTACTTTCCAAGAGTGGGACAGGTATTGACAAGAGTGGGTCCCAGTTTCAGACCTCTTTGAGTAGTTTTCCAACTGGACTTGGAACAACAATGTGAAATGGCATCCTGACAGGAATAGCAGCCCGTTGAAGTTATGTCCTCCATCCTCAAAGTTCTCTGAGGAGATTAGGGACATAGTAGCTGGGGTGAGGTGAACGTCATACACACATTCTAAGATGACCAACACATAAGGGAACAAGACACTTTGACCAAGTACCAGTAGAAACAATAGACAATAGAAACAGAGTCATGCAGGCTTCAGATATTGGAATTATCAGACATAGACTATAAAATAACTATGCTTACTATGTTCAAAGAAATAAAAAACACCAGCTTGAAAACTTCAGCAGGGAACTGAAAACTATTAAATACATAACAAATTTTTAAAAAAGGAATTCTAGAACTAAAATGCAATAGCTAAAATTAAGAAATTGATGGGTGAGTTTTAAAGCAGATTAAACACAGCTAAAGAGAAAATTACTGAATTGGAATTAAGGTCAGATGAAACTGTTCAGTGTAGCACTGAGAAAAAAAGATGGAAAATACAGAAAAGAGGGTAAAAGACAAGGAGGACAAAATGAGAAAGCCTAGCGTATATTTAATTGAAGTCTCAGATGAAAGGAGAAAGAAGAGAGAGAGAAAACCAGGTGGAAGAAATATTTAAATTTTCTATTACAGAGGAAAGACATCAGTTTATTGTTCAAGAAGGGTTCAGTGGTGGATTGATCTGTACCAGACACAGGAGGGTTCAGCCATTCACTGGCTCAGAGGGGTCAGAAATGACTCGCAAATCACTGGGCCTATATGGGAATTGAGCCAGAGGTCTCTAGCCTAGGAGAAATGGGATTTGGGAGAGTAACAGAAGTGAAGCTTTCATTCATTTACTTCACTAATTTACAAATTGATTCATTTGTTCACTTACTTATCAATTCAATATCTATTTTTTGAGCACCTAAGAGGCTTGAGTCACTGTAATTGGCATTTGATCAGAAAATGAAGAGTCTTCATTTTTTTTTTTTTAATTTTTAGAGACAGGGTCTTGCTATGTTGCTTAAGCTGGTCTTGACCTCCTGGGCTCAAGCTATCCTTCCACCCCATAGTCCCAAGTAGCTGGGATTACAGGCATGCACCACTGTACCCAGGTGAAAGTCTTAGTTTTAAAGAAAATGTTTGCCCTTGAATGAGGCAAGATGTTTAGGGAGTTTAGTGTCTGGGTGCCCAGAGGCAACATGGCACCTGGAGCCTATGATGATGGGAATTAGAGGCTGGTTTGGGGACAAAGGTCGTTTGATGGGAAATGACCAAAACTAGTGCCTATGAAGATGTTGGCCCATCTGTGAAGATAGCAGTCACTCTAGGAAGAGGTAATTTGGACTCCAACTCAGCAGCTTTGCTACTTTGAGTGGAATTGGTAGGATTTTTGAGAACCTGACCAACTTAATGTTATTTTTGTTTTATTCATTTTCAATAAGATTTATTGTAATAAAAGGAGCCTGCCTAAACTATACTAAAAGGAAGAGTATGCTGGTATCAGCTGCAGAGAAAGGTGACACAGCAGTCCTGTAAAGGTGACACGTGGGCATTAAGGAGGGCATTCCAAGGTACATCTTCAGGGTACAAAGCCAGGACTCTGAGCAGCTATCCCACCTGGGGATTTGGGAAGGCTTAGAACACTTGAGCCACATGTAAACTTGGCCACTAGCACCCTCTATGGCTCTCTCTCAACTTTTTGGGCTCTTAGACCCCTTTGAGGTTGCAATGAAGCCTGTTACCAGAAAAGCACACTTACAAACAACAGTGCAAATTCAGGGGATCCCTGGATCCTAGCCTAAAATCCTTTGATCTATTCACCCCTTTATTGTAATTTGGGAAAACTGAGGTCTTCATTGGTAGTGGTTGTTTAAATTCATGCAGTTGGTGGTAGAGTTAGGGCTCTGTTTCAGGTGTCTTGCCCTCTGGTTTGCTGCTTCTCCCCACTTGCTCCTCCCCTCTCCCCCTAGAGCTCTCCTGGGTGGAGTCCTGCCGCTGTGTTTTGTGTGAGAGGCAGCACTCTCACAGGACATGGTGTGGGGGAAGGTCAGCTCATTAAGTTGCACGGGGTAGAATAAGGTTCCTGAGAGGTTTTGGGGGAATATCAGTAGGTGGAAGGCCCAGAAGGGGATACCCTTCTGGAGGAAGGGATCCTTCTCCTGCAGGACCTGGGAGTACTAGCTGCTTTTTAATCCAAAAGGCACTGGAGAGTATGCGAAAGCACTTGGATAGACTAGGGATGTGATAAAAGTGTTGTTAAAGGAAGCTGATTCCTATAGTCATGTTCTTCCCTCTCTCATAGCAAACAGGACTCCAGGGCGACCCAGTGCTTGGGAGACAGCCCAGATTCCCAGTGTGACCTTAGCCTCAGTTCATCCTTCCTGAAATCCACCATACCAAAGCTTTGGGGGCAGGTGGAAGGCTCTTGGAGACCCCAGTTTTGTAGGACAAATTCCCCTCTGATTTGCTCTCCTCTCTTTTCTGTGTTGCTCTTTCCTCTTGTCTTCCCTGTCTGTTGCAGGGAGAGCACAAAGAGGAGGTAGGGCACAAGCACCACCCATCAAACTCTCATTTTCTTTCAAGAAAAAATTACAATTATGAAAGATTTCACCATTGGGTCTAAAAACACCACAATGCAAATGCCTCTGTTCCCCCAGTCCTCTTCCCTCTCTCCTCATCATCGTGTCCCTTTCTTCATCAGCACCGCTGATCGACTACACTCTGGGGGAAGGGGGTTCGTGCGGAAGCCATTGGGATCTTCAGCAGCAGAGAGGAGAAGTGAGGACGGGGAGGGGAGAGGCGAGGTGTGGTCAGAGCCAGGTGCAGCTGGGAAAGAGGGAGGCTGGAGTACTAGGAGTCCACAGCTTGCTCAGACCAATGTGCACTGTGGGAGGGGCAGTGAAGCAGCCTCCAGCTCTTGCTGCTGAATGGTGAGCAGTTTCCTGGCGCACTTAGCTGGAGGTAGCCTTCTCCCTCTTCCTGGTGAAAGTGTGATGTGGAGTTTATTGATTCCATTTACCACAGTATTTTCCTTAAATATTTTTTTGAGTCTAATGCACACCGTATGCACCCATAATGGCTCTAGCTAGCCTTGTTTTTCTGTAGAACCAATAAAGCAATTTGGAGGAGATGAAATTGAACTCAGAGGCATCAGGAGAGGGTGGCTGGAGATGTGCGCAGGGAGGGAAGGATGAGCCTGAGATAAAAGACCCAGGCGGTGGAGACATTCAGGATTGAGGGGCAATACAGCACTGTGATGACAGAGAGATGGGAAGGAATGGAAAAAAGAAAAGAAGTCAGGCAAGCCAGGGGATAAGGAAACACTAGAGGGGGAAAAGGGAGGGAAAAGAGAGATTGAAGAGAAAAAGGAAAGAGAAGGAAAGATGAAAGAATATATTATAGCCAACCCACAATTTTGTGTGACCTTGGGGATATGGGAGAGTTAAGTCTATGGGTGGCCTTCAAATTACTCTCCACAGTCTAAGTCTAATTCTAATCTCTTCTCTCGCTCACCCAGCCTTTCATGAGAAAAGCAAAATAGACATCTGTGTTGGACTGCAGTGTTGTCTACTTCCCCAGCATCCATTCACCCCTCTCTCACTGCAGAGCAGCCATGTTACCTGAGCAGGACTCAACTTCTGGGTTGGTCCCTAATGGGCTAAGCCAATGACAGTATTCTTACCTTCCCTGGCCTCAGTGATTGGGTAAGGAAAAGGCATATAACCCAGCACCAAGCCAATCAATGCATAGGATTCTCTTGGCCATGGTGATTGGCTTGAGAGCTACCTTGTGATGTAAGTTGGTCCAATCAGAGAGAAAGTTGGGATTTGTGGTAAAAGTTGGGAGTAAGAAAAGCCTTTTAAACCTCCGTGGTTATGAAAAAGGAAGCATGTGACCCCGGAGGTGCTAGCACACATTTTGCTATTGTGAGGGAATTCAATCTGAGAATGGGCCTGATACATTAGAAAAGGAGAGTGGAGAGAATCACAAAGCAATGTAGCCAAGGATTATGAGACATTACCAACCTCTGGGTGAAACTCCTCCTGAAGCTGACATTTCCCCTGGGGATTCCAATTTCATGAGTCAATAGATTTCCTATTGGTTAAGTAATTTTGAGTTTGATTTTCTGTTATATACAGTGGACAGTATAATATCTTTACATTTGATTCCTTCTGTTCTTTCAGCTACAGGCCTCGTGAAAGCTTTTGCAGAGTGTATCTGCAGGCCTGCGTTGGGCAGGGTTCCAGGGGAAGACTGGGCTTCAGATGAACTCCTCTCCCAGAAGCTTAACTCAGTCCCCAGGGTCAGGCTGGTAGGGGGAGGGAAGGAGGGAGGAGTAAAAGGCCAGAGAATCCACATTCTGGAAGGTCAGGCCCTTTCCACTCAGCTGGGCAAACTCTCCCTGCTCAGCCCCGAGTCAGTCTTCAGAGCACCTTTCAGCTCCAGGTACAGATTCCCCAGACTGGGATCCAAGACCGACCCTCCTGGACTCATCTTCCACTGCTCCCCTCTGTGTACCCCACTGCCAGCCAGACTCCAGCACACCACCCCTCTCCTCCCCTGCCCATCTACTTACTGGGGGTCCCTTTGCCTGGAAACTCCCACTCCTATCTGTTTGGATGTCACTCATCTCTCAAGCCCTGCCTCAACACCACCCCTGAAGCCTCCCCTGACTTTAATAATCCACCCAAAACCCTCTTCCTCCTGCGGGAGCTTCATCTGAATCTGTGTGAATTGTGGTTGGGTGGGTGGCATGAGAAAATGTGTAGTTTGAAAAGTCATACTCAACATGTCTATTGTTTTTGTCCATAAACTGCCAAAAGTTAGGTTAACAAACTGCTCTGGATTAATGGAATTATACTTCAGACAGCAAGAGAAAGCATTGCTGGGGTCATAGGCTAAAAAAAAAATGTTGAGAACTCACACTCTAATTGATGAATCCTCTTCTCTGTTCGACTTCTAAGGGCCCTTGCACCTTTCTGTAGCACTCGATGGGCCCTGCCTTACACTGCAGTTGTTTGTATATTGATCTTGCTCCTTTGCTAGGTCATAACCACCACTGACTGGCAGAACTGGGAGGGCCTTGGGATATCACCGGATTCAGGGATCCACCACCTCTTCTTCACGAGTTGCACGTGAGCAATGGTTCACCTTTGCAGTGAGCTGCTAAGGTTATTTTAAAAACTGAGTTTGAAAGCTGTCACCCCTCACCTTTCTTTCATATTCAAGAAAGCATAAAAGAAACTGAGTGATTCTGGAACAAAGAGGTCACTGCGTGGCTTTTAAAAGGCCTTCGTGAAACCATGGTCTTGACAGCTTAATTTGTAGAGATAAAATGCTTTTTGTTACATTTATGAAACAACTCTTTGCATCAGCAGCACCAAGCTTGGAGGCCTGGGCATAGCTTTAAGCTAGGGCTTTGTGTTTGTCCGTTTGCATTGCTATAAAGTGATACCTGAGGCTGGGTAATTTATTTAAAAAAGGAGGTATATTTGGGCTCAGGGTTCTGCAAGCTGTACAGGAAGCATTTTGGGAAACCCAAAGGGATCCCCCAACAGCAGGAATGGGACAGCTCTTCCTGGCTTCTTGGGAGGTAGGGGAGGCTGTGAGCCTCCTTCTTCCTCCATGTCACCCTCACTGGGTCAAACTTCAGAGCAGGGACAGGTGAGAAATAAATATTCCCAGGTAGGTGTGGGGGACCTGAGAATATTGGGGCTTGTGGACTGCCTTCTGTGTGTGGCCTGAGATGAAGACAAACCTCCCAGAGAAGGTCCGGGTTTGGCGTGGCCCTGGGTCAGACGTGGTGCAGCCCTGGTTGAGGGAGCTGTGCAGGGCGGTTCTTAATCAGTGTTCCTGGCTGCCAATGCCCTGTATCCAACACAGCAGAGGATCTGGGAGTTCCGTGTGTCTCAGAGGGGAGATTGCAGAAGTGTGAAAGAATTGTGGACATACAGGCCTGGAGTTAGGATGAGGAGGACACGTGAGGGCAGATGGTGGGAGAGGCTGGGACCTCATCTGGGAGTGCTATCCGATGTCAGAAAAGATCAGCTGCAGCCAGAGGGCAACAGGTTGGACACCCAGAGATAGGTGGCCCAGGGGAATAGCTCATGGAGGCTGACAATAACCCAGAGGACAGCAGGTGGGCTGGGGGCCCTGCCCTGGCCACCACAAGGAGACACAAACTTCCCCCATCCCAAGGCCATCCAAGGAAGGAGGATGGAAGAAATAGTGCTAAAAGGGACTTTTAAATGGAATTACTGTTTAATGGTAAGTTGATCACCACCCCCTCCATCCCTTAAGACCCCCACACCCACCAAACTGTGAGCAGGGATGGACAACCTGGATCAAGAAGTGGTCAGCGATGGAAAATAAAGTAACTTTGTCCTACCAATCTGAGTTATTGTGTGTACATTCCATCCCTTATTGCAGTAATTGTAATTTTGATGAGTGAGAAGAAAGGGAAGCTCAAGGTGCTGTGAGAATATGTACTGGGACATCTGACTTCGTTTGGGACATCAGAGAGGTCTGCCCAGAGGAGGAGAAGTTTAAGACAAATTCTGGAAGATGTATATGTATAGGGGTTCATGGGAGTGCAGAGGGAGAGCAGTGTTCCAGGAGTGGGTGACCCTTGCTTCTTTATCCTATATGAGAACCCCCTCAGAGTCCCTGGGCTGGGCTACCCTAGCCGATCTCCCCATCTCCTATCCAGGGCCAGGAGCAAGGGGACTCTTCCCAGAGGCCCTCGGGGTCTGCTGGAAGGGATACATGTGAATACAGCCTGGGCTGAGCCTCTGGCAGGAAGTCTGACAGTTGGTTGTCCCTGACCTCTCAGCCAGCCACAGCCCCTGATGCCTTTGCTAACTGAGCAGGGTTGGGGTAGGAGAACTCCCAGCCCCCATGTCCCCTGCTGGTCCACATGCCCTGCTGCTCAGCCAGGAGCTGTGTGTGGTGTTGGCTGCTCCGCTTAATGGTCGGGAAAGGAGGCAATCATGTCCCTTCCTTCTGCCGGCTGAGAGCCCGTGCAGAGGAAGCCCATTGGCAGCCCCTACTCATGTGCCAGCCTCAATTAGCCTAAGCGGGAGCAGAGGGCAGCACGGGTAATAAAACCTGCAGCCAGGCAGCATGGGGCTGGGGATCCCTGGAAAGGCTGGGAACCCAGGAGAGACCTGGGTGGGGGCAAAGATAGCATTTGGAGGGATCTGTGAGGGTAGACAAAGAGAAAGGCAGGTATCAGCTATTTCCTTGCTCCTGCTTTGAAAGAAAATGTTCCAGATTGGAATCAAAACCGCAGGACCAGAAGTTCTCATTCATTGAAAGCATCTGGACCCAGGCTGAGTGAAAGCAAATGGACTCCAGTTCAAGAGGGCAGAGGAAAGCGTACCAGGAAGTGGATTCTCAGACTGGAGGAGCAGGGATGGGGGTGGAGACAGGGCTGAAGCCTGGATTGGCTGCAACTCTCCAGGAGCAGCGCTGCTAGTGAGCTGGCCAAGGACAGTGGGCGTGGGGGAGCTCCGGCAGTGGTGCTTCATATGGGGTGGGTGGGAGCTGAGGCCACAGCCTGGGGTTTCCAGGGAGCACAGGGACCCCCTAAATAGACCTTGCAGAGCACCGGGTGGACGTGAGGAGCTGTAGGCTGGGCCCTGGCTATTGGGGAATTAATTTCTCCATGATTCCCCCCATCCTTTTCCAGGATTCCCAACCCTCATAGAACAGCCAAGGAGCGGGTCACCGGCTGCCTCGTTAAAGTTGAATTTCAGGTAAGCAACAAATAAATGGATTAATATAGGTATGTCCCACACAATATGTGAGATATATTTACACTAAACAATGATCCATTACTTACCTGAAATTCTAATGTAACTGGGCACTTTGGGTTTTTTCCAGAGAGTGATGGGGGACCTCCTCCCAGCGTGGGGTCTGCATCTCTCCTGGAGGAAGGAGGGTGTCCTGTGCTGACCGCTGGCTCTCTACCCCAGGCCCATCCCGGGGGTGTGCAGGCCACTGTGAGAGGTCACTGGATTCCCTGGCTGACTCTGGTGGGGCCCTCCTTATACAGGCAACGGAGGGGAGACTGCTTCATGAGGGCCACCCAGACCTCTGGTGGGCAAGACAGACAGACAGACAGAGGAGGTCTGGGGAGAGGGGATCCTGTAGGAAAGAGTGGAGGGCCCAGGCCCATGGGAGGCCCGTTCTCACCAGCAGGGCCCGCAGTGTCTCTGGGTTCCTGCGGCTCCTTGCTCCGCTGTGCTGCCCTTGGTTAGCCGACCAGACTCAGTGATGAATTTTCAGAGCACAAATCTGACCATGCCATTTTCTTTCACAAAACCCTTTGGCGACTCCCTTTACCTTTAAGTCAGTCAAAATTTCTTAGCATTCTGGCCCCCTGCCTGGCTCTCCATCCTTATCTCCGTCCACACTGTGTGCCATTCTACCCTAGCGAAGTTCGGCCACTTGCAGTTCTGTAAACAAACCTTGCTCCTTCATGCTACAGGCGTCTGCCTAAGCTGTGGCCCTTCCATGGAATTCTTGACTATACTCCTTCCTCACCCTTCCATGCTATTTGCCATTCAAGATCAAGCTTAATGAGTATCTCTTCTTAGAATCCTTCCTTGGCTCCTCTTCATCCTGTCCTCAGGAGAACTCAGACCTGGGACAGGCTGGATATGCCCAAATCATACTCATGCATTGTGCTCCAAAGTACTCTGGCTCCTACATTCCCCACCTCAGTGAACAGCTTCCCCATGTACCTGGCATCCAAAGTAGAAACCCCATACTTCTCATTCACCCTCCCCAGTTACCCTTGGTCCCCACCCCATTCAAGTAGCCATCAAGTCTGGTCATTCTCACTCCTAAGGATGGCCCAGGTGGGGCCATCTATTTTGTCTGCACCCTGCAATTTTCCTCACGAGCACTTTACTGACCACCCTGAAGTTTCATGACATTTCCAGCTGTCTGCCTCCCATTCTAGACTGAAAACTGAAGGATCAGGAGGGCTGGGCTGTCTATCTGGGACACCACGTGTCTCCAGTGCCCTGCAGCACCTGACATGTGTGTAGGAGCTCCATGTTTCTTGGGTGAACCACGCATGCCCTTCACAGGGAGATTGTATCTTTCAGACCTCCAAAGTGCAGGCTCGGTCTTGTCACCTGATTACCCATCCTTCATCCTTCAGATCCCAACTCAAATGTCACCTCCTCCAGGAAGTCCTCCTTGAGCCCCGGGTTAAGTCAGCTCCCTGGGTTACACACTCCACAGCACTAAATGACTTTCCATTGCTGGACTCACCTGAGAGTACTGTAGGTGCACACTTACACCTAGGTGATTGTTTACGAGTGTCTGCCTTCTCCACCAGGCTGTGAGCTTCATGTGAGCTTCCAGGAAACATGTCTGTTTTGAGTCACTCTTGTACTCTCAGTGCCCAAAGACAGTAGGTACTGCATAAATCTTTGGTGAATGAATGGACAATCCAAGAGTAATGGATGAGAGAGGGATTTGCAAACTGTAAAGTTCCAGTGTTCTCCACCTTTCTGAGGCTCCTCTCATGTAACATTGGCCCTCCATGTGGGTGCGTTCTTAAATGTTGTGTGGTGGGGCAGGGGAGCATGGCAGACTCTCAGTGGGCAAGGAAAGGGCATGTGTAGTTTAGAGACAGCCCAGAGTAAATTTGATACTTTCCCCTCCCCTGCATACATGTTCTCTCTCTTCTTTTCTCTGTCTCTCACATCCAGGGACATTGAATTGATACAGGTTTGTGTTGCTGTTGTTGGCAGTGTGTTTTACACCTGTTAGTTTCAGCAGGTCTATCTTAGAGTATAAACTCCCAGAAAGAAGGAACTGGGTCTACAAGAGTCTCTGTAAAAGGTCTGAGTACTTAAACGGAGTTGGAAAATGAATCCGTGTCTAGCTAGTAAATTGTATGTAAAACCCTTTTCATGTGGGAGGTGGGAAGGGTATGTGTTACTGTGGCAGAGGCTGGGGGAGAGCATTCAAAGACTTCCCCCTCCAGATGGATCGCAGCAGGAAGGCCTAATGGAGGAGGTGAAACTCCCCCCAGCCCTCCCCATGTTGTCTCTGCTTTGGGGAACAAGTGCAGACATAGATGCAGGGGTCTGATTCTTCCCAGAGTCCTGATGTTGGACGAGACTTTGGACATTGTGACTTAGTTTCTCTTTTATAGCAGGAATTCTTCCAGCAGCCTCCCTGGCAGATACCACAGAGTCAGCATTGGAAGGGGCTTTGGACATCGAGGTTTGGAAAGAACCAGCTTAGTTCCAACACTCCCAGAGTCGGGGAGCTCACTACTTTGTCCAGTAGTTCATCCCACAGTTGAATATCTCATCGTTAGCTCTTTCTTTTTCTGAGCTAGTTGTACTTACTTGTTCATGTCCCTCCTGCTTCTGCTTGAAGAATAATGAGCCTGATGGCTCTCCCGGGGCAGCTCTTCAAGGCTGGGATGCCTCTCCGGCATCGTCCTGGTGCAATCTGCACTCCTGTGGCTGGGCCCTCCTGGATCCTGGATCTATCTCCCTCTTTGGAGGACAGGGTGGGATGAATCAGTGGGTCTGGCTGGGGGCTGAAGGTTCCTGTGTTGATCCTCCCCTCATTGTGTCCTCCCCCCAGATCAGGAGACTTTCTCCTGTGGGCTCTCCTCCCGCTGCCCCAGGCCCGCGAGTCTGTCACACAGCTATGACTTACCTAAATGTGTGTCACCCAGAGGACAGGAACATTTGATTGCTGGGGAAAAATACTTATTTTTTCCTAACGCCTTTCAAAAAATGAGTCATGATTGGTCTAAAAATAGTCCGTGGAAATCAGAAGAAACAAACACACACACAAAATGATACTAAAATTCAGAGTACCTAATTATAGGAGAAAGGAAATGGTTTGGCAAATTGGGATTCCAGTAATGTTTTCATATTTTCTTTGAATCAAACATCATGCAGGGAGAGTGAAATACATTCGGCATTGTTAATAAATTTTCTAACCCAGAGACTCATCGTCCCTCTATCAAGCTGTTTACAACCTCCATGGGCATTTCTGAGTTTGTGGTTTTTGGACTTACTCCCCTCTCTGCTTTTCCCCGGGCAGCTCCTGTTGACTAGCATAAACCTCACAACCGGCATGATCAATCAGGCCGCCTGTCATCATTGCTCAGTCCAGACACTGAGCAAGCACCTTGGGTGAGAAAAGCACTGTAGAGGGCACTAAACAAAGATTATTTCTAACATTAAGTCTTTAATCCGTCTTGAATTAATTTTTGTATAAGGTGTAAGGAAGGGATCCAGTTTCAGCTTTCTACATATGACTAGCCTGTTTTCCCAGCACCATTTATTAAATAGGGAATCCTTTCCCCATTTCTTGTTTTTGTCAGGTTTGTCAAAGATCAGATAGTTGTAGATGTGTGGTGTTATTTCTGAGGCCTCTGTTCTGTTCCATTGGTCTATATCTCTGTTTTGGTAACAGTACCATGCTGTTTTGGTTACTGTAGCCTTGTAGTATAGTTTGAAGTCAGGTAGCGTGATGCCTCCAGCTTTGTTCTTTTTGCTTAGGATTGACTTGGCAATGTGGGCTCTTTTTTGGTTCCATATGAACTTTAAAGAAGCTAGAAACCATCATTCTGAGCAAACTATCAGAAGGACAGAAAACCAAACACTGTATGTTCTAATTCATAGGTGGGAATTGAACAATGAGAACACTTGGTCACAGGGTAGGGAACATCACACACTGGGGCCTGTCATGGGATGCGGGGCCAGGGGAGGGATAGTATTGGGAGAAATATCTAATGTAAATGACAGGTTGATGGGTGCAGTGGGCCAACATGGCACATGTATACTTATGTAATGAGCCTGCACGTTGTGCACATGTACCCTAGAACTTAAAGTATAATAAAAAAAAAAAGAAAAAAGAAAGATTATTGAGTGGATCGTTCATGAACCCGTAGGAAGAAAAGGAGCGATCACTAGGAAGCATCTTGGGTTCACCAAGTGGAAGTCCCGCCACAATAAACTCCTTTCTCCGGCTGCTGGGTTTTCTAGACTGGTAGACGTGCAGGGCACGATGAACATGGCATATCTGGATTTCAGCAAGGCATTTTGTAAGGACTCTGATGTAATCCTCAGGGACGAGATGGAGAATTGTGGATTAGACAGTAATAGAGTTAGATGGATTAGCAAACCAAGAGCAATGTGAGCCAACAGTGGGGTGAGGCTGCCAGGAAAGCAATGCAATCTTGGACTATATTAATCAAAGCACAGAGTGCAGAAGATGGGAGATAATGGTGTGGCCCTCTGTGCTTGGCAGTGGTCAGACCACATCTGGAGACTTGCGTTTCATTCTGGGAGCCACAATTGAGCAAGGACATTGACGAATGGGATAGCATTTGGAGGAGGGGGCCTGGGATGCCCCAGGGTCTTGCTGTCATGCCAGACAAGGAGTGGTTGAGGGAGCTTGGGACTTTAACCTGGAAGAGAGAACACGGAAATGGATCCTGACAGCTGTTTTCAAATATTTAAAGGTCTGCCCTGGAAGACTGAGTGGAAATATCAGATGCAGTGTTAGAAACTCAGCACTTGACAGCCAGGCAGATTTTGGTTCGGTCCATAGTACCCTAGCAAGAAGTGGGAGGCTCTGAACCCTGCAAGAGCCCTGGAGGAAGAATTCAATGTGGTCTTGGCCTGATGCATCCTGTTCTACACTTTTCTGTCTTACCAAAAGTAAACCAATAAACCCTGTGCTAAGCCTGGAGGAGGATGGAGGGGTACAGTGGCGCATGGGACCCTGGCCTCAAGGAGCTTCTGTTTGAGTCAGAGTTGGATAAACAAACAACTGTTATTCATGGAAGGATCTAACTGTTTATAGGAGGAAGAGCACTTGATTGTAGGAAAAGAGGCCTGTTTACTGGTTCCTGTTCAGCTGCCAATTAGCTGTGTGACCTTGGGCAAATTATTGCATCTTTCTGTGTCTCCAGTTTCTTGTGTGTCAAAACAAATTTCTGGGGTGTGGCCCTCGACCTTTGCAGTGCACACTAACCAGCTAGGAAACATGTAACATGCAGCCCCTGCCTCACAGCATCAGTAGTCCTGGGGCAGGGTGGCCAGGTGATTCTAATACAGGAGGCTCACGGATCACTGGAAGACACTGATAGAGTGAAGAAATAACATGGCCTTTATGAGAAGTTTTTCATTTGTTCTTGAGAGTGAGGAGGTGGGCTGGCAGAGAGACTGACCAGTTAGGAGGTGTCCTAGTCCATTTGGGCTGGGCAGGTTATAAACAACAATTTATTTCTCATGGTCCTGGAGGCTGGGAAGTCCAAGATCAAGGTGCCAGTAGATTCAGGGTCTGACACTTGCCCACTTCCTGGTTCATGGACAGTGGACTTCTGTGTCCTCACATGCTGGAAGGGCCAAGGGAGCTCTGAGGTCTCTTTTATAAGAGCACTAATCCCATCTATGTGGCCTCCACCCTCATAACCTAATCACCCGTACCTCCTAATACCATCACCTTGGGGGTAAGGATGCCATCATATGGATTTTGTCGGGGGAAATAAACATTCAGTCCATTGCAGGAGGCTACAGCCCCGAGCTGAGGAGGAAGGAATGTCAGTCAGACCTAGGGCAGTGGAAACCAAAGCACAGGGAAGGGTCTCATTGGAAAGCTAGAAGTAGCACGTCGTGGCATGTGGGAAGAGGAAGGGGACACATGAAAGATGACTTTGCATGATGAAGCTTTACAACTGGCCTGGCAGATAGGCTTTCTTCCTTAGAGGTGGGAATGATGAAGGACCACAGCCGATGACCTGGGACTGGAAATTCTGACCACTGATCTGGTACCCTCTGGGGAGGACAGTCCCTGCTCACAAACTTCCTGGCAGAGGGGATAGGTTTTTCTCTCACCATGAGCTCAGGGAAGTGGGGACCTCCGGGGAAGAACCCTAGCTGAGTAGGTTCTTGCCCAAGCTGGTTCCACTGTCTGGAGTCTCTCCTCTCCCACCACCCTCCCACCCCCACCTCACTCCCTTTCTTTCTCTCTCCCTCCACCTTCTTTCTCTTCTTTCTCTCTCCTCCATTCCTTCTCCTTCTCTTTCTTCCTCCCCTGCCTCCTCCAGGCAGCAGCAGCAGGGAAATAATGAGGTTGCCCAACTGGCGGTGCACGCACCATCAGGGTGTAGAATGAAGACGGATGACTGTAGCTAAGAGACAATTTGAAAAGGGATAAATACAGGCAACAAGTTATTCACCACGGCAATTTGTAAAGAGCGTTAAAAACCTGCAGATGGGTTGTTTCACATCATCTCCTTTTCCATTTGCAGGCTGACAGGCCCGGGTAAACGACAGTGATGGATGGCTTTGAGCTGGGCCCCTTAATCTACCACTCTGCCATTGATTAGTTTGGCTCGCACTGCACCCCGGGGTGGTGGACATGACCTGTCTCCTGGAATCGAGAGCCTGAGCTGGGCCTTGGACTTGGAGGGGTCTCCGTGGGGAGAGGGGGTGCAGGGCTGGTGGGAAGAATGGAGTGAGGAGCCAAGGGGCTGCCAAGGGTTTGGCACCAGAGACCCAGAGGCTGGCACAGAGCAGCAGGAGGTTTCTGCAGCTGAGGATTTAGTTGATCAGGCAGAGATATCGGGACAGAGGAATAGCAGAGGTTGGGGATCAGAGTACAGCCCTCCAGCCCCAGCTTCCAGGAGACGCCTTGCCCCACTCCATTGTGGCCTCGTCATGCTGCCCAGCAAGGGCTGGTGCTGAGCCCTCAAGGGCCCTTTTACAGACTACTTTTTGACTCTGTTTCCCAAGTTCCTTGCTGTGAATGAATCAGAAGGTAACATTGCACCAGTGTTATAAATGAGAGGAAAGAGTCCCACGGAGGAGGGGGTTATCATCTTCTGGGTGGGGGCTCGTTCCAGGCTGAATTTAGGATGTCCAAAGTAAAGAGAGTATAGACAGAAAGCCCCTTGAGATGATATAGAGGCGGGAAGGGCACAGGATAGCAGGCTGCTGCAGAAGGGATCAAAAGATTACGAGCCATCAAAGACTACAAATTTAGGGCAAGGTGAGAATGCACAATTCCCTGTAGTGCCTAAGAAATTAGAGAGAGAAGAAAGATTTGAGGAATAGATATGCTGCTATATTGGAAAAAGCATTACAGTAGGATTTGGGGGAATTTGGTCTTGCCTCTGCTCCCCATATAGCTTACTGTAGGGTGCTGAGCAATGGCAGAAACCTCCCTGGGCTTCTGCATCCCAAGTTTCAAAAGATAAATGTGGAAAATAGTAGCAGCTCTCACTTGTAGTGTGCTTTGACATTTACAGAAGTGCTTTTTTTTTTTTTTTTTTTTTTTTTTGAGATCATGACCCCATTTGATCCTCTTAACAATCCAGAGAGGGAAGAAGGTAAGTATCACTGTTTCCATTTTAAGGTTGAACAAATAGAGGCTCAGAGAAGTTAAGTAACTTGACCAAGGTCACACAGCTTATAAGTGGTAGAGCCTGAGCTCCACCTCAACCACACCATGTGACCACATGGCTGTGCAACTCCAGTGCTTAAGAGAAATGGGGCTAATGAAGTGCAGGTTAATCAAACTTCAAGCAAACCCTTACCTAAGTTTTAATCTTTAGAACAAAATATGTTTTTGTAAAACCTGGGAAATTATTGCCCACTGGTCCATGAGTCTGAGTGCTCCTGAAATCCCCGGTCTTGCCAGAAGGATGATGAGAATACAGATCAGGATTAGTTTCCTTAGAAACGGATTGAACACAGAATGAGGTGACCAGTCCTGGGGTCTGGCATCCTTACAGCTTGCTCCCTATTTGAAGCCTCACTGTTCTCTAAAATCTGGTTCAGGGCTCACCTCCTCCTTGAAGACCTCCCTGACTACCACAGCCACAATGAGGACTCCTCCTCTGGGAGCTCACAGCCTGCACTAGTGAAAGCAATGGTTGATCACATACTGCTTGTATTGCTGGTTAGGCCAAATGTTCTGGGATCTGCTTAATAAATGCAGCTGCCTGTGCTTATGTTGGAGAGAGTTGGGATCAGGGGCTTTTATAGCACCCCCCACCACACACACAACCCAAGCATTGACCCTGAGAGAATCAGGATTAATGAGTTGAACCCTCTCTGGGCAACTAAGTACCTGTCTGCCCTTGAACAGGTCACTTTGCCCTGCATGGGTTTGTGGTTCTTGCCTTTAAATTATAGGGGTGATGGTGGTATAGAAAAATGACCCAGGTCATTGGCTGTCGGCCCTGGCTGTCCATCAGAAACACCTGTGGGGTTTCTAAAATACAGAACACTGGGTCTGATTTCAGCCCTCCTGAATCAGTGTCTCAGGAAAAAATTGGCCTTTTAAAAAAAAGCTTCACAGCTGATTTCAATGTTCATCAGGGTTCAGAAACAGCGACCTCCAAGGAGAATCCCAGCAGCCGTCATCAATTGAGTTCTCCTGTGAGTTGGGCACTGCACTAAGCCTTTATACACGCCTTATCATATTTCACTGACTACAGCCTGGCTACTTTCTGAGGTCGGGTCCCCCCAGGAAACAGACTCTGAGACAGAGTGTTGTGGGCAGGAAGATTTCTGGGGAGCCCTCCCAGAGAACAACATCTGTACGGGAGCGAGGGATGCAAGATTGGCCAGAGGAAGCAGGTGAACTGTGTTTAGAGCTGTGTTGTAATTAAGCATAGTTAAAGGCCTTATCCCATCCCAGTGCTGAGGCTGGGATAGTCTTTCAGTAAAACAGAGGCAGCAGAGCCAAGCCTCTGTGTCTCACATGGACCAGTCTTCTGGGACAGGCTGCTTTTGGGTGCCTACCCTGAGGGAGGATGCCTACTGCTGGGGAGGGCAGCTTCTTTCTGCCAAGGCCTTCCTGCAGAGGATTCCACTGCGAGCCAGCAGCAGGTAGTGCCAGGCAGCTGCAGGAGGCACCTGAGAAGGCATCTGCATGGCTGACCACAACATCCGCTAGGTTATGACACCTATGGATGGAAGTGAAGGTGCAGAGATGAACTTGTCTAAGCTCACAGCATTCATATGGGGCGGAATTGAGATCTCAGCCTAGGTCAACTCCGAATCCTATATTCTTTTCTCATGGTTCAAAGCCACACAATTATATCAGAAACATTTGCATAAAAATTGAAACACTAGTTCCCTATCCCTCCATCCTTCACACACACACACACACACACACACTCTCACACACGCCATGTTAAAGGGAAGCTAGAAGGGCCAAGACTAAAGTTGCAGGAATAAGGGACTAAAGAGATTAAACGAAGCTATGGCAGCAATGGTAGGACAAGCCTAGGTCTGTCAAACTCAATTTTGTTCCAATATTAAGTGTATCTTAATAAAAAGTATTTGCGACTTTGCCTTAGCTCACACACCACAGCAGGATTGACTGTTATTCTTCAGAATAACATGCTTTAACATTTGTGTATTTGCTGGGCCATCTCCAAGGGCATTTGATGGAGCCCTCTGAAGGCTGCCAGGGCCTTTGGTCCCACTGATGGGGGCACATGGCCTGATTCCTTCTTCTCCAGGTCCCCCTCTCCATGCCCTGGCCTGAGGGGTGATTGGGGAGTTTAGGATGGTTGGCAGCCCGCTCAGGTCCCCTTGCTGGGCCACTGATGGGGGCTTGCTGGCCCCCTATGTGCAGGCCTGAGCAGGCTGGGTCTCAGCCCAAGATGGCGGTAACAGGGCTGCACTGGGCGTTTCCATTTGATTCAAGGCCGCTGAAGGCAGAATGGGAGAGGAAGCAGCTGGGAGCAGGGGGAGGCAATCAGCTGGCCTAGTGCAGACACCAAAATAGATGTGGGGGTTGGTGGAGAAGGCAGGGGCAGAGGTGTGAACACACCTTGGTGAAAGCCAGCTCCAGGGGAGCCAGGAGAGGGAGAGCAGGCCTGGGGGTGGTCTAGACAAGGCCTGAACCCCCTCAGCCAGGGGGACACTGTTGGGGTCCCCAAAGGCCTGTGCATTCGAGCACTGTCTGGTCCCTGCTCATTCTCATCTCCCCTGTTCCCTCACCCTTCTTTATTTACTCACTTGTCCCAGCATGATGAGGGGCCCTGAGTGCAGGGGCAGGTCTGTTGGAATCCTCTGAGTCCTCATCACCCAGCCCATGCCTGGCATACAGTACTTAGGAAGTATTTCTTAAATGAGTGGATTTCCTCATTTATTCATCCACTTTTATTCATTCAACTATTCATTCATTCATTCATGAAGCACTTGAGTCTTCTAAAGGCACACTGGCAGCTCCCAAAGGCATTTAGAGCATGAATATTGGCCCCTTGGGGTTAAAATCTGGTTGGGGAGTTTAGGATGGGCTTGGGCGTGAGGGGCTCAGAGGTGAAGTGAGTGAGCTGCTCAGCCTGAGAGTCCAGGCAGGGGTGAGGGGCAATCACTGCCAGCTGGCCTGGCCTGGGAAATTCTCCTGCATGAAGCTGGACACAGCAGCATGCAGGATTTGGGGAGGAGGAGGGGGAAAGGGCAGCCCAGGTAGGAGTCAGGAATGAGTGGGAAGAGGCCATAGATCAGGTGAGGCCAGGAGGGGAGGATGCAGCATCTTCCCTGGCTGTCCTAGCAGACGGCAGCCTTGATCTCTGCAGACTGCCTGGCGAACTGCTTTCTCGAGTCTGCCTGGGCGTGGACTAGAATTGGGTGTGCTCACCCGGAAGCAGCACACACCAAGCAGGGTCTGTTCTGAGGGCCTCAAAATGACCTAGAAAGTGATTTTGAAGAATATGCATCCCAGAATGAGCAGGCCCGTGGAGAGCCAGGTGTCACTGGCAACCAGTCATCACACTGGGCTGTGACTGCCTGAGAATGACTCATGGGTGACCAATCAGAAGGCAGCTTTGGAGTGGATAAAAATGACCTCCTCCCAAAATGGAAGAGAAAGCATCTGGTCACTCAGACCCCCCTGCCCCTCCACCCCCTGCCCCTGCCCCACCCTGTCCTCAACTATCAGGCAGGCATGAGCCTTTACATCCACATAGTCACTGAGGTTCTAGGAGTGCCAGGCACCCATGCTGCTGTGCTGTGGAGATCTAATCCTCTCGGTGTCTTCCCACCTCCTGCCTGGGGGGATTCTAGCCAGCCACCTACTTCTCATGGAGGAGGGTCTGTGGGGTCCCTGACTGAGCCTGCTGGAACGCGCCTGTGTCTAGGTGAATTCTAACTGTGCAGGTGAGGGGCTGTGCAGCTCATGTCCTCACCCCCTTCTCATCTCTTCCACCTTCTCGGGAAGCCAAGTCACAGGGAAGAGGGTGGGAGATTCAGACCCCTTCACCCCCACTAGTTGGCAACCCTCAGAAAAGGGCAGGTTTCTTCATTGACCTCTGGGGAAATGACTGCTTATCCCCAGTGAATAGGAGAAGCAACTGGGCGTGAGCTCCAATTCCAGGCTCCCAGGTAGGGGTTTGCAAAGGGCTATTCTCTATCCCGGGCCCCTGTTTCGGTCTTGCCAGGATGCATGGACAGGGTGGCCCAGGGAAGGAGGAAGCCTGAAATTCTTAGGGCACCATACTGCAGAAGCACCTGCCCAGGAGGAAAGGGGTACTGCTATTCTCTCTCCACCAGAGTCAACCCCATCCCCCACTGCCATTTCTCTTCCCTCCAACCCTATCCACTGGCCGAGACCCAAGTTTCCAGCAAGGGCTGAGCTTGCCTGGTCCCCTGAGCAGTCAGGATCGTTGCCTGGCTGTGTTTCTTCCATAGGAGGCAATCTTGTCATCGGGCACACTTAGCACCCCCAGGGAACTCCCTGAGCCCTTAGCCTGAGGGGGAGGTGGAGAATTTTATCACCAGAGCAAAGGCCACCCACAGCAGGAGGGGAGAGAAGGGGAAAGGTTTCTGGGACACACCACTCCGAATAGCTTTGGCAGTTTTGAAGGTCACTTTTTTCCCCTTCCACCAAAGAATTTAATTAGGCTTCCATAAAGCAGTTAGATTTCGGAGCAGAACATTTTTAGCTCCCCTGCTAGGTGTGCTCATGAATATTGAAGACCAGGAAAGAAGGCAAGAGGCAGGAGCGGCCAGCTCACACCCCTGCCTTGATTCCCTGGGGACCGGGACGCTTGGGCACAGGAAGGGGGCAGCTGGGTTCCTGGGTTGGGGGGCCCATGCAGCCTCCAGCAGCCCCGTGTCATTGAGCATTGGAGGTCACATCTTATTCCATCAGTCAGGACCTAGGGAGGTGCACCCCGCAGTGCCGCATGGCTGGTGAAGGCAGGGTGGTGCGGGCCTGTGGGCACAGGTGGCAGCAGAGTGTGCCGGGCCTGGAAAGGCCACTGAGGACTTGCTCCAGGCCATCGCCTATTGATCCCACCATCCTGGGAAGACAGGGCTGTTTGCCGTTAGCAGTACCAAATGCCAAGGGCAGGCTTTGGTGGGGGTTCCTGCAGCAAAGAGAACCCCCCTTCTCCAAATGGGGCATGGCTGGGTCACTTCAGAGAGCAGAGGGTGATCAAGTCAAATTGACTCCAGAGGACACAAAGATAGACCCAAACATGCCTTCTAGAGGTTTCTGGTGGAGCCCAGAAACAAGACACGCTTCCCAGAGGTGTCTAACAAAGCAAGTGGACAGGCCCAAACATGCTATAGACAGTGGGTGGATTCTTAGGTCCGAGGAATGTGGGTGGGTGGGGAATGGTAGAGAGAAAACTGCTCCAGGGCTCAGAGCTGTACACTGCCAGCCTGAGGAGCCTCCTCCAACAGGTCTGCTGTGAAGCCGGCTGGACCTCAGCTTCTTGCACATTCCCACAGTGCATTCTGCTTTCCAGGCACATACCTGCACATGGTCCCACGGGAGCCTCACTCACAGTATCCCTGAGCAAAAGATGGGGACACTGAGGTCTTGTGGATGTCATCTCTGGGGCACTCTGATTCCATCCCTTACCTGAGGTCATGGAGCTGATAAACAGTAGGACTGGCTCTTGAACCCAGGTTTTGGGCACCCACCCAGTGCATTTTCGCCTCAGTAGTCACAGTTCTGTTCACAGACAAGGCGAAGACTCTGGTAATATGGCTTTAGGATATGTCAGGGGGAAGTTACCACTGTATCTTACAGGGCTATGTCCAGGCTGCTATAGCAAAATACCCCATACCAGGTGGCTTAGACAACAGACATTTATTGCTCACAGTTCTGGAGGTCAGGCAGTCCAAGATCAAAGTGCCGGATGATTCAGTTCCTGGTGAGGGGCCACCTCCTGGCATACAGATGGCCATCTTTTCATGGTAGAAACAGAGCACGAGCAAGCTCTGTGGTCTCTTCTTACAAGGGCACTAATCCCATCATGAGGGCCCCACCCTCATGACCTCATCTAAACCTAATCACCTCCCAAAGGCAAATACCATCACATTGGAGGTTAGGGCTTCAACAGATGGATTTTGAGAGGGAAACCATTCAGTCCTTAGCTGTCTACTAGATCCAGACCCACTGGCCAGCGCTGATTCCATGTGATAGAAAGTAACACCCCTGCCCCCAACCACCCTCCGCAGCAGGAAAGCGAGGCTCAGAGAGGGGCCAGGGTGCAGGGAGCCCGATTCACATACATGTTTAGCTTTATTTAGTCAGCAAATCCTAAGCACTCGCCAAGGCCAGACACTGTGCCAGGTGCTTAGATCCTAGAAGTACAAGGAGCCCAAATGATATGGAATGGGAACACAGTACATCTGTGAACCTGGAAAAGGGGGAAGGCTTCCCAAAGGATGGCATCCAAGTTGTTGGTTCTGATGCATGAAGCTCAGGCCCAGCATTGGTGGATGAGGTGAGGGGAAGGGAGGCAGCATATTTCTGGGCTCAGAGTTGGGGCTGTGCTCCCAGGTGGCTGCCTCTCCCTCCTGATTTTACTCACCTGCCTACAGGGGCCCTCCTGATCCCCAGCCCAATGCAGCATGGCAGGAGCCAATGGTTAGGTCACTGATCCAGGAGAGGAGAGGGCTGTAGGAAAGACGGCTGGTTTGCTGGGGTGCTATTTGCGCGTTCAGCTTTTTGGTAGTGCACTGAAGGCCCATGCAGTAATAAATCTGTCCCTCTGCTGAGGCTAGGTTTGAACAACTGAGCAGTGTGTGCAGGGTGTCTGAGCTGGCTAGGGGCTGCCCAGCTGCTGCAGCCCAGTGGGGCAATGGTGTTGTCCAACCAGTTCAATTTTTTATTTGGGAAATGGAGGCCTCACCAAGGTCTTGGGATGTATTATTCGTGAATGTCAAAGAGAATATATTTTACCCTTGGTTTCTTCATGGCCTTGCTTTGTGATCTGGAGCAGAATTCCTACCCTCTCTGGACCTGTTGTCTCTTGATGACAGGATGATGACAAGAGCCCCAGCAACACCTGCTTCTGAGCACTTGAAATTTTTCTGCAGTCTTGGTTTCTTCATCTCAGTGAGGCCTTGCTCCCAAGGTAGCCCTGCCATTTGGGCTCAGGAGCCTGAGGAGCCCTGAAGCTCCACCCAGGTCTGTATTCAGGGCCCCACCTCTCCTCTCAAAGACATGTGTGATCCTGGGCCAGAGGCTTGCCCTTCAGGGTTTCCTCCAGCTCCTGAGCCTTCTGGGCAGACAAGGGCCACACTTGCAGCTGTGGACATCCCTCTGGGTGATGTCGGGAGATGCCTACAGCTCAAATTTGCAGAGAGCAAACAGACTTCCATAGCACAGAGGCCCTTTGCCCACCTGGGAAGCTGCCTGTGGCTCCTATCCAGCCCTCCCCCTCTGCCCTCCCCTTCTCCTGCTCACCAGCTGTGCTCCCTGGCCATCCGGCTGTCTTGCCTATGGAAAAGCCCATGGCACATGCTCCCAACCTTGTCAGCTTGAAATTAAAGACTTGCTCCACAGAGCTGGTCCTCTCCAGAGACCTGCACTTTGATTATCCCCTCGGAAGGAGCAGCTGATTTGGTTTCTGCGTGGTGCTCCAAGGAGTGGTGTTGGGAGGCAGGGGAGGGAGAGGGAAGAGGCAGAGGCGTGAGGGGCTGGGGCGATGTTTGCCTCCTGGAGCACAACACCTTGCAGAGCTGAGGAACTTCTGCAGCAATGCCAGGCGTTGCCAGGAGCAAACTGACCTCACGTTTTTTGATGATTATTGGGCCAGCTTGAAGGAATATTGCCACGAAGTGTGTTATGAGGTTGATTAGAATGGACTGACTTGATGATCCTAAGAGAAAGGCTGGGTGTGGTGGCTCATGCCTGTAATCCCAGCACTTTGGGAGACCCAGGCGGGTGGATCACGAGGTCAGGAGTTCAAGACCAGCCTGGCCAAGATGGTGAAGCCCTGTCTCTACTAAAAATACAAAAAAAATTAGCCAGGTGTGTGGCGGGCGCCTGTAATCTCAGCTACTCAGGAGGCTGAGGCAGGAGAATTGCTTGAACCTGGGAGGCGGAGGTTGCAGTGAGCCAAGATCGTGCCATGGCACTCCAGCCTGGGCGACAGAGCGAGGCTCCATCTCAAAAAAAAAAAAAAAAGAAAAAGAAAAAGAAAAAAAAGAAAAGAGAAAGGATCTCAGCTTGGGAGGCCGAGGCGGGCGGATCACGAGGTCAGGAGATCGAGACCATCCCGGCTAAAACGGTGAAACCCCGTCTCTACTAAAAATACAAAAAATTAGCCGGGCGTAGTGGCGGGCGCCTGTAGTCCCAGCTACTTGGGAGGCTGAGGCAGGAGAATGGCGTGAACCCGGGAGGCGGAGCTTGCAGTGAGCCGAGATTGCGCCACTGCACTCCAGCCTGGGCGACAGAGCGAGACTCCGTCTCAAAAAAAAAAAAAAAAAAAAAAAAAAAAAAAGAAAGGATCTCAGCATACCTGTGTTTGTCAAGGAGGCTGACTTCCCACCTTTGCCCCATCTTTGCATTTCTGAAAAGTTTCTTTAGAGAGTAAACACAGTTCAGTCAAGAGCCATGTCCTCTCCCCACACATGTGGCTCACAGCCCTAAGAGGTGGAAGGGCCTTGCTTTAGGGCGCAGTGAGGAATGGCTGCAGGTGCTTGGTGCTGGGCATGTGTGTTTTGAGTGCCCGGGTGTGTTTCTGTCTGTGTATGTAACACACGTGTCAACTGGGACCTATGATGCTGGCTGGAACTCCCTTTTCATATCCTAGGGAAGTTCAATGTTTTATCCTGAGATTTCTAAGAATTTCCAGAGAGGGGAGTGAGCTTGAGTTCTCATGAGGGTCTTGGCTCCAAGCTGATGCTCGTGCTGAATTTGTTCAGCTTGTGGATACATTTCCTCATGCTGGTCCACAGCTGCAGTTTGACTTAGATGTAGGATTCAATCTCTCCTTCACATTCGACCCCAAAACAATTCCCATAAGGCATTAACATCAGCGTCAGACTGGACTGAAGGTGTGGTGTGGGACAAAAGAAACTGTTTTGGGGGGTCAGTATCTGTTGAAAGGTGGGGAAAAAATAGCACATGTAAAAGCATGAGAAACAAAAATATTTGGATTGAATTGATATAAACCACTTTTTAAAACATCTTAACAGTGTATTAAGGTATAATTTAAAAAACTGTCCATATTTCAAGTGTTCAATTTGCCAAGTTTTGACATCTAGATCTAGATCTCTATTTAGATATACACATATAGATATACACACATTCCTCTGAACCTGAGTCAAGAGGTTCCTCTTCCCTGACACGTGGCTCACAGCCCCAAGAGGTGGGAGGGCCTCACTTTAGGGTGCAAGGCAAAGAGGAGAGGCTGCAGGTGCTTGGTGTTAGGTGTGTGTGTTAACAAGGGCACCATCCCCAGAAGTTTCCTCCTCTCCTCACCCTGGGCAACCACTGATCACTATGAATTGGTTTGCATTTTCTAGATGTTTCTATACAAATGGAATCATGCAGTCTCTTTTTGAGACAGAGAGGTTTCATATCTCAAAATCTGCAAGCAGTTCCATGTTGAATATTTGACACACTCATCCTTAGAAAGTCCTCTGCCTCTGTCTTCCACCTTGGTTCTCTGCAGCACCCACCCTGCTGGGCTTTCTTTCTTTCCCCTGCCCCCAAATTTTGTCTCAATTTCAATGCAGAGCAGTTCAGCCATCTTTTTGTTTCCTTGACTTTTGCTAATCCATATCCTCAGAGGCTTATCAAGGTAGTTTCCTGAACAAAAGACACTTTCCTCCCTAAGATCAATTCCACTGCCAGCTGTTAGGATAATGTTTTTTTATCCTCTTCTGCACTGTGTGAGTGTGTGCCCTTGTGTGTAAGTGTGTGCCTGAATGGGCACTGTCAGAGAGCGTGTAGGAGTGTTTAGTCTGTGAACATCTGGGGGTATAAATGTGGGTGGGGCAAAGGGGGGCTATTTTTTTAAACATTTATTGGTGCCTACCTGTACCAGAACTAAGCTAAGTGCTTTTGTATATTATCTCATTTAGTCCTCACGGCAAACATGTGACCTAGGAATAATGATTCACTTTAACAGATGGGAAAATGAAATTCAAAGGGGCTAAATAAATTGTCCACAGACACACAGCAACTAAATGGCAGAAGCAGAGCTAAACCTGAGTCTTTTGGGCTCCAGCCTCAGTGCTCATTCCTGTGCACTGGGAATGACGAATAGGTTAACGCTGTGCCATCACCAGGTGATTGGGAAGGGCTGCCTGGAGGACTACTTTGGGAAAGGCAGTGAAGCTGAGTCTGCGCTCACCAGAAGGAATGGCATGATTGATTAGTGATGTCTGCCACGGGTATGGGTGTGGAAGTGCTGTGTGCATGTCATCCTTGCCTTAAACCATGCTTCCTTGTCCTTCCTGTAATGGAAAAGTGAGTTATTATTACTCAGCAACAGGTGATTGAAAGCCTGGGTCTCTCTAGGAGCACTCACAAGGGTGCTCTAAGTTAGCTGGCCCTATTGGATGGCTTAACTCCAACAGGGTTTCCTCCACCCTCCGTCCTCACCCTTGAGGAGCTGTCCAGGGGCTGCTGGTGTGAAGGGTCTCCCCATGTTCTTCTCCTGCCCTTTCTCTGCAGGCCCCTGAGACTGCCCTCTTGTTTCTCTCTCCAGATCCCCTGCCATTCCCCTAGTTCAATCACCATCCTCTCTCATCTGCCAGAAGCCACCTTCATTCTTCCTTCCCTCCCTCCCTCCCTCTCTGTCTGTTTCTCTCTCTCTCCCCCTCCCTCCCTTGCTCTCTCTCTCTCTTTTTCTTTCTTTCTTTTTGAGACAGGGTCTCTCTCTGTCACCCAGGCTGGAGTGCAGAGGTGCAATATCAACTTGCTGTCACTCTGCCTTCTGGGCTCAAACGATCCTCCTGCCTCAACCTCCCAAGTTGCTGGGACCACAGGCATGCGCCACCACACCCGTCTAATTGTTGTATTTTTGTAGAGACGAGGTATGCCATGTTGTCCAAACTGCCTCCATTCTTGCTTCCCCATGGCCCATTCTCCAGGCAGCAGGAAGTATCCTTCTAAAATGTCCTGGGATCCTGCCAGTTGCCCCCCTCAGACCTCCCATTCTGCTAAGTATACACTGTAACTGCTCACCACGGAGATCTCCAAAGTGGGCCCTGCCCTGTTCTCTCAGCTTGCACTGTTCTCCCCTCACACAGCACCTGGGCCACTGGGCACTTCTCTTCACAGTTTGAACACACCAAACCCAGGTTTGCCTCAGGCCTTCATGCCTGCTTAGATGCCACCTCCTAGGCCAGGTTCCCCTGCTCACTAGTACTGTTACTTACTCACTTTCCTGCACAGAACTTACCACAAGAGTACAATATGCCAGACCACAAGCTCTCCAGAAGCAGAGATTCTGTCTGTCCTCATTTTCCTTGGAGTCTAGGGCAATGCCAGGCACACAGAGAGCACCAAATGTCTATGGAAGGAATAAATTCAAAGCATTTTGATACAAGCTTCCTCAAACTGCTTGCGAATCAGAGGAAAATATAACTAATAAATAGAAGGCCAGGCACAGTGGCTCATGCCTGTAATCCCAACACTTTTGGAAGCTGAAATATGAGAATTGCTTGAAGCCAGGGGTTCAAGACCAACCTGGGCAACAAAGCGAGGCCCTATCTCTAAAAAATTAAATTAAATCAAATTAGGCTGAGTACAGTCACTTACTCCTGTCATCCTGACACTTTGGGAGGCTGAGGTGGGAGGATTGCTTGAGTCCAGGTGTTTGAGACCAGCGTGGGCAACATAGTGAGAACCTGTCTCTACAAAAAACAGAAAAAATTAACTGGACATGGTGGTGAGCACCTGTGGTCCCAGCTACTTGGGAGGCTGAGGCCGGAGGATCGCTTGAGCCCAGGAGGAGAAGCTGCATTGAGCCAAGATCGCTCCACTGCACTCTAGCACTGTAGGCTGGATGACAGAGCAAGATCCTGTCTCTCTCTCTTTCTCTCTTTCTCTTTTGTGTGTGTGTGTGTGTGTGTGTGTGTGCAAGTGCTCACATATATGTTTAGGGGACCTTGGGCTAGCTGTTTAATCAGCTTGGGCTTTGGTCTCCTTATTTGCAAAATAAGACATGGTGCTTGTCCTGCACACACGACAGGACAGAGGGCTGGTGTCAGGGCATAGGAAGCACTATACCCAGGCCTGGATCACCATTAGGCAAATCTTACGAATCTGCCTGGGGGTAGGGGCAAGGGTCACTTTCTCTTCCTCAGTAACTTTGGTCTGGTTCCAAGTGCTCCAGCTTTGGGCCTCTGAGCTGCTTCTGTCCTCCTTCCCTGCCCTGGGGCAAAACTAGGGGCTGGAGTAGCATTTCCCATGCCCCAGCCAATCTCCCTCTCCACTCTCCCTGTCCAATTCCCACCTTCAGCTGAGAGTTTCTGTCTCCTTCATGTGCAAGAGACTATTCCTGGGCATCTCTGAGAGCTCAGATCAAAGCTGTCTGGTGCTAGCACATCCAGCACTATGGTGGGGGAGGAGGGCTGGGTTCTGTATATTTAGGAGAAGAGTCACCACCTTCCTGGAACCTGAGAATGGAGTTTCAGACCCTCAGGCTCACAACCTGAGAACTTCTGGGCTCTGCCCCTCAGAGCAGCTCAGTGGGGGCACATTCCCCCTCCTCCCAGGGCCACCTCTATTGGCCCCATGGCCCACCACCTCCCACCCATTCCTCCTCTCTCCTTTGATGGGAGGAGATAGATTTTACATCACAGAGAGGCTCCCAGTAGGAACTGTAGATGGTTCTGTATCAGGCAGGAATGGCTTTCTTCTGGGGGGCTTCCCACATACTAATGGTTTCTTCTTTTTTGATTTTGTTTGTTTGTTTTAGAGACAGGGTCTCACTCTGTTGCCCAGGCTGGAGTGCAGTGGCGCAATCAGGGCTCACTGCAGAATCAACCTCCTGGGTTCAAACCACCCTCCCACCTCAGTCTCCTGAGTAGCTGGGACTACAGGTGTGCACCACCATGGCTGGCTTAATGATTTCTTCTTAAACGACCGCTCTTTGAGCAATAGTCTTTGGGCCTTGGAGGATTCCCCAGAATGTGGTCTGGAGAGACAGGCTGGCTCAGGGAGCCGGCCCGCAGAGCCCTCATCACTCCTGCTGACGGAGTCCCTGAGGAGCAGCTCTGCCTCTGTGGCCTGTGAGTGGGAGCCAGCGTAGCCTGTGGCTAGGTGGCAATGGGGTGTCAGAGACTTGAGGTTCCACCGGGGGACAGGGTGACCGTGGGCCAGTCGCTGCCCTCTGTGGGCCAGTTGCTGCCCTCAATTCTGTCTGCTGGTAAATGTGGGGTTGGAACACGAGGTCTTGGGATTATGTGTGGCCTAAGAGACCAAACCCCGCCTAGAGAGAAGTTTCTATCGATTGCTCCTCGTCTGACTCAGGTGAGCTGCTTTTTGAGCAGTGCTTGCAAGGTGAGGACGTTGCGGCTTCTTCAGTTCCCTGGTTCTCAGTGTGGGCAGGGCCACTCTGACTTGGCAGTTGTCATCACTGCTACTCTTTGCTACAAAGTCACTATTCACTAGCTGTTTCCATGCCTTCCTTCACTCCTCTGTGCAGTAGATAAAATCCACTTCCCAGTGGATGAAATTGAGATGCAGAGACATAAGTAAAGTTGGGAATAACCAAGCCAGGGTTTGCCCTGTTGCCAGGTCCCTGCTCATTCCACTCCATTCCTGCTCATAATGCCAGATAGGACCACTCGTCCCCGGGGTCTCTGCCCTGCTAGTCTCAAAGACCCTTCCACAGGGCAGGACTTTGCATAAATGATCCACAGCGGGTAGCAGATAAGACTAAGGGGCTGCCTTTCCCCAGACACTTTTGAAGAAAGGACTGGCAGCTCCCTTTGCCTCCTCCAGGGCAGTGGGCCCAAGACCCCAGTGTTGCAGAGACACAGGTGCTGCTATGGAAAATGTTGTCAAAGAGCAAATTCGCTGGCAGCCGTGATGTGTTCCTTGAGGTCAAAGGGCTAGCAAGACAAGCATGATCCAGAGATGCCGTAGGGACAGGCCTGAGCAAGGATAAACAACATGTTGGTTGGTGCAGCCGGGCAAGCAGAGAAAGTGAAAGTAAATAAGCAGACAGATGCTGTGCGCAGGTACCAGGGGACCGAGCTGCAGCAGGAGGGTGCCGGGGCAAGGAAACTTGCTTGTGGAAAAAGGTGGCATGTGATCAACTAGGACAGGTATGAAAGGGGGTGGGATGAGCTTTCTAATGCTTTCTCATTGCTTGGAGACAAAGGGAGATGGGGTCTCTGAGCCTGGTTAGAACCATTCCCCAAACCCTTACAGCTCCCAGATGCTTGTTCTGAAAAGCCCGAGAACCAGAAATAGCCTGTGCCCCTCTTGGAAGCAGAGGTAGGGTCTCTAGCCATCACATGACAAACACAAACTTCAATATCTAAAGGCAGGGGATAAAGAAGGCACTCAACCAATCAGAAGCCAATAAACCAATCAGATGTTTCTTTCTAAGGCAGCCTTGCAAATAAGAACAAAACGTACCAGCCTAAAAATAAGTCTTCCTTTGCCCTCCACTGTAGAGCAAGAGGGAGTCAAAACAGTGACATGGGCCTTCTTTGCCTGGTGGAGTTTATGGAAACTTAATAACATGCCAGGGTGTGGGGCTGAGTGCCAGTCCATTCTGCAGCCTTTGAGTTTGATATTGTGGTGGCCAACATAGTGTTTCCAAAACATCCCTTAGGACTCCAGCTAGACATGGGAGAGACCAGGGAAGAGAGGCTAGAGTCTCTTTAAGGTGACACCAGAGTTCCCCGACAGGGAGGTGTCACTCAGGGGTCTCCAGGGACCTCTCCAGGGACAGCAGGCTGGGTGTCAGCTGGGGCAGGAATTCATCAGCTGTAGATCTCAAGAAAACACCTCCATCTGATTGCACTGCCAGTTCATTCATATCCATTTAGTGTCTCCTCAGATCCTGGGATTTATCTTCATTAGGGAGGGAAAGAGACACTTTTTCTGATGAGATCTGAGGGATTCCTTCTTCCTGTCTCTTGTCTCACTTGTCCCTCCCTAAGAAGAGTGAAGAGTCTCTGGACAAAAAAGCTCTCTGGCTTCAGTGTCTCCAGGGCTTTTCCTACATGGAGATAAAGAAACCTTAGAAGAAGCCAAGAACTGTCCAGCCCTTGGCCTGGTGGCTCTGCCTAGGACATTATGAAAACATGAGTGCCCTGTGTCTCAGGGAGGGCAGATCTATTAGCTATCTACTGCCATGTAACAAATCACTCCAAAACGTAGTGCTTACAACTCCAACAGTCATTGGTTATCTCTCACAGTGTCTGGTGCTCTGGGGCAGTGTGGCTGGGGCATTCAACTCAGGGTTTCTCAGGAGGTTGCAGTCAAGATCTTGCTGGGGCTGAAGTTATCTGAAGGCCTGATAGGGGCTGGTAGGTCTACTTCTAAGGTGGTCCATTCATACGGCTGGCAAGTCGGTTCCTCTCATGTGGGCGCTCTGCAGGGCTGCTTGAGTTCCTTCCTAACATGGTAGATGCTTTCCCCAGAGCGAGCAATCCAAGAGGCCAAGGCAGAAGGTGCAGTGCTTTCTATGACCTAGCCTTGGAAGTCACACACCATTACTTGCACTGTATTTTATGGGTCACACAGTCCATCCCTGATCCAATGTGGGAGGGGACTATGCAGGTCTGAATTCCAAGAGGATCAATGAGGGCCATCTTGGAATGTGGGTACCATGGCAAAATGCTTAAGGTAGGGGTGACATCAGGATTGAGGCTTGCCACAGGATTGAGAACTCCAGGGAACAGGGGTAATGGAAAGAGCACCGACCTTAGAGTCTGAGAGACCTGGGATTGAAACTGAGTCACTTACCAGCTGTGTGACTTTGGGCAAATAACCTGATCCCTCTTAGCCTCCACTTCTGTATCTGCTAAAAGGATGTGGTTCCTGAATTATACACCTGCCTGAGGCTTGACTGAGAGTGTTCAACGCATGGTCAGCCTCAAGTGATCACCCCTTCTTTCCAGGGTTCTATCCTCCCCATGCCAAGAAGAACCCCACGAGCTTTTTGGTCACCTGACATCCACCTTCTGGGGCCACTCACCAGGGCCAGGGGATTCACAAAATGTTACTGGCACCTCCCCAGGAAAGCTCCGTGGAGCCCCAGGGCCTGGGGGCAGAGGAGATGTGTCTTCTTCCTCTCCTGGTATGGTCAAAATACCTTAAGATGAACCCCAAATTCTTCCCTCTTTGCCTGTGAAGTGAGCCGCCCACCCCAGGTGATCTCAGGCTCCTTCTCCACCATGCAGCCCTGGTTAATCCATGGAATGCTAATGCCTGCAGAAGCAGCTGCTTACACAGTCCCGGAAGAAGCTGCCAGGCAGTCAGCCCCAAGTGAGGACACTGCAGGCTGCAGGGGTTGCAGGGAGAGAAGAGAGCAAAGGAGGGAGGTGGGAAAGATTGGAGAGGGCAGACTCCAGGCCCCAGGGCCTAAGCTTGTGCCAGGCAGCAGAGGTGGAAGGAAGTCCATGGGCTTTGATTTCAGGGACCCTGTGCTCTAGTCCTTCATTTAGCCCATCCATTCAGTGCCTTGTGCCCCGGGCTCTGCAGAAGGTGCAGAGTTCTGGGCACTGATCATTCACTGATCGTAGCTCCAGGGCGCAGCCACAAATGATGTCATCCTATGGAGAGAGCTGCTGGTTTCTGGCAGACCTCTATATCAGAGCAGCTTGGTGTGTACCCGGAGCCTTGCTCCAGACTCATCCAAGTTCCCGTGGTCCACATCCATGCCTCAGCAAAGTTAGTGCGTGCTAGAACCACTGCAAATTCTGACCTACCTCCTTGGGAGAGTATTTGTAGTGACCCAGAAGACTCCATTCAAGTCTACTTGACATACTTTTCCTGAGTACCTCCCTGGTTAAGACCTAGCCTGTTCTTGCAGAAGCCAGGGATGCAAGTAATTATCATTTTGTATAAAGAATTGTGGGAGCTCAGTGAAGAGAAGATTTAGCTCTGCTCTGAGCTAGTGCAGGCATGGGGCCTGCCAGGGAAGTCATCCCAGAAGGGATGATATTGGAGTTGGTCCTTGAAGGATGAATAGGAGTTTTTCAGGTGAAAAATAGAGTGAGAGGTGGGGAGGAGCACACTAGGCAGGGAGAACAGCATAAACAGAGCCAGGGCCTGGGGGTGTGGAAGGAAATCACTGATAGCCAGTCCTGTGCATCTGCAGTGGGAAGTTTGTGGTTCTAAGAGAGTAGGCTGGGGATGAGGCAGATTGGAGAGAGGCTGCGAAGGACTCTTCCCCAGATGAGCTTTACATCCTTTGTTGGGGGGTCAAGGGGAACCACAGGAAGTGTCTAAGAAGGGGAACGCAGCACAGCCCCAGCTCTGCTTTAGAACACCCGGTATGAGGAGGGCCTGGCTCCAGATATCTTCTCCCCTCCTCCTGCTGTCATTATGTGCCTGTTCTCGGCCACCACCCAAACTCACCCCATCACAGAAGGGCTGATGGAGCTGCACTGCCGAGTTAATACAAAACTCCGGCCCCGGTGCTACACCAGCCCAGGAGGGAGGCAGCCGTAACAAGAGAGGAAATTACAGATAAGAGTGGAGAAATGGCCACAGCAAGATGAAGGGAAGGCAGGCGCCGGCAGAAAACAAACCAAGGTGTCAAGACAGAATCAATAACCATCACTGAGAAGAGGAGAAGATGGGATTCATTACAGAGAGGGTAAAACAGACATTACCCAGCCTGCCCACGAGGCTTGCTGCACATGCGGAAGAACTTTCAACTCGGCAAGTGCTGACGGTGGAAATACTTGACAACACAGCAACTTAGGGGAGAGGCAGGGAGGGAGGGAGACAGAGACGAGGAGGAGCAAGAGAAAGAGACATACGGGGAGTCTGAGAGAGACAGCGAAGCACACAGAGGGAGCTGGGATCAGAGTCAGATGGAGGTGCGGAAACTGGCAAGCACGGGCTTGAGCTGGACTTATTTCGTGCCTGGATTATGAAGCCAGAGGTATAGGGAGACAGGGACCTCTTATTCCACAGGGAACTAGGACAGACCTAAAACTGCTGAAGGCATGGAAGTCAAGGAGGAAGATAAAGGCACAGAGAAAAACAGAGCGGTATATCCAAAGAGAACTCATGTCTTCTTGGTTGAGGGGCCGAGCTGAGCAGGTTGGCTTCAGCCCCATGTATCCTAGAAGGGGAGTGAAAAATCTGACTTCACTTGGTGAAGGACACCAAGTGTGAACTCATGCGAATATGTGCAAAGGAGGGGAGTCCCCCGTCCCAGGTCAGGGTCTCATGGTCCTTCTACCCCATCCATCCTCCCACTTGGGTGGGAAACTCACACTGAGCAAAGTCTTCAGACCACCTGAACTGCAAAGGGAAAGGTGCTGCCAGGTTCCAAAAGGGCTGGATTCTAGGACAGTATCCTCTGCAGCTGGACCAGACAGTGAAGCAGGGTTAGGATGAGGGGGCAGGGACAAGGCTTTTGGGGTAGCATCCAAGATGTAGTAGCAGGTATCCTGACAGGTGGGTAGAATGATAGAGGGGACATCAGGCAGCCTCAGAGGTGGGGGGTCTGGTACTAATGGCAAGATTCTCAGACCTCCCTGGAGAGGGGATCTGAGACTAGCAGGGCAGAGGCCCAGGCCTTAGAAGACCAGGGTTTTGGGAAGGTTAGCAAGACAGGGTCTTGCACACCAGCAGTAATGCAGACACTATGTTATCAGTCCCAGGACTCCCCAGACCAGCACTGGGGACCATGATGGGGTAAGCCAGAACATCAGGGCAGAACAGCTAAGATCTCCCATCCCTAAAACTAGACCTGGGCATAGGACAGAGCCTTCAGATGGGAGAGGAGGGGAGACTGAGAGGTCCCAGCCTTGGGAAGAAGAAGGCTGCAGAGGCCATGACCCAAGCAGGTACAGGGACTTGAGGCACCACCCTGGGGTGCTGAGGCTGGCTGGCTGAGTGCTTGCAGAACTGGGAGCAGGGCAGCTGTGGGTAGGGGTTTGTGCACACTAAAGACGAAGGGATCCAGGAGGCAACTCTGGCTGGAACCCTGTTCCCCCATGCTTCCTGTCCCCAGGAGGTGGCACCTGATATGGCTTGCTGGGAGGAACCTAGAAGCTGCACTTGGTGGCAGTGTTTAAAGCGTGTACCTGTCAGGGCCAATCTGGAGTGTGAGCAAGATGTGAGCTGGGAAAGCATCCAGGCCCTTCCTGGTACACTCACACTGGGAGAGGACGAGGTCCTCAGGCAAGGACTTCTCTGTTCAGTCATGGCTCTCCCAGGCAGGGAGGCCAGGGAGCAATAATGCTACCAGCCAATGGTGACCATGGTACACTTACTGCGTGCCTGTCACTGGGTGCAATGCTTTATATGCTTTATCTTATTTGAGCCACACAAATAATGTTCTGTCCATTTTAAAGAGGAGGAAACAGATTCAGAGAGGTGGTGGAACTGGACCAAGGTCACACAGCTTTGAAATGGTAGAACTAGGATGTGAACCCAGGCAGTTTGGCTCCAAAGCTGGACACTTCACCTCATCATGTTGTCCTTGCCTAAGGGTGACCCCCTAAATTCTTCAGATGTCTCATTCTCAAAAATGTCTGTGGAAGGCTCTTCTGAGCTAGCCTGGTCATATTCCAAGTTCTCCAGGTCTCCAACACCCAGCATATAGCTTCTCCGCATAGGCTCGGGGTGGCAGGCCAGCTTCCCCTCCGTGCTCCAGGTCTCCCCTCTCCTGGGTAGTTCCCATTCCCTGAAAGGAGGCTGTGGGGCTCTATGTGCCCATGAGAGTAAGGGCCAGCTGGAAGCAAACTCAATGAGCCCTGAGTCCCCAACCCATCTCTGTCTCTGTCTTTCCACCTGTGTCCCACCTTTGTGTCCCTCCCACGAGGCCACGCAAGTCCCTTCATCCATCCTTGTCTTGGTCTTTCTCCTTGTGTTCTGGTTCCTCCTTCCTTTTGGTCAATCTTTCTCTGTTTCCCTGTCATTGTCCGCTGTGTCTTTCTTCCACGTTTTGCCCCTGTCTCCCTGTTTTCCTTCTGTGGTTTCTGCATGTCTAGATCTGCCCTGCCTCCTCCCATATGTGGTTTGCACACACCTTGCAGAAAAGCCATGGCTATCTGGGGTGATTTGCCTGGCAGAGCTTCTAGACCCTGGCATATCCTGCAAGCCATGCCCCACTTCTAGACCCTGGCATATCCTGCAAGCCATGGCCAGCGCCCTTCTTATTTCCTGATCTGGGCCCAGAGCTGGTGAAACTGGCAGGGGCAGCCTAGCCAGAGCAGGGGGAGGCAGCAAAGCCATGGACTTGCCAGAGGAGCTTTCAGGGGGGTTAAGGGCTTTTAAAACAGCCCATCAGCATGGAGCCAGCATCCTTGGCCTTTGGAGTGATGGACTGGGAAAGAATGGGGGGTAGTTTAGTTGACAGCATGTTGATACTAACATAAATCTCATTAAAATAATGAATTTGTCAAACATAACCATGTCTGTCCCCTTAACAGTTTAGGGTGCAATGGCTGTGCCCCTTTATGTCCACGTAATAAGGATGCTGAAGCCCAGTCTCCAACCCATGACTGCCCTGAGATGGCAAATCCAGACACACCCTCCCCATCCTGGGCCCCAGGAGGCCCTGGGCCTAACGAGTGTTTGGAGGGGCAGGACCAGACTTGCTGGCACCCAGGGCCCTTGCACTTGCCTGCCCCCTGTCTGGACTGCTCCTCCTGAGATGTCTACATGGCTTGCTCCCTCACCTCCCACAAGTCCTTTGCTGGGATTTTACACTTGCAGCCCGGTGGTCTCTGGAAAGACCATTTAAAATTGCCCCTGACCTGGCCATCCCTCCACTCCCCCTCTGCCGTGCATCTCCCTCCCGTTTAATCAGTCATTGCTGTGTCCTGACACCTGCCTGTAATGGTCATGGGGACAGGGATTTCTGTCTGTCTTACCGTACTCCCAAACCTCCAATGGTATCTGGTACATAGTAGGTGCTCAATACATATTTGTTAAACATTCATTTGCACCTGGGTTGGGAATTTTTGTGTACCACAAGGAGGGTTTTGCAATCTTTATCTGTTTTTAGATATGTTTACTTTTCAGAATTTATCTCCTTTTGTGTTTTTGATTTCTAATTCACACTCAACCTCTTATTCCCACTCTGTACTGTTTAGGATAATATAAATGATAATAAAAAGTGGGAAATAACCTAAATATCCAATAACAGGGATTAGTAGGAAACATACATAGTCTTACAAAACAGAATGTATAATAAGATTCTATTTTTGTAAACTAAATCTGTAGATACATATTTATTTCTCATTATTTGGCAAGATTTTTTTTTTGGAGACATGAGTATGGACATTAATAGCTACCTGGTGAAAAAACAGCTTCTGGATTCATAGAGTTTAGGGAATGGCAAAGTTTAAATGGGTTTCCTAACTGAGGCTCTCTATAGAGCTTTACATGCATTTACAATGAATATTACAATAAATATTCATTACAATGAATACTACAAAGCTCCAAGAAGAGGGTAGAATGTACAGTACTTTTTGAAATTTGACCAGGTGTGTTGCTGCTGTTTGTGTTGTTGTTTTATAGCTCAAGGGACTGAAGTTCTAGAACCTTCTTTGGGAAGTGGTAACACACACATGCTGGGAAGAATGCAGAGGTGCAGGTGCCCAGGTGTTCTCAGTGGCTGTGTCTGAATGGGGGCTTACACTTCTTTATGTTCTTTGTGCTTGTCTGTATTTTCTATAATGTGCATTTTATAAGTTAAAAGCAGCACAGCCGGGCGTGGTGGTTCACGCCTGTAATCCCAGCACTTTGGGAGGCCGAGACGGGCAGATCACGAGGTCAGGAGATCGAGACCATCCTGGCCAACACGGTGAAACCCCATCTGTACTAAAAATACAAAAAAATTAGCTGGACGTGGTGGTGGGCACCTGTAGTCCCAGCTACTCGGGAGGCTGAGGCAGGATAACGGCCTGAACCCAGGAGGCAGAGCTTGCAGTGAGCCAAGATCGCACCACTGCACTCCAGCCTGGGCCACAGAGTGAGACTCTATCTCCAAAAAAAAAAAAAAAAAAAAAAAAGCGCAACCCAAAGACAAAAGTATAAAAAAATTCTGGAATTTTTCAAATTGGGGTCCTCCTCCCTTCTTTTTAAACATTTCTAATTTGTTTTCAACCTGCTCGGCTCAGCTTTCTTGGCAGTGTTTTTATAATTTTTTTTATTTTGAAAATTAGTTGTAAATGAACGTTTCCAACCAACAGCTCATGTTTTCTTTATGACCAGTTCATCATCTTGGCCAAATAGTCATTTCTGGACCAAATCAGAGAGATGGGAGGAGGGACCTGGAGTGGGAGGTAAGAGAGAGAATGGGAATAGATAAGGTAGGAAAAAGACAGGGAGCAAGACAGGGAGAGGCAGAGACCAGAGAGGTGAGACGGAGTGGGAGGAAGAGAGGGAGCGAGGAGGAGAACTCAGAGAGACCAAGAACTCAGAGAGACCTTGGAGCAAATGAGAAGCAGGATGAGGAGGATGGACATTCACCAAACACTCATTCAGCCCTTCCCATGGACCGAACACCAGGTGAATGGGGCCAGGACACTTGCCCTTGCAAAGATTACAGCCAGCGTGGGGGAGAGGGGTAATAAACCATTTCCAAAGAGGTTTTCGTGTTGTAATGCAGGCAGGCCGCGGAGCTCTGGGGCAGCCCTCCAGCATAGCTCAAGGGTGCGGCAGGTCACAATGTGGCTGCAGGAGCCACTCTCTGATCTGCCCTTTTTCCTAGAGGAGAGGAGCTGAGGCCTTGGCTCCTGTGTTTCCACTGGAGAGGCTTTGGGGGTGCCCAAAGGGCAGGAGCTCCCAGGGTGGGGGTGGGGAGGGCTGGGCCCCTTGTCTGTCTGGAAGCTGCGTATGTGTCATATGCATCGTGCATGGGCAACACACACGGTTTTTGCAGAGACTGTTTGTTATAAACTGACAAAAATAGATTGTTTTCTAAGAAACGCTCTTATTCACATGCTTTTCATAAGATTGAAAAATGTCAATTGCCTACACCAGAAAATATATATTATTACTTTGATGTGGCGACTGGTGGAGATTACGCAGGGGCAAAAGCAGCCCCCATCCCTATCCCTGGACACAGCCTGTGTTCGGAATCTGTGCAGTCGTTTCCTGCTGCAAGCCAGGAGCAGGGATGAAAACGGCCTCTGGAGGCCCCTTCCAGCCTGCACGTCCTTTAATCTGCATGATTTGATGGTGGCCAGCGCCCAGCCTGGGCTGCACCCCCGCCAGGCCCCCTGCCTTCCTCCTGCCCTCATCACAGTTTCTGGGCTGCACTCCTGGCGGGAGGATGAGCAGCCTGCGGCTAATCCCCGATTAATATTTCATGCTTCTGATGGAGGGCCTGGGAGGGGAGGATCACTGAGGGCTGAGCGTGGAGGGAGAGCTGGAGAGGTCCGGGAGTTGCTTCGTGTCTGAGGATGAAGGAGGGGCATTGATGAGAATGGGGAACTGCAGCCTCTCCCACAGACCACCCCAGGCCCAGGGAATCTTTAGAGGCCATAAGGCAGCAGCTGCTCCTGCTCAGCACCTGTGGGCGGAAGAGAGCAGGATAAGCAAGGGAGCCACTTTCAGCCCTGCTCAGCACCTAACACCACCACCTCCCCCAGGAGCCCCACCCACCAGCTCTTACTGACCTTCGGAGTTTACAGTCCAGACGGAAAGGCAGGTGTTAAACAAATGCACGGAGCAATAAATACAAATGTGGCAGGGACCTTGCTCTGAGGAAGTGGAGCATGTCATAGAAGAGCCAGGTGAGAAGGGGAGGGCTCAAGCTCCCCGGGGAGGGGCAAGCCTGTGCACAGGCCTGAGATGAAGCACGTGGCTTAGGGTCCAGGCTCTGGAACCAGACTTCTGTCTTCAAATCCTGGCTGCATCATCCCCCATGACCTTGGCCAAGTTCCTTTTCCATACCCTCATGCCTCGGCTTCCCCCTCTCTCAAAAGATCATAATCGTGTCTACTTCACTGCATTATCAGTTAGGAGTAAATGCTCTCATGCAGGTAAAGCGCCTGGACTGGTACTCAACACATAATAGGTTCTCAGTAAATGTCAACCAGTAGTACTGTTACTGATATTATTTTACCTGCCAGGAGGAAAATGTTTGTGAGCCTAAGAAGAGGACCTGCCCCCTGAAAAACTGGGCTGGAGATACCTGCTCCTTCTCCCCTGCCTGGTTCTCATGGCCCCTTCCTGCTTCGGGTGGACCATCAACTGCACATGGCCCAGGGGCACCAGGGAGGATGCGTTGGAAAAGGGACAAGGGCACAGCGCCCACCCTCCCATCCTGCCCGGAGGAGCCCCGGCCGGCAGCTTGTGACAGATGGCAGTGCTTTGAATGACTACTTCAATTTTAACTCTTTTCGATAATCCAGCACCCAAAAGCCACATACTTTAAAACTGTCCCTGGATCATAGATCAGCCCAAAGAGACCAAGTCCAACTCAGTTAATAACCTCTGGAAACACCATCAATCACTGGGAGAGCCTCTCCTTAGGGCTCTCCATACCAACTCCTGGCAGAGATGAATGAATGGGCCACTGTGCTTGGCAGTGGCTCTGCCTCTTGGGCTATTTGCATCTCACCTTCTTGCGCTAGAACTTGGACTTTTTGGAGCTGACCCCAGGGTGGAGACAGGAGTCAGGCCGCTGGGCAGGAGCAACTGAGTGACTGTCGCTTGGAGAGAGGAGGCTGATGTCTCTCCCTGTCCTGCTCAAGGGAACCCCTCCCCTTCTTCCTGATCTCTCATGGCCTTGGTGGTCTCTGTGGCCTCAGGTGGGCTGGCCACAACCCCAGATGGCCTCAGCCTCTCCTGCGGGAGCCCCTTTAAGAGTCTGCCCCCTGGGGAGCCGTCACACAGGAGTCATATGGAGAACACAGTGTGCTTGAGCAATACCTGCTTCTCGTTGGGTGGGAGCTGCCACAGGCCGACAGCCATGCTTTGGACAATTTTGTTCCACAGAGGCTGGGCCCTCCCCTGGAAGCTGGCTGACCAGGGACTGCATCCTCTCTGATGGCGACACCCTGAGGCCTATGAGTTCCTCCTTCTGCTGGCTCTCATACCCAGCCCTGCTGCCTGCCACTTAAGTACCCTGCCCACACACCCAGCCTCCTAGTCTGTCACCTCCTGCTTCTCCCTTCAGTCCTCCCTGCACACCCTGCCAGAGGCCTCCCTGAAGCCTGATCACATCACTCCTGCACCTAAATCCAAGTTTCCTGGCCTGGTGTTCAATTCCAAACTAACCCTGCCAGGGACACTGTCCCTGTTATTTACTCCTCAGCCCAAACTCTTGGCTCAGGCCCAATGAATCATTCCTCCTTCACCCACCCCACCTTGTGCATTTCAGCACATGGTTACTCATAACATGCATGAAGCCTCCTCTCTGTCCTCTCTCCACCTATTAAAATTCTACCCATTCTGGTTTTTTTTTTTTTTTTTTTTTTTTTGAGACGGAGTCTCGCTCTGTCATCAGGCTGGAGTGCAGTGGTGCGATCTCAGCTCACTGCAACCTCCGCCTCCCGGGTTCAAGCGATTCTCCTGTCTCAGCCTGCCGAGTAGCTGGGACTACAGGCACGTGCCACCATGCCCAGCTAATTTTTTGTATTTTTAGTAGAGGTGGGGTTTCACCATGTGGGCCAGGATGGTCTCAATCTCTTGACCTCATGATCCACCCACCTCAGCCTCCCAAAGTGCTGGGATTACAGATGTGAGCCACCGCGCCCGGCCTAAAATCCTACCCATTCTGTAAGTCCCAGTTGAAGTCTCACCTCCTCCATGAAGTCCTCCTTGACCACTCCAGTCCCTACTTCTGGAACTAATGGCATGCACTGTCACTAATATAGCCCTAGGCACTGGGCATTGGCAACTTTGTATTGCTAGGTTCATGCTTGACTTGGAAGCCCTGCCTTATATGTCTTTGAACCCTGCACAGACATTCTTTTCTTTGTATCTCCCACCCCAGACCTATCTTCACATGTCCAGGTATTTCCCAGGCTTCAAAGCTGCCTCCTTTGGAATCCATGCTCTTGGGAGGGTGATGGAACCAGATGAACAGCTCAAGAGGCAGGAACCATGCTGTCCTCTTCACTCCTGTGTTCTTAGTGCCTCACACCCAGCCTTTTGTTCAGAGAGCAGATGAAAGTTACTGGCTGGATTGGATTGCTTTAGACTTCATCTTCACCTCTTCAGTGGCATGTGTTGCTCTCTGCCTTATGTTATAAATGATATTCTCACACTCATCCTATAACCTACTCAACATCTTGTTTCCCCAGCAACATCTATCAAGGTACCTTGCTGCAAATGCCAAACACTTGGATGAAAGCCTGGATGAAGTCTCCTCCAGCTACCCTGGGAAGTGCTCTCTGGCCTATGGTAACCTACAGGTGGAACTTGAGGTGTGATGTGCCACCTGGGCTTGGTAAACAGCCCCTCCTTATGTGTATATACCACATTTTCTATATCCACACATGCAGGTGGACATTTAGACTGCTTCCTCATCTTGGCTATTGTGAATAACATTGCAGTGGAATATTACTCAGCCACAAAAAAGAAGGCAATCTTTTCACATTCAACAAAATAAATGAACCTTGAGATCATTATGCTGAGTGAAACAAACCAATAACAGAAAGACAAATACTTCATGATCTCACTTATATGAGGCATCTAAAGCAGTTAAACCCACAGAAGCAGAATGTGGAGTGGTGGTTACCAGGACCTGGGAGGAGGGGGAAATGGAGAGTTACTATTCAAGGAGAATTGATGTTCATAGAGTCAGTCATGCAAGATGAGAGAGTTCCAGAGACGTAGATCATTGTGCTTAGTGTTAATGATAATGTATTGTACACATAAAATTTTGGTGAAGAGGGCAGATTTCATGTTATGTGTGTTTTTCATAATAAAATAGTTTCTAAAGGAATTAAAACTATCCCACACTATACCCCTCTGGCCCCAGGATTCTTCTTCCCTTAGTTCTTTCTGCCCAGAACCACCTGAAGACTGGCAGCTGAGTGTTCTGAAAAAAGCTCTAAGCTTGGGGGAGGGAGATCCAGGTTTCTTGACTGTACTTCTTATTGACTGTGTGATGCGTGCAAAATACTTAAACTCCTTTCTCCACGTTTCCTTATCTTTGAAAATGGAGCACATAGAAATACCAGTCTTGGCTACCCTGCAGAGTTTCTGGGAAAATCTAATGAGCTCATGTTTGAGGAAGCGCATTGTGAATAATAAAACACGATACAGGTTGCTATTATTATTCCAGCGAAGTTTCTGGCCAGATGGAGGCAGGGGGGTCAGAAGCTGTAGATCCTCTTTCTGTTTACTCATTTGAATTAGGAACCATCAAGGTTGCTACAGAAAGTGGCCCCGGAGCTTGAGCCACCTGGGGTGTTGTGCTTCCGTTAGGATTGGCTTCAGCTACCAGTGACCAACACAACAGGGGCTTCTATAGATGAGAGTCGAGATTTCTCTCTAGTGAACACCTGGAGGCAGCAGGGAACGTCAGGGTGCCATGATCCTGCCCACTGGCTGTTCCGCCATCTCTATTGTGTAGCTCTGTCTTCATGGTTCAAGACGGCTGCCATCATATCCATGTCCTGGGTGGCTTCATGGAGAAAGAGACAAGTAAGAAAAGGCAAAGGGCACATGCACCAGCCGTATTTTAAGGGAGCCTGTTGGCAGTTCTGACGCAATACTTATGCTTGCACACCATTGGCACTTGGTCACATAGCCGTGCTTAGTTGCAAAGGAGGCTGTGCAGCCTTCCTCTGGTGGCCATGTGCCCAGGGAATTTCTATTGCTTTGGAAGAAGAGAAAAATGAATATTGAAAGGAAAACTATCATGTCTGCTGTGGGATGTAGGGCAGTTGGGAGGGGAGGAGAAGCTGGTCAAAATTCCCTTGTTTTTCTATTGGATCGTAAAGCCCTTCATGACTGTGTTTCTTTGAGCCAAAGACCTGACCAGAAGGTGACAGTTTAGACACTTGGTGTCAACAACTTCCTGCCATTCTCTCCCCACCCACAGGCCAAGCAGCCACCTGGATGCCCCAATTTCAGGACTGAGAATTTAGAAATGAGCAATTTCACTGTTTTCCTGCCTCCGAGGAAAAAGTGGCCAAATTATGTTTCCTGATAAAGTAGGAAATAAGTAAAGGTGAGAAGCATTGTTTGCACACCTATCTCTAGCTGTCTGTCCGTCTCTCTGCCTATTATGACAGATAGACTGTGAACTCATAAGACTACCTGAGCCCTAAGTTATGAGTTGTGGAACAGATGCCTGAAAAATCATAGCACCAAGTACTTTACATGTTATGGTCTCCATTTTACAGATGAGGACACTGAGGCACTGAAAAATTAAACACCTTGTCCAAAGTCACACAGCCAAGCTGTAACTGAGCCAGGTGTGAACTCAGTGTCCTGCCTTCATAGTTCCCATTCTGACCACCACCCTGGACTCCCTGTGTGCACCTGCCTGTGTGTCTTACTTATCACATGTGGCTCTCTGTACCTCCCCCTCTGCCTGCCTTGACGGCTCCAAACCAGCCCTTTTTCCAGACCAGAAAGTCCTTTCCCAAGCCCTGTATTTTTCAACCTTCTTCTTACAATTTGCTTCCTCCACAAAGCCTCCCTTTACTAACCCACTTGGTCTGGCCAGTGTGAACCCCTCTGTCATCCCCTTCCACACTGTGTCTGTCACTCTGCCCAGCAGCAGCTGTTGGGCCCTAGTTCACATGCTTCAGTTGTAGGTGTCCCATGCATTTTCATGTGTCCCTCTCCTGGTCTTCCCACCCTGGTGAGCATCACTGGGCTGCAATCATAGTGTGAGCTCTGGTCTCTCCTCTCTCTGCCCCACACACATCCCTGCTCCGCAGCGTGCATCTCCCTCCTGCTCCACCCCAATGGCTACACTCCTTTAACCATCCTCTCTCTGCCTAGACCTAGAGCCCACCCTGGCCTCCCCTGGCCCTTTCCCTGAGCCCATAAAGATGCTCAGGTCATCCCATGTGGTGAAACAAAACTCTTGACCACTAGGATTCCTTTCTGGTTAATGCCCTCTCATTTTCCTCCCTTGCTCAGCCAAGTTTTTTGAAAGAGTGGTCCGTACTTGCTGTTGCTTTTCTGCTGTTTCCCATATCTCCTCAACCAGCGTAGCCTGGTTTCTGCTCTTGCATGACAGACTCACATCCAGCCAAGGCCATGGGTGGTCACCATATTACACACCAAATGGGCCCTCCTCAGCCCTTATCCTTCTGTTACTGCCCCTGGCATTTGACACTGTTAACTGCTCCCTCCTTCTGAACAACTGGATCCTTGCCTTTATTACCATGACACCCTTGTCTCTTGGTTCTCTTTAAACGTCCCTCACCAGTTTTTCTTAGTCATTATTTCTTATTCTCTTTTCTTACATGTCCACACTCCCCAGGGCTCTGACCATTTTTCCTCTTCTTTTCTCACTCTACACCATCTTCCCAGGTGATTTACTACACACGCATTACTTTAAATGACACTATCGCGCAGCAGATCTCCATTTCTGGTGTGCTGCTGAGACCCACACCTGTGTATCCAGCTGCCTGCTGGTCACCTCCTCTTGGATGTGCATGTCGTCTCAACCTCGGCATTTCTAAAACCAGCTCCTCACCTTCTCCCAAACCTGCTTGGCCTGCTGCATTTCCTTTCTCAATCAGAGGCACTAACAACCACTTGGCCATTGAGTCAGGACCTGGAGAGCCATCTGGTTCCTTTCTGTTCCCATTCCCCCCACCCAGTCAGCCTCCATGTCCTACCAACTCTGCATCCCCATCTGATTTTTTTCTCCATCACCTCCAACTTTGCCTTCCCGAGTGACAACATGAAGTTCCCAGGTCACCCACTGTCCCCATGGCTGTCCCTCTCCATTTCTTTTTCCTCCCAAAGTGACCCCTTTACAAATTCAAATTCAAACATTTATACATTCAGTGAATGTTTCTTGGGTGCCTCTTAGGTTCCAAGCATAACACTTATGTCCTAAGTGTTAGCGATATAGAAATGAATGATACAAATAAACTCTTTCTTCCTGATGGAATTTACCTTCTAGTTGGGGAGGTAGGAGTGGGGGAGAACAGACAGCAAGCAAGTAAACAAGTAATTCTATGTCAGGTGATGGTAAGTTCTAAGAAGGAGAATAAAGAAGGATAAGGGAATAAGAGGTGACCATGAAGCAGTGCTGTTGTGGAAGGGCTTGGAAAAGATGTCTCTCCAAAGGTGATATTTGAGCAAAGACAAAGGAAGTGAGAGAGTGAGCCTTGTGAGTATCTGGGGTGTGGGGGGAAGAGCATTCCAGATGGAGGGAACTGTGTGCTTTCTGTGTTTGAGGAGCAAAGGGGCCAGCATAGCTGGAGAGGAGGATGGACAGAATGAGGGTATAGAAGTGGTGGGGAGGGCAGTGGGCAAAGGACCTTGTAGGTCATTGTGAGGACTTTGGCTTTGACGGTGAGTGAGGTGGAAGCCATCTGAAGGTGGGGAACAGAGGCCGGCAGGATCCAACCTTCATCTTAGATGGGTCACGCAGGCTGCTACTGCAGAATAGTCTGCAGGAAGATCAGTTAGAAGGCAGGTGCAAGAATTCAGGTCACACAGGATGGCAGCTGGACCTGGGCCACAGCAGTGGAGTGGTGAGAAAGGTCAGATTTGAGAGATGTGTTTTGAAGGAGAGTTGATGAGGAATTTGTGACAGATTGGATATGGAGTGCAAACAGAGAGGAGTCAAGACTGATTCCAAGGACTTTGGCTGGACAGCTGGAACTGTGGAGTTGCCACTTTCTTACATAGAGAAGACAGAGGAGGGTTTGGCCAGTGGTCAGGGAGAGTATAGTTTGGACAGGTTAGGCTTTGGAGACCTTAAACTCAAATGGGGATGAACTTGGATACTCAGGGGAGGAATTGAGGCTGGAGATGTCCCCCGCTGCTGAAAGTCCCAGAATGGCCCCCCTTTGCCCCAAGGTCAGCATTTACCCTGAGAGAGTGGGGTAGAATAAAGGGCTCTCCCAGCAAGACAGAGGGAGGGAGTTGGAAAAGTCAGAGGATCAAGTAAAGCCACTAGGAAGCCAAATCCAGCACCAACGAAGGGAGTTGCCATAGGTTATCAACACCACAGGGGGCAAAAGCAAGCATAATATTCATTTCTATTTGTCTAACAGTCTCAGCTCAGTTTTTGTGACTTCTGGAAAGCTTTTCCCACCTCTCTAAGTAGGTTAAATCTCTCTGTTATAAGCTTTTATAGCACCAGGTAGGTAGCACTTGCCATAATTTACACTAGATGTTTATAATTTTTAAAAAACTACATTGATATTACATTTGATATTTGTAAGTTGCCATTGCACATTTAATTATTGGATTCATGTTTGGCTCCTCCATTAGACTAAAGCTACATAAGGGCAGGGACTATTTCTGTCTTGTTTTTTTTGCTGTAATGAGAGAACGAATGGATTCCTGAGTGCCCAGAGCCTGGAATTCCAGAGGCAGAGGGAGAAAATCAGAGTGGTCGAGGTCAGAGGCAATTGTCTGGAACTCACGTCGTGGTCAAAGACTAGTTTTTATGGGCCAGCCAAGGCGGAGGGCATGGGTGGGGATGGGGTGAGTATACAGAGACCCCCAGGCGTGGCATTCACTACCCTCCATGGCCTGGCTCCTTCCTGCCCTCCAGCTTCATCTCACCCCTTCTTTTTCTCCATCTCTGCGTTCATCTTTATAACCCCAATGGACCGCTTGTAGCTCCCATATATTTGCTATTTCACACCCCCAGCCATTACTCACGCTCTTCCCTCTCAACCTTCTGTTCTCATCCACAGTGAATTATTGCTTATCTTTCAAAACTACACTCAGATGTCAACTCCTTCAGGTGGCCTTTGTAAATCCCCCCAGACTTTCCCTCTTTCTTCTGCTCTACACATGACAGGGTCATTATGTGTAAACTAACAGGCTGCTGTCCAAAGGCAGGGGCCGTATTCCAGTCATCACTACACCCCCAGCACCCAGCATAGTGCCCAGTACAGAGTAAGCGCTTAACAAATGAGCAAATGAGTGATGAATGAATAGCCATCTACCCCAGATTTCCTGAAACAGTATAGATGTCATCCGGCCTGTCCCATCAGCCCCTACATCTATTCATAGTTGTCACACCATGAGTCCTGGCTTTTCTCCTGAAAATTGTGGTCACTGCAGAATAGTGCAGTAGTTCCCAACCTAAAGTCCTTGGACCCCCAGGGAAAGCAGTAATAAGGCTCGGAGAGCTTCTGTCGATGTCTGAAATAGCTTACAGAAATCACACTGTTATCTGCACTCAGGCTGCACAGCCTAACTAAAACATCAGATTTCTCTGCTTTTAGCTGGGATTGTGTCGACTCGGCGACATGCTAACAGTGGTTATCTTGTGCGAAGCAGGAGTGCAGATTGGCTGGGAATGACATCATAGGAGTCCCTGGGGCCGTTGGAAGGAAAAGCAATAAATGTGGTCCTGGGAAGTGAAAAGGTTAGGGCCATGATGATGGGGGATGGAGCTCTGGGCTCAGAATTAGGAGACATGAGAGGCGGGCGTGGCATCAGTTCAGTGAGCCACCCAACTTCTCTGGAAAGTGGGAATAATCACATCTACCTTGAGGATCAAATTAGGTCAAAACGTCTCCAAAATGGTGCAGAACCAAGCGAGGGACAGGCTTACGCCTAGCCTGGGCGGTCCTGAAGGGGTACACGGGCAGCGGTGGAAGGAGATGACGTGTCTGGAGAAATAAGCTGTTTGCTGAGGTTGGAGGGGGCTATATGGAGAGAAGAAGAGTTGGGTGGGAGTTGGGGCAGTTGGGGCAGTCAGGCGGGCACCAGATTGTGAAGGAGCTGTGAAGTTCATGCTAGGAAATTGAACCATATGGTCCTTTTGGTATCAAGAAATCCAAAGTTGCTATTGGCCCTCAACTAAAATGGAGGAAGGGACTAGAAGGTGTGGATCCCAGTGCCCCTGCCCCCATGGTTTTGAACACAGACTCCATGCCTAGCCCACCTCCTTCAGTGTCACTTTCAGCCTGTGGCTCTGAAGGTTCCAGCCTAGCTGTGGCTTCCCGCAGGTGGAGCGCCCTTGAGTCCTGGCTGCTTGAGAGTACGCATTCCTGCTGGGCGATGCTCCCAGCAACCGGCCAGGTCACTGGGTGCAGACCTTCGCACCACGGTAAGGAGGGCCAGATGGACGTTGAGCCAGACAGAAGCCCCTGTGGGCAATGGGAGCCTTTGATGGGGGCGTGACTGTGTCCCGGCTGAACCCCAGAACAGGGCTAAGGTAATATTATGCTTGAGGGCTGCCACCTCTGCCACCACCCCCACCGCCTCCCAGGCTTCTCCTGAAAAGCCTCCATTCCTCAAGATCAAGGGAAAATGCTGCCTTCGGGGGGAATCTCTGCCCTCCCTGAGTCCCAGCTTGGAATTAATTCATCGCCTCTCTGCACTCCCGCTACGTGTTGCAGACACCTCTACTTCCTACTTATTTTGTTGGGCTTCACATTGTGGTGATTTCCTTTCTTGCCTGTCTCCACCAGGCTGTTTGTGAGATCACCTCTCATCTACAATCACTCTCCCGCCCCTGATGCCAAACCTGACTCCTGCAGCTGGGGCCCCAGAAACGTTATTGACCCAGAGAGAAAGTGTCTTTGATGGCCAATTCTGATGGCCAATTCTCATGCCCAGTTCGATCCTGCCCTGGTGTTCATTTGTCTGAATTGAGTGCCCCGCTGGCCCCTTTGTGTCCTCTCAGTGTGAACAGGGATAAAGGTTGAAACAGTACCCAGAGGGCTCCTTAAGAGAGAGTTTCCATCAAAGCATCCAAAGATATCTCTGGGGAGGACACAACGTGGAGGCAGCCGCAGAGAAATGAATGTCCTATCACTAAAATTTCCAGAAAAGGAGATGATGTCAGTGCTGCCCTTAGGCCCTGCTTTGTACCTATCAGATTTTTGGAGACAGAAAGCCCTTCGAGATGGCTTCTCGCTTACTCAGCCCACTAGAGCCGCCAAATTGCTCTCCCCTCTCCACCTGGAGTCAGAGGGAATGGGCAGAAGCCTAGAGCGCTCCTTCAGCAGGGTGGGAGACTGTCTGCCACCCCCTCCATGGGTGGGGCCAGCTTCCGGCCCCTTCTGCTGGTGACCGTGCTGCGCTCCTTTCTAGCAAACAAGGGAGCGTCTGGCAGCTGCTTTGTCTCCCTGCGGCCCCTCCAAGTCGCTGCTCTGGAAAACACTTGCCTCTGTCACCAGGCTGCACCTGTAAATAAAGCAGAAGATAAAAGAGGCCTTTCTGTTTTTCAAACTGTGACAGGCACATCCCGGCAAATTACCTTCATGTTTTTTTAATAGAAGTAAAAAGGTTTGGGTGGCTTGCGTTGCCTGATACAGAAGCACTTTTCTCTCATTCAAGCCGCCACAGATGGGATAATGAACGCATTTTTATCTCCATCTCTAAACAAGACGCAAAGAACCTGGAGTTAGACAAACTTTCCTTTACGGCATTTTGAGGACAGAGCTGGGAGTGGTGAAAAGCTCTTGGTGCTTGGGAACTAAAGGCCGGGAACTTGTTCAGGCTAGAAGTGTATTTGCCTCCTGTATGCAGAGACCCACTTGTGTATTTCAATCTCAGTTTATTTATCTACAAAATGGGCGTAAGGGACCCTATTTCCAGGTTTGTTGAGAAAACCCCTGGCCCAGCCTCGCCCCAAGGAAGCTATTCAATAAACTTCACTGAAGCCCATCCTGGTTGTTATCCAGATGTTCATACCACTTGGCCAAATGTGCCCACCAAGAAGCAGCCATTCAAGGGCCCCTATCCCAGTGAGGAGAAGCCTGGGGTCTATCTCCACAGCCTGCTGGACACATGCCTGTGCGTCTGGCCACTGGAGCCCCTGCCATGCCCTGCAGCCCTTCCCAGGGACACGGATGTTGGGGTGCCTCCCTCCATCAGCCCCGCCTCTGGGCTGTCACTGTGCCTGTCTCATGTTGCTATGCAGTTATTTATCCACACATTTCTCCTTCCTCAAAAACTAGGAGAGAAAAATCACAGAGGGCAAGTCTCATCCCCTGCGGATGTTCTTATCCTCAGTGCCCTGTGCGATGCCTGGCACACAGTAGGTGCTCAGAGCACATTTGTGGGTGAATGAGTGGCTCAGAGAAGCTTGACCCTCACACACCTGGGCTGAGCAGGGAAGCAGGCTCCCAGGAAGCAGGAGGCTCCGCAGCCGAGAGTGGTGTTGGGCCCACCCCTCACCCAGGCTCCCCACCTTCCATGTGTCTGGACTGGGCCAGGCCTGTGCCCGTGTTTCCAACAAACCTGGAAATAGGCCCCATACCCATATTTTGTAGATAAAAATAAATTTGTGAAACTGGTTTTGTAAGCTTTGGCTCCTCATCCACCTCAAGGGTATAAAAATACCACATGAGAGGCTCAAGAGGCCTGGGGGCCCCCTCTGCAGTGAGCTGTCTGTGGATGGAGGAGGCTGCCTCCCATCCCCTAATCATGAGGGAACCTCAAGAGAGCTTGGCTGAGGCCTGAGAAAATTTGAAGGAGAGCTAGACTGCCCGAGAAGGCAGGGCAGAGAGGGTGGGGGCCCCACAGGCTTCTCTCCTGGAGTTTGGCAAGGCAGGGAGGGAGCCTGTGTCCTGCTGGCTGGGGTGGATCTCCCAGAGGGATGCCAGGAAGTCTGAAGGCCTCACGCCAAGGCCAGAGGCAGGGGCGTGCCCTCTTCTTCAAGACTGGAGAAGTTGGATGTTCCTCAGCAGCCTTGCTCACATCAAGGGAGGTACAGCTGAGAGAACCCACACAAGCCCAGGACAAGAGAAAGACTTGGCATGTGGAGTCTGCCAGGCCCAGAGGGCACAGGTACCCTACCACCATCCTACAAGTCAACGAACACTTTCCCTGGCCCGTATTTCTCCCCCAGCCCCACCCTATCTGACCTGGGGGGAGGGGGCAACGAGTCAGGGAAGAGTGATAGAACTGACTCTCCCTCCTCCCCCTCCTCAAGGTTCCAACTTGAGCCAGACCAGGCTGCGGGGTGGCAGTTTCAAATAGGATAGGATGGAGGCTTTGCTAGTAGACTGGCTTGGGCCTTTTTTTTTTTTTCTTTTTTAAATCTGACAGTAGCACCCAAAGCTATGAGATATTCCAAAGTGGTCCTCCAATGATCAGGGAGTAATGTGCTGGAAGGGGCTAAGTCAAAAGAACGCACTTGCATCCTGTTTGTGCCCAATCGAGTCCAGCGCCGCCAGTGGACGGATTCTATTTGGATTAGAGCTGTGTGCCCCGGGGAGCCGAAGCAACTCCTGAAGACATGTGCTAAGGCTTTCGGTGCTCAAGCCGCCCTTCCTCATCTGGCCTAACTCAGAGTTCGGCGATAGAGGAAAGGGGGCCTTCTGATTTCATCCTAATCGAGGTATAGCACATTTGAACCTCATTAGAAGATAAGAAAGACACCAAGAGAGTTTAGAGGGAGAGGGGCACATCCATTTAGGCTGCTCCGTTCATGATTCCTACCTGGAGTCACCTCCCAGCATGAAGTGGCTCTTACTAAGGGGGAGGGAAGGACCCCTGGAAGATTAGGCTTTGAGTTGCAACTTTATTCTTTCTTATTATTTATTTTCTTTTAAATGTTCATTTTAAATTTTCTTTTAAATGTTCATAATTGCTGGATAATCCAGAGACATGATTGTCTTTTTATTTGCATATGGAAAGGCCCCCAACTCATTCAAACACCAAAAGCCCTTCTCTTTAAATCAACCACAGTTTCACCGCTTGAAGTTGTTCCAGAAATTGAGATCTTGCAATCTTTATTTACTGGGTTGGTTTAACTCCTTCTGGGCTGCTCCTTCCTTTAATTCTCTTCCATGATGAGGAGGCTCTAGGATAAGAGAGAAAAATAAACCCAGAGAGGGCTCCTGTGGCTGGGCTCGCTGTTCGCTGAAATGGAAATGTGTTTACGGTGTGAGAACAAAACGATCTTGGGCAGTGAAGTTGGCAAAAAGAGATAAAGGGGATTTGGTTAGAAGCGAGAGTTAAATGATAGTAAAGGTCTAGAGAAGCCATGATCAATAAATATAAAGTTCAACCTCATTGCTTTTTGCCTCTGAGAAGGGCTGAGCCCCGCCTGCCTCCCCCACCATGGGCCTCGGGCTGCAGACTCTGCTGGTGGATTCAGCGATGAGGCCCTCAGACTGTAAGCATGAAACTCACTCTGTCCGAGAGAACTCTCATGGAGGCAGGGAGGGGTGGATCCAGCCCTCCTGCTCCTCTTGCCGGGTGCATACAAGACGGGCACTCCATGTGTTCTGTGGCTGCCCAACCAGCCCAGGGCCTCCAATGGGGGCACTGTCCAGAGAATCCTAAGTACTTGCATTGGACACCCCATTTTCAAGACAGAATAATCTCAAGAAGAAAACTGTTTATTATCACTATAGAATTTAGGGCAAATCACTTGCTTTGTGAACAACAAGTACATACTTTGAAGAAAAATGGAGTGAGAGAGTCTCAGAAATGATCTTCAGCTCAACGAAGGGCAGATGCCCACTCATTTCCTGCCATCTTAATGCAGGGCTGTATATGCAGAGGAAAGAGCATTGGTCTCTGTGTAGACCATCACGGTGGGATTCTGAACCTAGGTCTATGGATGCCTTTCAGTGCCCTTCAGTAGTATCTGCAAGCCACTTGTTAACAAAATTGTACACTTGTACACTTTTCTGTGCACAATTTTTTTCTATTCTCAAAGAAGCTTGGGTTCCTCCAAAAAGAAGAACAGCTGGCCCATCAGGTGCAATGATGTCTATGAAGATTCTCTGTTTATTATATTTATTTTATTTATTTATTTATTTATTTATTTATTTATTTATTTATTTATTTTTGAGACAGAGTTTTGCTGTTGTTGGCCAGGCTGGAGTGCAATGGCATAATCTCGGCTCCCCGCAACCTCCGCCTCCTGGGTTCAAGCGATTCTCCTGCCTCAGCCTCCGAAGTAGCTGGGATTACAGGCATGCGCCACCACGCCCGGATAATCTTTTGTATTTAGTAGAGATGGTGTTTCACCATGTTGGTCAGGCTGGTCTTGAACTCCTGACCTCAGGGGATCCACCCACCGTGGCCTCCCAAAGTGCTGGGATTACAGGCATGAGCCACCACGCCTGGCCAATTCTCTGTTATAAATACACATATAGGCCAACAGAATTATGACTGTTGAAAGAGTAGGCAGCAGGAAGAACTTGTGTTGCATTACATCTTAGAAGCTGGGGAGGATGAGCAAGGGAGGTGTCTTAGTCCATTCGAGCTGCTATGACAACACCATAGACCGGGTGGCTTATAAACAACAGAATTGATTTCTTACAGTCTCGAGGTTGGGAAATTCACAATCAAGGCACTGGCGAGTTCAGTGTCTGGCAAGGGCTCGCTTCCTGGTTTATAGACAGCTGTATGCTCACTGTGCCCTCACATGGCAGAAGGGGTAAAGGGAGCTCTCTGGAGCCACTTTCAAATCCCATTCATGAGGATTCTTCCATCGTGACCTAATCACCTCCCAAAAATCACCACCTTCTAATACTATCACCTTGGGGGTTAGGATTCTAACATAGGAATTTTAAGGGGACACAAACATTCAGTCCTTGGCAGGAGGCTTTCCATCCATCTGTCCAGTCAACCATCCATCATTCATTGACGTGTGTCTAACATGTGTCATCACTGTGTTTTAGATACAGATGACACAGTGTGGTGGGGGAGATGGATGTGTGACAAAATGCAACCCCGTGGAGTAAGTTCTGTGACTGATGCACTTTCACCAGACAGCTGGAGACACAAGGGAAAAAGCTCCACGGGGAAGGAGAGGGGGGCTCTGGAGGGCTCCACAGAGGCTATGATGCTTGAGCCAGGTCTTAAAGGATAATTAAACATGATGAAATCTTTGTTCTTGGGTGTCTTTAAAAATAAATGTAGGTGCAAGTTGTTGGTTTGCATGAATTTAAAAATAAATACATAAGAATAAGAATAAATGTAGGGAAAGATTCAGGTGACCTCTGGGCCAAAGGCAGGGGCTGGAGAAGAGGACTCAGAGCGATCCTCTAGATCTGCAGGGTGAACCCTGGAGGGCGTGTGCATGCTTGTTTGCACACATGGCTGGGTGTGGGTTCTGGTACCCCTCAGGGAGCAGGAATGGGAGGAGGACTGGAGAACAGGAGACTTTGCTCAATCTTCTCAGGCTTCCTCTGTCCCTGGGTCCAATCAGAGAGAGAGAGAAAAGCCTGGGGCTCACAGATGATGGACACGTTTTTTGGAGGAGAGCGACAGGCGAATGGCATGGAGAGCAGCAGGAGCGATTTGGGCAGGTATTGCTCCCTCAACTCCCATCTACAGCTGCGTCTCGGGAGACAGGGGCTGGTGACCTGGCTGGCCAATAGACTGGCAGTGGTCAGAAGTGATTTTCCTCTCCTACTATCTCTGTCCGCCCTCCAGAGGCAGGGCCTGTCCTGGAGGAGGGAGGATCTGAGTAGTTTACTCCTCCCTGAGAAGCAGGTGTAAAGGCAGGCCTGGGCCCAAGGAGGAGTAGAGGCAAAGCGTTGCTAACCTTCTGCTCCTTTTGGTGTGGTTCAGAAGTCATTTCCCAGCTGGCTTCTAGGAAGCTGCCAATCTCTTGCTAACAAAGACAGCTCGGGGAAGGGCCAGCTCAGCCCTTAGCAGGCTCAGGGCCACAGGGGAGCTGCTGGCTGCCCAGAGGTAGGGGCAGCCTTTGCTACTTGCTAACAGGTGTGTAGATGGGGACTAGGAGGACAAAGACTTAATCAAAGAGGTTAACGGGGGTCGTTGTTCACCTGAGTGCACAGCTCTAGTGAGTACACAGCTCTAGTGAGTACACATAGATATGGGAAGGCAGAGAGGAGAGGAGAGGGGAGGAAACTCATGCTCAGTGCTGTTTCTCCTGTAAGGGAGGGGTCACTGCAAGTGTTTGGAAAAGACAGGCGATCCCTAAACCTGGTGTTAGAGTAACATTTTCAAACTTAAAAAATATATTTTAATGCCCAGTGGATCTGATGTTCATTCAGTTCTCCCAGGAGCCCTGCAAGAAGGTATTCTTACCAGTTAGCCCTCTTTACAGATGGAAACACCATGGCACAGAGGGATTCATTTGACCAAAGTTGCATAGCTAGCAAGAAGTGGGGGCAGAACTCAGGCTTTGGAGTCTTCTGGCTCCAAAGCCCACGTGCTTTGCAACCACACCGTGCCCAGCCCTTAGAGGATTCTGGGAATCCGGAGCCTTCCTCAGGTTCGCCAGGAAGCCCTGGTGGGGAGGAACCAGAAACATGTGCTTCCTTCATCCAAGGTGGCAGAGCACAAGGTGGGTGAGCCAGAACATGCGAGTGGCACGCCCTCAGCAAGTGCACAAAGGAAAACTAAATGTTTACATTTATTTTTAACTATAGGAGGTATATATAGTTATATTTTAAAAATACACATAGTACTGATAAAGCCTAAGTGTTCCCTTTCTCGCTCCTTCCCAGCCCCCTTCCTAGTGGTGACTAGGGAATGACTGAAGCCTCACAGACAGCTGCCTATGCATTTTACATACACATACAAATAGAAACATGTAGGATCTTTTGTTTGTTTTTTATGTAAATGTTAAAATGTGGTACATATGGTTTGCAATTTGCTCTTTTCACTTAAAAATATGACTTGGAGCTATTTCAATTCCACTACCTATAGATCTGCCTCATTTTTATCTGCTAAATAGTATTCTATTATGTATGTATACGTATGCATTTGTATATACATATGTCTGTATGTATCTTTAATTATTTTCCCCTCTTGGACATTTGAGTCACTACTAGAAACAATATAATGAAGAACATCTTTGTCAGCGCTTTTCTGTAAACATAAAGGAGTATTTCTCTAGGATAGACATGAAATGAAACTCCTGGCAGAATTAGTTGAGTAATGGTATATTTAATTTGAACAAATACTCTTTGCCAATTTACAGTCCCAACAGCGTATCAAACTTCCCATTTCTCCACACTCCCTGGAGCCCTGATTATTACCAATATTATAATTTTGACCAAAATAAAATATATGATTTAATTTGAATTTCCCTAATTTTAGTAAGCATTTTCATACTTACTAAAAATTACATACACTCACTGCTTATTTATGCATCCTCTTCTATGAATTCCATGCTCATTTTTTTTTGCCTATTCTTATCATTTTGTAGAAACTCTTTCTATACCCTGGATATTGATTTATATGTGTTGTGCATGTTTCATCTATTTCTCCCAGTCTTTAAATTATTTTTCAGTTGTTCTTATAGGGTTTTTGTTTGTTTGTTTGTTTGTTTTGGTTAGACAGAAACAATTTTGGCAGTCAATGTATCCATTTTTTTATTTATGGGCTTATTTGTGTGTGTGTCTCCTTAAGAAGGTCTTCTCTATCCCAAAGTTTAAGTGTATTTTCTTCTAACAGTTTTATAGTGTTCACCTCTCTTACGTAGCTCTTTAGTCAATTTGAAATTTATTTTGTGAATGGTGGGAAATAGGGCCCCAATGTATTTTTTTCCAAGTAGATAGCTTTGGAGCCATTATTGCTGGCCCACTTCTTGTTTATTCCTCCCTTCCCTGTCTTTTCATTTAGGCTTTCACCTTGTGCCCATTTATCCCTCAGGCTTTAGGGCTGGGCTTTATTGGTTTAAGGGTAATCCCATATACCTCGCCTAAACATCAGAGCATGGCATGAAGTTGGTCACGGTGATTAGTTCAGGATCAGTGCATGACCCAGTTAGGGTGGGGGCAAGTTTACTGAGTGCATCTGGGAAAAATATTTTGCTTACTGCTAAAAGATGATCCCTGGGGAAGAGCAGAGACCCGCTTCCTTCCTTTGGTCATGATGCTTTGTAGATGTGGATCCAGGAGCTGCCATGGCTCTTTTGCCACCATGAAAGAAGCCCGCCTGAGGGGGAGGCTCATGTATAGAGGGTCCTGGCTATGCATGAAACTTCAAGGGATGGAGCCAGGGCCATGGATTAGGGCAGTCTGGAAGCCTCATTACCTCTTTATCTGTCTTGGCCTTCCTTACATGAGCAATGTTATTTTCTTATTATTAAAGCCTGGTTGAGTCAAGTTCTCTGTTATGGGCAGCAGGCAGCAGTGACTAAACTGATATAACAAGTAACTGCTCCTGTGCTATCTATAGATGGTCCAACACTTGGTCATTAATTAGAAATGCTATCATATACTCCTGTACACACATGATCTGTTTCTTATCTGTTTGTCTATTCTTAGGCTAACGTCTTGCTGTTTTAATGACTATGGTTTATGTAATTGTAATATATTTTATGCTGGTTGGGTAAATCCTTCTTCATCATTCTTCTTTTTCAACATCTGCCTGGCTATTCTTGTTCCCTTTCTCTTCCAGATGAATTTAAATTACCTGCATTAAGTTCCATAAAATTGCGCTGGGATTTTGACAGAGGTTGCTTTGAATCTGGGGAGAACTGACGTCTTTACAATGTTGATATTTCCCATCTAGGAATATTAGATGTCTCACCATTTATTTAGATCCTCTTATGTGATACTCAGTAGAGTTTTATAGTTTTTCTATAAAAGTTTCGTTCATATTTTATTGGGTTTATTCCTTGGGACCTTAAAGGCATTTGTTGTTATTATTTGTTCTTTTTTTACGTTTGAATGTATCTATTTTTAATTGGTGGCATGGAGGGAAGCTTTGAGTTTTGGTTGTTGCTCTGTTAACTCTACCACTGCGCTGGAATCTTATTATCTAACAGTCTGTCATTTCTTTCCGCTGGATTTCATAGAAGATGATCATATAATCTGAAAATAATAGTTTTCTCTTCCATTCTTCTTTTTCTTCTCTTAAATCGTGCTGGATAGGAGGGGCATCGCTATATTGTTTCCAGACAGAATGGGAAATGTTTCCAAGGTTTTTCTGAATGTTATATAATTAAGACAGCTTAATTTTCCTTCCTGCTTTGTTGAGGCATCTTTTAAAACAGGAAAAGTATATAGAATTTTATCAAATGTTTCTTGATGTGTAGTGACATAACCATATAGAATTTTCCTTTATCATCCAGTGGCCTATTTTAATATATATTATAATGTTGAATTAGCCTGTGTTACTGGGATAAAGTAATCCCTGGCGAACCCTCCAAGTTTCCTGCCCAGCCGGCGCCCTCTCTTTACATCAGCCTCCCCCTCAGGTGGGCTTCCCTCATGGTGGCAAAAAAGCCATGGCAGCTCCTAGATCTACATTTACAAACTGCTTATGAGATTCTGTTCTTTTAATGCATTGCTTATTCTATTATGCTACTATTCTCATGTGGATCTGGGCAGCTGTATTCAAATGGGGGATGAGTCTGTGGTTTTGTTTTTGGGCCTTCCTTGTCTGGTTCTTCTGCCTTACTGGTCACTGCTTCTCAGTCCCTTAGGCTGGCCCCTGACCCAGCCCCCATCGTGGCTCAGGCCTCTGCCTCCTCTCCTCTCCTCTCTCTCCCCAATCCCAGTTGGTGTCCCCCAGACCTGTGGCTTTCATACCATCTAAATGCCTACAGCTCCCAGATGCCTCACTCAGCCCAGTCCTTGCTCCCAAATTCCAGACCATGCATACCTACTCAGCACATCCAAGACAGCATTCCTACTTTCCCCTCTCAAAGCTGCTCCACCCGCTATCTTTCCCAGCTCCGTAAGCCACAACACCATCCTTAGTTGCTCAGGACCTGCAGCCTTGGAATCAGTCTTAACTCCTCTTCTCTTTGTCTTTCATATCTCACATCCACCCCATCAACAAATCCTCTAGTTTCCCTTTCAATAGATGGCCAGTGTCTGACCCCTCAGGACCTCCAGCTGGTCCAAGCTATCACCTCTTCCCTCAGCTACTGCAGTAGCTTCTAACAGTGCTTCCAACTTCCGCCCTCACTTTCATTCTGCTTATTAGCATGGAGGTGTGGTTCCTACTCCCTGCATCTGGGCCACTCTTTTCTGTCCATGCATCCCTCCATGCCTCTTCTCAGACATGCCCGGTGTGCCTCAGCCTCGGGGCCTTTGCACTTGCTGTTTCCTCTCCCGGGATCTCTGCATGTCTCTATTCCTTCAGGCCTTTGTGCAAAAGATTTCTGATACACCTGTAATCCCAGCACTTTGGGAGGCCAAGTTTGAGGCCATGAGTTTGAGACCAGCCTGGGCAACACAGGGAGATCCTCGTCTCTACAAAAATAATAATAATTAGACAGGCATAGTGGTGCATACCTGTGGTTCTAGCTACTTGGGAGGCTGAGGCAGGAGGATTGCTTGAGCCCAGGAATTCAAGGCTGCAGTCAGCCATGATTGCACCACCGCACTCCAGCCTGGGACAGAGCAAGACCCTGTCTTAAAAAAAAGAAAAAAAAAAAAAAACTCATCTGAAGGTCTTCCCCAACCACCCTACATACAACTGTAATCCTCACTTCCAGCACTCCCTACGTGCCACAGCTCCTATCAGACAGCTATCCGCAGGCAGCTGGGCTCTTGCAGGGCCAGTACCTGCTCCTTCTCTTGCTCCTCCAGGCCCACAGTGAGGGAGGGGCCCTGCTGTCGTCCTGTTCTTTTCCCCAAACCACTTATCTCCACTTGACATTACTGTGTATTCGTTTGTCACTGTCTGTCTCCTCCAACTAGACCAGAACCTCCATGAATGTAGACACCTGCCTATTTTGTGTGCTGTCGTGTCCCCAGCACCAGGAACAATGGCTGTACTTTGTAGGTTGTTCAATAAGAATTTGTTGAATTAAAGAACAATTTTTCTCTTGCATTTATGGGTTGACTTTTATGCCAAACAATGTCATTTGTGTGTACATGTGAATACTTAACTTTAAAATTGTTTGTAATGAAAACAGAGAGATAATTATTTTTGACCATTTTGTTACTTTTTTTCCCCACAAATGCGAAAACTGAAGTCCAGAGAGCCTAAGGCATTTCTTAAGGTCAGGAGCCAGTTGATGGCCAAGCTGGGCTAGAATCTGTCCACACTGTAGACCTGAGGGACTTTCAGAGTACCAGAGGCTAGGGAGCTGCTGGAGCTGGAAGCTTGGATTGAGTGGGTTACACAGACCCTACGACCTGTCCTCTTTTACCTCCTGTCTTACTTTCTTGGAGATAAGTGATTTGACAGAAGACATTAGTAAGAGCATGGCCATAAAAATTGGCTTCGTCATCAGCTGTTGACTTTGGGCACTTGTAAAAGGAGTCACTCCTATCTCCTGCATGTTGGCCACCTGCTGCCTACCTCTCTAGGTCTACTCTCTACCTGCTCTGCCCCTGGCCCCACACCCAAGGCTTCCCCAGCTGGATGGCATCAGTGAGCTCCCTTGCTCTCTGGCTTCTGTCTGTGTCAGGCCAGTGGGTAGCACCAGCAGAACATGGGGGAGAGAAAAACAGGAAAATTGGGGATTTATTTCCCTAATTCTTTCCCTGCAGGGTCCTCATAAGCAGGCTGCATCCCTGGATCAGACAGCCCTCCCCAGGCTCCCCAGCCCTCCCCAGAGACCTCCCCTGCTGGTCTCTGCAGGGGCAGTACCTGCTCCTTCTCTTGCCCCTCCAGGCCCACGGTGGGGGGGTAAGGGCCCTGCTGTTGCCAGGCAAGGACATGACACTACCTTTGGCTGGTTTCCTTAGACTCCACCCACACCTTTGTAAACATTTCTAAACTCTCTTCATAGTGTGGGGTGTGAGTGTGTCATTGTCCCCTAGGGTCCCTGTCTGCCACCATGGATGAATAAGGGAGCTTACGTGGCTGGCGCAGTCCATTACAAAGCAGGGGCTTTCCAAGTGTTCATTCCTCTTCTTCCCAACTAGGAGAACAGAAAGGGTCTGTCAAAAGACATGACCTGGGAGATGAGCTCTCAGTTGGGGACCCCAGCCCTATGGCAAACGTAAGCATCTGCAGATCACAGATGCCCCTCTTTGTCCTCACCCATTTCCTGCAGGGCTGCCATCCATGGGGTGACCCAATCAGACAACCCCAGTGCTGGTGGCTCCTGAACACTGGGGCTGGTCTTAGAGCATGAGGTGTGTGGTGAGGGTGCCAGGTGGGAGGTGGGCAGGGGAGTGCCGGGGGACTTCCTACAAACCTGCTCCTCAGCTTTTCTGTCATTTAGCACCTCTGGTCCTCCTGGCCTCCCCAGGCCATGCCCAGGCCGAGACACAGCTACTCCTCCCCACTCTACCAGCAGCCTGCAGCCTCCGTCCATGCCCTGGGCTGGCGGCGGGAGAAAGCGCTGTCAGATCTCATCATGTCAGTGCTCCAGCTAGAACTCCAGCTGGGCCGAGTGACCTTGTAGGTTTTGAGGAACACGGGCAGCTGGGAAACAGAGGAATGGACTGGCCAAATTTGTACCATCTTCCCAGCTGGAGGGAGGTGGGAGCCGGGCCTCTTCTGAGCTCCAGCTCCTCCGTCTCACAGTTGCTGTTTGGGTCTGTCCCTTCAGCAACCTGGCCACAGCTGGGTGTGAGATTAGACTTTAGCGTGGCTTTTCTCATTCTGCGAGCTCCAAGGAATTCATTATCAAGGAAAGAGGGGATTTCTTCTCCAGGGTAAAGAAGGTTCTAGCTCCTCGTGGAGCCTGTGTTCTCCGATGAGTGGCTGAAAAACCACAATTCATCTCTACCGAGCACTTTGCAGTTGTAAATGCATGATCTCTCTGGAGCTTCACAGTATACTCACAAGAGAGGAACATTCAGCTGTTTTTATTACAGTGGAGGAACCAGAAGCCCAGGGATGGTTACATGAACTGTCCAAGCCAATGCCACTGGGCACCAGCAGAGAGGGGACCCAGAGCCAACCTGGCTGACTCCATAACCAGATGAAGACTTTCCCCTGAAGGTTATTTCTAATGGTGAGATCATTTCCTTGCCTTTCTCTTCCTCCCTCCCTCCAGCTCATCGATTGTGGGTAGCCTAGAAAACAAAGTCAAGATTTTGGCTTAATCTCATCGAGGTCAACTTCCTGAAAAAGGTGGGTTGAAGGCAGTGCAACAGGCAGGAACCCTGACTGGGGCAACTGTCAGGGATCCATCAGGACATGCCCCAGGGTAGCTTTTGATTATCATGGAGGACCCTTCCCCAGCTCTTGGTGTCTGTATCTTGGCAAATCATCTTCCTTGTCCCCATCCCTTTGCTGTCTTGGCAGCAGAAGGGATTTCAGTTCGACTTTGGGAAGAACATCCCTGCTCTCCCTTTGAGAAGAATCTTGGACAGGTTCCTATTCTTTCAGGGATACCACAGTGTGGTCAGGTTGCTACTTCTTGACACTGCGTTTGGGTTAAGCCCGTTCCACTCCTGTCTTTTGTTTTTGCTTTTTCCCCTAATCGTCTATAGACTTCCCTGGTGCAGAGCAATCACCCTATGGAGCATGGCCCTGAAGCTGAGGGGTGCAGTGGAGGCCATGTTCGGGGTCGGTGGTGACATAATCCTGGAAAAGCTCCATCTGTCATCTCTGGCCTTTTACTGTTGTAACAGCACTTATGGTCCCAGCCAACTGCTGAGGAATCTGTCTGTGGTTTAATTAGCCTATAACTCCAGCCTCCCCTACCATGCAAGAAAGCAATAAACAGCTTCCGTCCTCTTAGAGGGACTGGGAAGTCACAGCAGGGGGAGCTCCATGGGGCCTGAGGCCAACAAGGTCTTTGAGGACAAATGAAGGACTTGGGGACCCACAGGGGACTCTTGGCTCATGCCTCCTTTCTCTGCTTGGGCCGTGGGAGGCCAGCCAGTGGACCTCAAATGAAAAATAGCAAAAGTAGCAAAACAACCCCTCATGTTTACAAAGAGCCTCTCATCCATCAGGAGCGTTCTAAGACAAGATCTCAGTAGGAGCCACTGCGGACCTTGGTTTATTCTTATATAAATGAGGCCATTGGGCTCAAGGATTCCTGAAGTCTCTTCTCCGACCAGACTTTTTGTGGGTTCCATGGTCCTAATAGAATTCTGGTGATGTGATGACACCTGGAGCTGGTGTCATTAGCCTCATCTTAGAGTTAAGAATGCCAAGGAGCAGAGAGGGAAGTGACAAGCCACAGCCCATTCAGCGAGTCCTGCCAGAGCCAGACCCAGACCCTGGTGAGGTGGGTGGTGGAAGGAGATGGACCCTGATGTCTGTCTTCTTAGCTCAAGGAGATGGAGGTGGGAGGATGGGGGCCAGAGGCCCTGTAGCTCTTCCCCTGATCCATTTTGAGGAAGGGTCTATCCTATCACCCTGCAAGAGCGGGAGGCTGGGGAGCTTATCTGGTGATGGTGGGGCATCTGGTCCCCACATGTGCAGACCAGGATCCATGCCTGAGCCTCTCCACTAGCATACCTACTCCAAGAACGTGGTCTATTTTGTTTCCTGTGGTATCCCCAGTGCCTAGAACAGTATCTGGCATAAGATGGTACCCAAGTAATGCTCGTCATTGAATGACTGAGAGACAAGTCTAGGCCCCTGGGATGCCAGGGCCCCCATTCCCCACACCCTGATCCTCTCTGCAAGTCCAGACACATGAGCAGTGTAAGCATTGCTAGCCGGGCACTGGGCCACAAAGGTTTCCGAGATCCAGAGAAAATCCTCCCCTGCTTGGCTCCCCACTTTTTTCTGGTTGCATCTGAGCACCCCCTGACTTTCTGCCCCTTTCCCTCACCTTACCCAGTCCCCTCAGTGTGTGATGGATGTCCTGCCAGGGACAGAGGGTTCGATCTGGATTTCCAATCTCCTCTGGATGCACCAACGCCAAAATACAATACACAATTACAGGGACACGATACATTAGTGATCACTGAGAGAAAGAAGCCCCTTTTAGGCAGCAACGCCAACGGCTGTGTCTAAACTTATGGATACAGTCAGCTCAGAGTCCCTCCAGTCCCCGGGCAGGAAGTGAGCAGTCTCCAATACCCCATACCCATCCTCCCTCTGGGAGTCCTTCCAGGCTCCAGAGCCTCAGTTACCTCTACCTCTCCCATGTAGCCAGCACCATTCTGTCCCTTGGGGTTTTCTCCCTCTGGCTATAGCAGAGGACTTGGTCTCCCAGCACCTACTCTGTGCTGCCTTCCAAGCATGTACAAAAGCCCTTTTCCTTCCAAGGGACCATCTACTGGGCCATTTAGGGAACAGAGGGGGGGTGACAGATCCCACAAGATAAGAGACAATCATGTGGGCTGCCACCTGCACCTGCGAGTCACCATCCCTGGCCTTCACTTCTTGCCTCCACGGTCACCACTGTTTGCCCTGCTGGCCACTGGCTTCTCTTTCACCCCAGATACCCAGAGGCCTGGAAACACAATCTGGGCAGTACAGGAAATGCAACTGCCCTCCCTGTCTCTAGGGCCGGACCAGCTCCAGACGGCCTCCTGCCTGGGCTGCATCTGTCTGCACAGGGTGCACCAAAGAGAGGATCACCCCCTCCTCTCCAGAGTTTTGAAAGCTAGGATTCAGGATCAGGATCTGTAAGCCCCTAAAATTACATGACAACTTGGTGTCTATGTGTATCTGCACTTTTTCTGGAAAGAGGTTTTCATAGCCTTCAGATTCTCAAAGTCCTTTAGAACAAAAAAAGGTGGTCCATGCCTACAAGGGTGGTGACAAGAGCCGAGTGGGTGTGGGGGCTGAGCTTGCTGAAATAGTAAATAGGAGTTTGGAAGTTTATTTTATTGCCTTAAGCCCGGAATTACATTTTCTTTGCATGTGGATGAGTCTGCTTTTCTGGTTTGCCAAATAGGTTGACCATTGATGTCCAGGTGAACACACAGAGTTAGCCCAGCCCAGACCACGGCATAAACCCAGGGTGTAATTCAGCCCCAGAACAACCCCCAGGGCAGGGGCCAAACACCTTTAAAGCAGAGCCCAAGCTATCGCAGCCACCCAACCTGAACACTCAGTGCGCAGCTGACAGCCAGCTGGACGTGGGGCTGAGTGACCTCAAGCCTAGGCTGAGGGTCCCTCAGAACACAGCCCCTTCCCTCAAACCCTTGGGGTATTGGAAGAGACTCCGCTGAGGCCCACTCCCAGCTACCAGGTGAGGACTCCAGGCACCTTGCTTGTGATCAGGCCTCCAATCTCTGCATATTCCAGGAACATGAGTCTGAGCTTGCTCGTCTCACTGAGAAAGCACGCAGGCCAGGAGACCAAGAAGCAGGTGGGAGGTAGGTGATAAATATCACAGCCCCTCAGCCTGCTGAGACCGTATGACCTTTGTTGAATCACCTAATCTACTTGGCTAATTATGCCCATTTCCCCTTCTCTCTTTTCCTCTTACTTTTCCTTCCTTGTCACAACGTGGTACTTCAGAAACTCTCTCGGAGGAATTTCAAGGAGCTGGCTGGGTCTCTGTGGAACACATTGCATTATCTCATTACGATCTCGCCTGGTGATCGGATTCCGTTAGCTGACTCTCTTTATTAGCAGGCAAAAGCAAACTTATGAAATGCCTTTAAACCTGGATTTCCTTAACAATCTATCACTGGGGAACTGACAGCTCTCGCTCGCTTCCCTCTGCCAGAAAGAATTAAGATTGTTCCTAATTTAATCTCTCTTCCGCATCGAAGGCGGATATTTGTGTTTCAGCAGCAAACTTGTATTAAAGGCTCTTGGGTAGGAGGCTTTGGATCGTCACAGACTAACTCTGATAGGTGTCTGTGTGCCTTCGTGCAGATGGGGCTGGCCCTGGCTTCAGGGGCCCTGGGCAGAGGCTCCCAGATGCTGCCCTTGATGAAACTTGCAGCCCTGTGGCCCTGCTGGGAAAAGATAAGAGGGCAGATTTGAGAATCACTGGCTTTGTAGTGTCAGCGTAAGGGTGTTGGGGGATGGCTGAGGCTGTCACAGACACTGCCCATTGTACAGCTGTCTGGCACGTCGGCCCTCTAGCTTTCTACAAGTCAGAATCACCAGGCTGCTCTTGACAGCATTCCAGCTGAGCTGTGCCCTGGCTGTACTCCCATGGGCATGGTGCAGGGATGTTGGTACCCCCCCAAGTCCCCTTTGCTGGATGGGTGCAGCCCATCCCCCAGCCCCTGTGTGTGTTGGCCACTAAAGCCCCCAGCTGCCCCTTCTCTGGATAATTCACCTGAGCTGAGTAGGAGCTGCCTGCCATCAGAGGCTAGCTACATGCCTTCTCAGTTCCCTTGCCCTAAGCCAACAGCTGATGACCGACTAACAGACAGTAGGGAAAAAAGACCGGGCCCCTTGCCTCAAGGTGAGCCTGACCTTGTGGTATCATTTGTGCTCCTAAGCTCCCGGTGGATTGAGACTGAAGCTGATCTCGGGCCCAGACCACATCCTTATTTCCTTCCTTCTCCCCATTTCTCCTGAGAACGCTTCTCCAGCAACACTTTCACGAATGTCTGCTTCTGGGATATGGTTGCCCTTGGGCTGCTTGGGCTTCTGGGCTCTGATGTGCCTCCCTCTGGGTCAGATTGGGCATGGAGGGACTTGCTGTGGACAGTCGAGGCTGGTGGTACCCTGCAGTCAGCCGTGAGCAGTAGCCTGGCCCCACAGGCTGCTTCCTGAGGACCTGGCACTTCCTGAGAACCCCCACACACCCACCCACCATGGAAAGGTTTGGCTGTGGGTGCCTGCCTGGGACACCCCCCATCCTTACTTGTGGAGCACATAAGCTGCTCTCCGACACTGCTCTGAACCATGGCCTCTTAGACACGCATCACCCCAACCAGGACTGTGGAGCCTGACGTGGCGCTCCCTGCCAAGCACATCACGTCCCCTCCAGGCACTCTGCACGGAGATTTGGGTGGCTGCAGATGAGGGGGAAAGAGCTGTGTTGGAAAATCCTATTATCTAGCCAGGCCCCCACTGTTAGCCCATGCATGAAACCAATTTACAAAGTGTGAGTCAAAAGCCTCCAAGGACCGCCTGTTCTTGCGGGAGCCCAGCAATCACCCTGCCCGCGGGCCTCTGCAGACGCAATGCCGTCTGCGCTCCGTCCACTGAAAAGCTCTGCTCAGAGATGTCAGTCAGTGCCCTGGGCCGGCCACCCCCCTGCTCTGCTGGATGTCGGGAGAATGTATTACTGAGAGAGAAGAGAAACACTCTGAATGGAGCATGATTATTTTCAGATCTCCATTTTGCTGATGGCTTGAGCAAGCCCAGGTGAGACTCCTCGGGTTACAGAGGTTTTCTGAAGGTCATACTGTCTGTCCATCTTCTGTCGCCGGGTGCAGGCAGGGGCGAGGAGGCTCGGACCATAGTTGTAACTGGGGCAAGGCACTTAACCTCCTCTGAGCCTGGGCTTCCTTTTCTATAAAAGGAAAACACCTGCAGAGGGCTAGCAGGGCTCCATGAGATGACGCACACAGAAGTGCCCACCACACAGTAGGCCCTCAACACATGTTTATTATCATTTTTGCCTGAAACACAATAGTTTCTACAAGGGTCCCAGGAAGGAGATGCTTCTGTTTTCTTTGTAGAATAATCTTACGTGTCTTAGCCTGTGTAACAGGCAAGAAAGTTCTCTGATCTATCCAAAGTGTCGCTTATGGAAAAAGAAATTACTCTGTCTCAGAAGAGACCTGTTACTACTAGCTAACACTGACCGAGTACTGCCTGTGTGCCAGGCACTGTGCTGGGTATTTTACACACATTTAACTGTTTAAGCCTCACTACGACCCTGGGTGCTGGATACTGTTATTATACCTGTTTCACAGATGGAGAAACTGACAAACAGAAATTGCCCCAAATCACACAGCTAGTAAGTGAAGATGGGATACAAGTACGATGTAGAAGATGTTAACAGAGGGACACCATGAGATGCTTATCTCAAATTCAGTCACCCAGCGTGTGAGACCAGAGTTGGGGATTCTCTGCTCTGCTTCATCTAGGGAAGCTGCGGCTGGAGAAGTGGGCCCACCCTCTCCTCACACCTTCGTCCCCCTCCTCCTGGCTCCCCATATCAGATTTGAACAGAAATTGGGCCACTCCATCTTTGACATTAGCCTCCTCCTCAAATGTCCCAGCAGGCTGGGGAGAGCCTCAGAGATGGGAGCCGGCTTGGGCCTACAAATCTCGCCTTCCTGCCCAAACCGGGGTTCAGCCCACTAGGCCATTTTCATCCAGCGGGTCAAAAAGGGCATTGCCAAGGCTTCTCTTCCCCCGATCTCCTGCTTCTAGGTGTCCTGTTTCTCAGTGGACAGTGTTGATCCAACCAACTACAGAAGTCTGTCCTCCATTTCCCAGGGACAGGGGTTCTGGTCCCTTCCAGGGGCAATGAGAGTGACCTCTAGGTCTTAGTGTGAAGGATCCTGGAGGTCACACAGAACACAGCAATGACATGTGTGGGCTCTTGAGTCAAGTCAATGTTTGTATGTACTGGGACCTCACTTTCCTCACCTGTAAAATGGGGAGTTGGGGGGATTTAATGTGTACAATGCAGTGGCTAAAATAGGTTAAATAATGGCTACTACAGTGGCTAGACCCAAAATTAAAATTTGCCTTTCCTGTTTGGATCATCTGGAAAATTCACTTTTTTTTTTTTTTCTTGAGACAGAGTCTCACTTTGTCATCCAGGCAGGAGTGCAGCAGTGGCACGATCTCAGCTCACTACAACCTCCACTTCCTAGGTTCACGTGATTCTCCTGCCTCAGCCTCCTATGGAGCTGTGATTACAGGTGCCCACCACCACACCTGGCTAAGTTCTATATTTTGAGTAGAGATGGGGATTTCACCATGTTGGCCGGGCTGGTCTCAAACTCCTGACCTCAAGTGATTCACCCACCTCGGCCTCCCAAAGTGCTGGGATTACAGGCATAAGCCACTGCACCTAGTCTCACATTTCTACTCAAAGCAGTCGTAAGGTTCAGTGAATCAATGTGAGGGCTTTGTCTCTCAGCTTGATCTACAAGTTTTTGACAAACCAGAGGTGAGCGGAAAGGAGAAAGAAGCTGAGGTGAGCAGGCAGGTGTGGGTAGGGATGGCCAAGAGGACCATGAAGCCAAGCCGGTTATTTGTCTCCAGGTGAGCCTGGGGAGCCCAGAGCTCATTAGAAGCCCTTGATCAGCTAGCAGTGGACGCAGCCTGGTTAGACAACTAGGCCCTCTCTAACGGGGCCTCCAGGGGGCTGCACCACCCTGAGTGGAGGGTATCCTCTGGTCACGGGTACTCCGTCTCGTCCTATGTGGCAGTCTGCAGAGTGTCAGCACTGGTCCTTCCCAGCCCCACCCCGACCCTTGTGGGGTAGGGTGATGGTGGAGAGCCCTCAGGCACTACAGAGAGAACTGGGCTGTCTGTAACCTCCAGGCACCATGGACCATGCTTCAGAATCCCCAGGACCTGAAAACCTGCCCTCTCCATGGGACGCACAGGACCACGTCATCAGTGGGTGACAGATGCTCCCAAAGAGATCCTGCACCCCTTCTATGACCAGATAGGGCTCCACTAGCCCTTACCTGGTGCTCTGCCCCCAGAGCTGGGCACCAGCCCCTTTTCTACCGTAAGGGTCCTCAATGTAGCCCCTTCACCCTGGCAAAACTCCAGCATGGGTCTGATAGACTCTCTCCTGAAAGTATTTCCTGACCAGGACAGACACTGGGAGCCCACCTGTCGATGAGCCAGCCAGCCCTGGTGAACTTCCAAGGGTCACTGAGGGCCCTCCAGACCGTACGAAGTGTCCATTCTCTATGAAAGGGGCCTTTCAGCCCCACAGACAAGAAGGTCCCTGCACATGTGGAAAGCACTGTGGACCCAACGAAGGCTTCCACAGGAAGGCAAGCGGGAGTCCTTCCTGCCTCCAGGTCTTGGCTTGGAGGAAGGAGAATGGCAGAGAAGAGATCACAGGGCTGGTCCTGCCTCGAATAGTGTTGTGAGTCTTTCTGAGCTGAGTTTAGAGGCAGCAGTTCAGAAGGAACTACAGTTTCCCTCCTCCTGCGCAGGCCCACAGGGGTGCTCACAGGCCAACAACCTGCGCCACTGGTTGGAATCACCCGGGAGCTTTCCAGAACCCTAATGCCTGGAGTCCTACCCAGAAATTCTCATTTTGATTGGAATGAGGTGTGGCCTGGGCACTGAGATTTTTAAAGGCTCCGATCTAAAATTTTTTAAAGATTTTTAATCTTCAGCCAAGTTTGAGAACCCTGGAGTCCACATGCACATAGAGACAGCAATGGCCCCAGATTCTGGCTTTGTAACGGTGTCTCCATCGTCTCAAATGCTGTCCTCAACTTCCCCAAATAGTTTTAACATAGCTTACATCAAAAGAAAATATTTATTATAAGATTATTTGGGAAGATATTGAGAAATTAGGCAAAGAATGAAAGGTATAGTAGAGAATTCCTTCATGATAATTAAGTCTATGATTAATTGTACTCAGCTGTGGGCTGATGTCTCTAGAGGGTGGAGTTAAAGGTCCGTTCATCAGTGGTCTGAAGCAACTTACCACTCTACATCCTTGAGGCCTGGGAAAACCACAGACTTCTTAACTTTTTACTTTGAAACAATTATAGATACACAGGAAGTTACAAAAATAGTAAGAAGAGGCCCCACATACCCTCTCCCAGTGGTAACATTTCATATAACTATATTTGATATCAAAACTAGGAAGTTAACATGGATGCAATCCACAGACCTTACTAAATTCCAAGACTTTTTGTTGACCTTTAATTCCTTGGTTTTTATTTATTCATTCATTCAAAAAACTTTTATGGAGTCACTGGCATAATAGTTATCAAAGTGTGTTCTGCAGAGAACCTATATCAGATTTACCCAAGAAACTTACTAAAAATGCAAATTCCTAAGCCTCAGTCTCAGACCTATTGAGTCAGACCACATGGGGGTGGAGCTGGCAGGTGGCGCGGGGTGGGGGTCAGTGTTTTAACAAGTTTCCCAGGTGATTCTTAGGTTCACAAAAGTTAGAAAGCCACTAAACCGCTGGCCAGCAGGCATGGGCTCAGCACGAGAAATACACTTAAGAAAGACTGGTTGCTGCCCTCACCGGAGACAGATACAAATAGCAACAACAAGGCTGGAATCAAGTCATGAACAAACACAGTAAGACACTCGGGAAATATCTAATCTCCTGGGGTGAATGGGGAGGAGTTTTGGAGGCTGAGCATATTAGAGTTGGGTTTTGACAGGTAAGTAGGAGTTTGATAGTTGGGCAAGAGAATAAAATCTCAACCATAGCTTTAATATCTGGTCTCCCTCTACCTTTGAAGCAAAATTTCTGAGATGTAATCTCCTTAATGGCGAGGAGTCCTATTCATCTGTGTGTCCCCAACACGATGAATAGGACTGAGATTTTAAAAGGCTCCAGGCCACATTAATCTTCAGCCAAGTTTGAGAACCACTGGAGTCCACACACACATAGAGACAGCAATGGCTCCAGATTCTGGCTTTGTAACAGTGAGCCTGGTACACTGAAGGGGCTCGATAAACATTTGATGAATGAAAGCGTGAGAACTATGTTGGCTGGCAGGTTGGTTGGCTACATGCAGAATGGAAGGATGGTGGGGGAATGGTTGGCTGGAGAGATGAATGAGTAAATGAGTTCCTATGTGCTGTGGAGGCAAGGAGAGCTTGGCTGGGAGAGGGTGGATTCCTGGCCATAAAGGACTCCAGCAGTTCTTTCCCAAGGCCTCAAGGGAAGAGCTAGAACCCATTGTGAGAAAATGCAGCAGGGCTGTGTATACAACATTCTCTTCCTGTACAGTTAAGCCCCAAACACTTCGAGGTCCCATGGAGCCAGCTGACTGAATTTGAGCTAAGTGGCCTTTACCCTGGGGGGAAAAAGAAAAAGACATTTACCCCGAAAGTCCTCTCCTGCTCTCTTCAGAAGTATATTAATTTTATAATGTCAGAGACAGAACCGTAAACTCTCCTTCTTAGAGGATTGTTGCCAGAACCCTTCTTGCTGAGGAGCACTGAGCCGCTCCGCTCCGGCCCCCATGAGCAGCAGAGAGGGTGGGAATCAGCTATTTGACAAGTGAGGCTTGCAAAGGTCACTCCTGCTGGGGGGCTGGCCCTGGAAGGAGCAGAGAAGCCCTGCTCACTCTTTCTTTCCTGCCTCTCCCTTGCTCGGCCTCGGAAGTGGTGAGGACTGCCTCCAGGTTCCTGTACCAGACCAGAAGATCCTGGGAAGAGCTTCTAAAATCTAGCATTCTCTTCAAAGATGGGCTGGTATGTATGGTGTGTCTGCCTGGAGGCAGAGGAGTGATTGCAGAAGATGTCCTGCCAGAGGAGGTCAAAGTGCGGTCTTTGGTGGGCCACCTGCAACTTAGCCACGGGGGGTGCTTCTGAAAATGCAGACGACCAGCCCTCATCTTCAGTCCTGATGAATCAGTTGCGGAAACCCCAAATCTGTTTTTTTTTTTTTTGTAATGTTTCTCAAGTAGGCATCCTGAAGTTTGAGAACTATGCTCTAAGGAAATTGTTTCCCCAAGGCTGTATCTAAACAGTCCCAGCTCCAGCTGGCAGTGATAGGAGGCAGCTGAGGTTTATTTTTTCTATTTTTACCCACCTTCTAAACACTAAGAGGCAGCTGAGGTTTAAAGGCAAAGATGCTGGTAGTGAGGCTTGAATGCCCCTTAACCTTTATAAGACTATTTATTCATCAATAAAATTGGGGTTAATAACCTCTATCTCAGAGGGCTGTATGCAGATTAAAGGGAAGTTCCAAGCATAGTGACTGGTGCCCAGGGGTCCCTTAATGTTTGCTGAGATTGGGTCAGGCATAAAAAGAAGTGTTGGTCCCAATGCCTGTGTGTAGGGCCTGAAAGAAATAGAATAAACTTAAGGAAATTTACACTGTGGCCCCTTGAAATTTGTAATCTATGTTACACGTGTTTTCAACTTCCCAGTTGAGCTCTTTTTATGGATTCTTTTCTGTAAGTGTACACAACAACATAAAGCCTTTAGGCCAAATCTGTCTCACTTGACCTTAAGCTGCCCACTTGACATTTTTAATGAAACATTTTGTTTTACTTAATGATTTCATGTACTTAGTCTAGTAAGACCTTATCCCCTACCAGTAAAGAGCTTGCCAAGCTTTGTGGATAGGCGAAAATCAACATTCTTTCTCTGATGGTATACCTGCAGGAAAAGAGAGACAAAGGAAGTTTTAACAGTTTATTCGAATTTAAAAAGTATGCATCATCTGAAGAGTCTGGGTTGCAAACTTCGCAAGACAGGTTGATCGCATGATGTAAGGGGGACATTCTCTGATGGTTTATTTCCTTCGTCCTTGTGCCCATCCCATTGCTGGGTGGTGAACACTTGTCAAAGAAACTCATTCAAATGCTTTCTCACCCAATGTGTTGGATTCCCTGTGATTCATTACATTATTTTCTTCCTGAAGAAATCTGAACACAGAGAACTTGAAGCTGCAGGGGGAAAACATTGCTGATTTGTTCTAGGACATGTAGACATTCATGTTCCATCGGGACAGGAGGATTGAGCAGATGACAACTGGAGACTGTGCTCATTTCCCATCGATGAAATGCCCTCGGCTCAGTAGAATCCCCTATTTTAGAGAATTGCAGAGCTATTTGCTGGAAATAAAGTGACAGCTTCAGAAGTGATTCACAGATTTGGATGAACATGAAGGTTTAGGTTTTTCAGGTCATCACCTGGTGTCCAATGGCAGGAATATTCTGAAGTGCCAAAGTTAATCACTGTGGCTCCCACGGTATCCCCTGAGTTTGTAATGCATGACTCTGAGGCCCACTTTTGGGTAATGGTGAGTTCTGGGAAAGTATCTTCTTCCACCTGGAGGCAGAAATCATGTGTGCCCCTGCTAAAGTCCACAGGTCTTTTTTAAGAATTTCAGGCATTATGTTCTCACTCATAAGTGGGGATTGAGCAGTGAGAACACACGGACACAGGGAGGGAAACATCACACACTGGGGCCTGTCAGGGGGTGGGGGGCAAGGGGAGAGAGAGCATTAGGACAAATACCTAATGCATGTGGGGCTTA